>NC_000002.12:97489618-97792648 GCF_000001405.40 Homo sapiens | reverse complement strand
CCACAGCCCGCTGGAGCAGCACCCTCAGCCTCCTCTGCCACCGCCAGTGCCTCAGCCCCAGGAGCCGCAGCCTGAAAGGCTGTCTCCCGCCCCCCTCGCACACCCTTCCCACCCAGAACGTGCCAGCAGCGCGAGGCACAGTTCCGAGGACTCGGACATCACCAGTCTCATAGAAGCCATGGACAAAGACTTCGACCACCATGACTCCCCAGCCCTAGAAGTGTTTACAGAGCAGCCTCCATCGCCATTGCCAAAAAGCAAAGGTAATCATCTCCCACTGCCGGAGATCCGTGATGTGTGAGGGAAAAGCCAGTGCGTGCTTAAGGAGCTATTAAGATTATAGTTGTGGTAAACAACTAATTCAGTAGGTTCCTCTGGCTCAGATTTATCTCCAGTGTTGGACTTCAACTTTTCCATAAAAATGCAATTAGAGGTATCTGTCATAAAAGATATATTTGTATTTCTTAGATTGTTTACCAAAATCAGAAATTCTGTGGACATCTGCTTTTCTTTTCAGCTGCCTGAGATTGTGTTATTGTGATAGATTTAGCTTTTGTTTTATTGTTAAAATAATTTTGAGCACAGGAGTAAAATGGAGATCATCTGCCTTTTAACTCCAAATTAGGATTTCTTTACTTTAGAGCAGGGGTTGGCAGACTACAGTTAGCGGGCCAAATCACCACCTGGTTTTATAAATAAAGTTTTATTGGAATAGAACCATGCTCATTTGTTGGTATATCCTCAGCTTTCATGCTTCTATGGCACAGTTAAGTAATTGTGACCAAAACAATATGGCCCACAGAGCTGAAAATATTTGCTATCTGGCCCTTTGCAAAAAAAGCCAACCCTGCTTTAGAGTTCTGCTTACTGTATTAATTACCTATTTCTGAGTAACAGATGACCTCAAAACCCAGGGGCTTAAAAGAACGTATACTCTTATCTCACAGTTTCTGTGGTCAGGGACATGAGTACAGCTTAGCGGGGTCCCATGGCCCTCACAGGACACAGGACTGCAGTCAAGGTGTTGGCCAAGGCTGATGTCATCTTAAGGTTCAACTGAAGGTGGACCTGCTTCCACGTTCACACAGGCAGTTGATGGTGGGATTCAGTTCTTCACGGACTGTTGGACGGAGGGCCCAAGCTCCTCCTTGCTGGCTGTGGCCAGAGGTCTGTCATGGTTCCTCTCCACAGAGCGGGTCACAGCTTGGCAGTTGGCTCCCCCAGAATGAGCAAACAAGAGGGCAAGGAGGAAGCAGGACGGAAGTCACTGTTTCTTACTATCTAATCTGGGAAGTGGCATCCCATCAATGTTGTAGTATTCTGCTCATTCGAAGTGTGGTCCAGCCCACACTCCAGGAGAGAGAACCGCGCAAGGGCATAAATACCAAGAGGTGGGCACCACTGGGAGCTTGGAAGTCTGCACCACACACAAATAGGTAGACCAGTTTGTAAGCTCCAGAATCAAAAGGTAAAAACCAGTAAATAGCCTCTAGTTGTATTGCAATTTCATCCCTTCACAGCCTGAGCTTTTTTGCATCTTCCTTTCTGTCTTGTGGCAGCCATGCTAATATACATTATTCCAAGCCTGTATCAGTCCCTTCCAGAATGGTTTACCAAGGAGTTTTGGGCTTCAATTTATACGGAAAACAGGGATCTTGGCAGCCCTAAGAGGCCAGAAGAAACTTGACATCCCAGAGTCAAGGAGTTTTAGATAATTTTTTAGTCCCAGGAATACAAAAACTAGCTCTATTGAGTTCTCTTGGAATTACACGCATTCGGATTTGTAAAACAGTAAGATGTCTTGAATATGATTGGTTAACCTCTTCTACAGAAATCCTTTTTGGCTAACCCATTATTAACTGAGCTTACATATTTTAGGGTAATTTTTAGAATAATCTTAAGTGAATACTTAAAAGTTCTTTTTTAATTAGATCAAGTTACATAGCGTTTTCCCCACATTTAGGGCGTGAATAAAATAAATCTGTATTATCCTTTCTTATCACAAAGAAAGAGTTGGGCAGTCAAATTGACTACCTCATTCCTGTGTCAACACAGTCTTCCAACACCAGCGTGATGGGCCAATTCTATTTTCAGGGTCACTCATTGAGAACCTAAATTTTAAAATGAAATGCTTTTTAATTTTCACAGTGGTCCTAGAGTCAACCTACTAAGAGATACTCAGTGAGGGAGCATGGATGCCACATTATTGGTGACTCTTGAGCCTGTGAGGAGACAGTGGTTAGAAGCTTTGCAGGCGCGGCTACTCTACTCACTATCCTTCCCACTGATGCTGTTTGGGAAAAAGGAAGGAGCCTGTATCTATATTTTTTTTCTTCTTCAATGTTTTTATTGAAGTATAGCATGCATATAGACAGACAGTCTTTAAAATGAACTTTAAAAGGTGGGCATTGATCTTGGGGTTGCAAACTAGTAGTATGTTGTGAAACTATAGGCTTCCAGCTGGGCAAAACCTTTATAATCTTTCAAAAGCCTACCCCCACACCCCTGCAAATAGCAGATTTACATTAAATAGTAACATTCTCTTTTTAGAGGCAACACGTTCTTTTTTTTCTCCCCCTGGTATCTCATACTAAAATTATTTCTTATAATGAGCTTATGTAGTTTCTGGTTTTTGGAAGCTGCTCAGGATGACCTCTTCAAGTGAATGTGTTTATCTCCCTGGATCTTGCCTTCTGCGGTTGGATGGCTTGCAAGCCACACAGCCATGCTATGCCATCTCTCCAGTCACTGCTTCCAGTGGAAGATGATGCCCAGAAATGCCGCCTGTTCATGGTTGGCCTGAGCAGGGACTCTTGTTGCTGAATAATCATTAGATTCTGTACTTCTTTGGTTTCTCCCCCCTCTAACACTTAAACCCCATGGACTGGACAGCAGCCACTGCAGGATTGAGGGCTAAAACCCAAGAAAGCCGTGAGCCTGGCACAGTTGGGTCTCAGTGTCTGTTAACCAGAGAAATGATGGCGTCTGTGGCCATTCTCGTTTCTGGCTTTGGCTTTATCAAGGGTAGGGAGAGGCAGAGAGGTGTGGCGTCCTGAGGCCACGTTCTGCCATTAGGCAGGTGCAGATTATATCTTGACTCCGCTCCCTTACTAACTGTGTGACTTGGGAGAAAATGACTCCCCTGAGCCTCCACTTGTTATTTTTAAAGTGAAGAGAACAGTTACTCCCCACATCATAGGATATCACTACTGCCATGGTTATTATTGGGGCAGGAAGTGGCACATGCCATCTGTAGCCTGCTGAGTTGAAGGTGGCTGTGGAGCATCCCAGCAGAAGCATCTGTTAGGAACTTGGTCTCAAGGGTAAGAATTGGGACAAGCAGAGAATCCTGAGGGCAAGGCCAAACGAGAAGGCAGCCAGCAGATAGCATGACAGACAGCATAACAGAAAGCAGTGGAAGGTGTGGTTAGCACATGCCAGCAGGCAGGGCCAGGCAAAGCAGAGGCTGAAGAGTGCTCGCGGAGCCTGGACTTGAGGACATTATTTGTGACCTTGGAAAGAACAGTTTGTGTGAAGCGCCATCACCTCTGACTGAGACCAAGTCACTGTGGCTTAGAGTAACTTTCACATCAGACTGTTAGTAGTGGCCACTAACTAGTGAGTGTTTTGGGAGCTTTTACTCTTTAACCTGTATTTTCCCTATTTAATTTTTAACAAGAAAAAAGTATGCATGTATTGTATGGTAGGTTTTTAAAAAATATAGAGAGTTACAACCAAGAAGGCAATATTTTTTATGAAAAATGAATAATACATGGAAACATGGTGCTTGAAAATATCTCTGGGCCAAGGTCAGAAAGCCTATAGAGCTGAGACAGTGGTGCTGATCCACACTTGCCAAGGTTTCAGACGTGACCACAATTTCTCGTGCACCCTGGTGACTGGCACTGCTTGCTACGGTTTTCCAGTAAGGCAGCGCTGGGCAGAATGGGAGCAAGACCCAGTCTGTGTGATTCTAACTCCTGCACTGTGCTGCCTCCTCGAAGAAAAAGAGGGAGGGGGAAGAAAATGAGGAGATAATTGGTGAAACCATGTGCCCAGGTGGTGGAGTGGGCCGAGACCCAGTTTGGTAGATGATAAAAGGATGGACAGTCCGCAGGTGTGCAGATGTGCGTGAGTTGGTAGAGATGGAGAGGCAGGATACGGGTTTTCACTTGAACTTGAGGAGTCAACTTGAGGCAGCATGTGGGTTTAGGGAAGTTTTTACTTGAACTAAGTCATCCTCTGAGACTGCTGGGGGAAGTGGTAGGGTAGAAACACAAAATAGACAAAGTTTGGAATAGTCAGATTCCACGTTGCTGAGAATGTTGTAGGCCCAGGGAGTCAGCAGGGGCAGGAAACTTGGATCTGTACGCTGGCCCCTTCAGCAACATTGGAGGCCCAGCCGAGGGCCACTGAGGCACTGCCTCAGGTTTGTGTCACTTTCTCACTTGTACCCTGCAGCCCAGTGGTGAAGAATGAAAACTGGGTAGTTGGTGGAGTAGGACAGTGCTGGAGTTCTGTGGGGCAGGGACAGCAAAAAGACAGCGAGTGAGGACGTCACAGGAGTGCTGGCAGGAGAGCGGTGGGGTGCTGTGCTGGCAGTGTCGAATTAGCAACTTGGGGAAGGACCTTTAGCCAGAAGGAACCTCACAGATAGAGAACATGGATGAGTCAAGGGATGGGAAATCCAACAGATTGAATTTCGAGGATGGTGGGAGCAAGGAATGTTAGGAGACTAAGGTTTAAAAAGGAGGTGTGAGTGTAAGGTTTCAGAGGAAAAGCAGTTCTGGGCAATACCAGGTTCGTAGGTGCAGCCTTGGAAATGGGATGTCAGAGTGAGCTAGAGGTGAGGTCCACAGTCCTTATGCAACACTCTGGGTGCCTCGTGTGTTTGAGAATTCAGAATTTTGGAAAGGTATGTAGTCATGCACCACACGATGCAGAAGACTGTAAAAGTAGGTGAACATCAGCAGCCACCAAAAATATATAGTCATATTAAGTTTTGTTTCTAAATGAGTTTGGGGAAAAAAACCTTTGAGAGTTTTTTGGATTTCAGATTTACAGATAAGAGATTGTCCACCTGTATAAGGCCTGGGGCCCAGACAATGGGAGGTCCAGGAAAAGAAGAAGTCCGTAAGTGTGATGCCAGCACCCCTGAAGCCTGGGGAAATTCTTTCTGGAGGTCACAGTTGGTGATTCTCTGGAGGTTGTCCAGAGATGTCCCTCTCAGGTGCTGTCACTGATATGACAGGGCCTAACGTGGGACCACATATGTTCAGAGAACCCATTTGCTAGTGATTGAAACTTCCCTGAAATAGTTCTTTTGGGTGGCAATTAAATGAAATGATTTAAAGTGGGAGAGAGGCAACTAACTAGCTCAGACTAACGATTCATTCAGAGCACCTAGCTCAGACAAATTCATTACACAGCATGTAGTGAAGATAAAGACGAAGTAAATGTCTAGGACATGCTTTTTACATAGATAATTCATACTTTGCCTACATTTAAAACAGATTAGAGGCAGTTTAAATTATCATAGCACATATAAAACAATGAATAAAAGTCAGAAATGGTTTTTGGTGTTTCATCTGTTTTTTAGTTACGGTACTATCAGCAGAAACCTCGAATAAAGTTAGTTGTTACCATTAAGTGTTAAGTTGAACTGCAAATTTTCTGGCAGTTATGGTTGAGGAAAAATGTCATATAGTTCTGAAGGAAAAGGGGGCATAGGAGTTCATCTGGAAAAAACAGTTTGCTGGCATTAAATTCCTGCCTGAATCTGAGGACATCGAATAGTAGAACGGATATCGTGGCTCTGTTACAGAGACTATGGCAATGTTCTTCACATAGATCCTTTCTGTCGGCCCCCCGTCAAACCCAGCATCTTCACATTGAATGAGAGCTCCTCACCTACACCGTGCCTCTCAGATGAACACTCAGTCACCCCCACATGCACAGCATTTATGGTGACCATGGGTAAGTATAGCTAGTGGGTGGTTCTCTACACTAAACATTTAGCAGCCTAAGTGTTCTTCCACACACTGAGGTTAGCCCCAAGGTACCCCACAGTCAGAGACAAATGTTTTTGTCAATAAAGAGTTTTTGGTTTTTGGTTTTTGGGAGTTTTGTTAAGACAGAGTCTCACTGGCTGGAGTGCAGTGGTGTGATCTCAGCCCAGTGCAGCCTCCCAGACTTAAGGGATTCTTCCACCTCAGCCTCCCAAGTAGCTGGAACTTGTAGGTATGCACCACCATGCCTAATTTTTTTATTTTTATTTTTGGAGAGACAGGGTATCCCTATGTTGTTCATGCTGGGCTCAAGCAATCCCTCTGCCTCAGCCTCCCAAAGTGCTGGGATTACAAGTGTGAGCCACATCGTATCTGGCCACTTGCTTGTTTTTTAGCTTTTTATTTTGAGATGCTTGTAGATTCACGTGCAAATAATAAATTCAGAGATCTCTTATACCTTTTACCCAGTTTCTCCCAATGGTAACACATTGCAAAACCACTGTACACTATTACTATACCCAGGATAGTGATGCTGATACAGCCAAGACACAGAACATTTCCAAGCCCACAGGAATCCTCATGGGCCCTTTTCTAGCCACACTCACTTCCCTCCTTCTTCAGCCTACCCCTTAGTCTGGCAACTATGATTCCATTTATGTAACATTCTTGAAATGACAAAATTGTAGAAATGGAGGAGATTAATAGTTGCCAGACTAAGGAGAACTTTTCCCCAAAAGGAATGTACCATTTTGGTTTTTCTGAGTCAGTTTAATTCTCTGGAGATTCACCAGTGCGTTCCTTTTTATTGCTGAATAGTAGTCCAACTTATGGATGTACTGTAGGTTTTTTAGTCATTTGCTCATTGAAGAACATTTGGATTATGTCTAATTTGGGGCTGTTATGTATAAAGATGCTACAAATATTTGTGTACAAGTTTTTGTATGAACACAGAACTTCATTTCTCTAGGATATGTGCCCAGGAGTGAATTTGTTGGGTCTTATGATAGTTGCATATTTCATTTTTTAAGAAACTGCAAAAACGTTTTCTCTAATGACTGTGCTGTATTACATTCCCACCAGCAACGTAGGAGTGATCCAGGTTCTCCACATCCTCAGCAGCATCTTCATTTTTTTCTGTTGAATCCATTCTGATAAGTGTGTAGTGATACCTCTTTGTGGTTTTTATTTGCAGTTATTTTCTAATGGATAATGATATTGAATATATTTTCATGTGCTTATTTGACATCTGTATGTTTTCCTTGGTAAAATACCTTCTTCATGTCTTTTGCCCATTGTTTTAATTGGATTGTTTGGGTTTTTCTACTATTGATTTTGAGAGTCATTTACACATTCTAAATACTAGTACTTTGTCAGATATGTGGTTTGCAAATAATTTTTACTTGCCTGTAGTGTGTCTTTTTATCCTTTTATAGTCCATGATTCATTTTGAGTTCATCTTGTATGAAGTGTGAAACTTAGTTTGGAGTTCACTTTGACTTAAAGTGGGGGGAAGATGTTAATTTTTAAGTCACTTTCCTAATAGTTACAGGGCTGTTCACATCATCTGTTTCATATTCAGTGAGTTGTGGTAGTAGTGTTTTTTAATCAAGTGGTCCATCATTTCATCTAAGTTACCACATTTATGTGAATAGAGTTGTTTATAGTATTCCCTTACCATCATGTTGATGTCTGTAGGGTCTATAGGAATATTCTGTTTTGTTTCTGATATTGGTAATTTGTGTCTTTTTTAGTTATTTTTGTTCATTTTTTGGGGTTTTTGGTCAGTCTTGCTAGGTTTGTCAGTTTTACTGATCTAATCAAAGAACAGCTTTGTGTTTCATTGATTTTTCTCCGTTGCTTATCTGTTTCAATCACAGCGCCTTCTGTTCTTATCTTTGTTATTATCTTTGTCCTGCTTACTTTAGATTTATTTTTCTGCTCTTTTTTTAGTTATGTAAAGTGGAAGCTTTAATTGTTAATACAGGACTTTCCCCCCCGTTTTATGTATGCTTTTAGTGCTATAAATTTCCTCCTCACCCCTGCTTTATTGATGTCCCACAAATTTTGATATATGGAACTTTCAGTTTCATTCCCTTCCATTTTTTTTCTTTTGAGACTTTCTGTGACCCATGAATAATTTAGAAGTGTGTTGCTTAGTTTCCAGTCTTCCAAGATTGGAGACTTTTCCTATCTTTCTGTTATTGCTTTCTACTTTGAATCCACTTTAGTTGGGAGAATGATTTCACTTCTTTTGATTTCATTTCTTTTAAATGTGTTAAATGATTTCACTTCTTTTAAATGTGTTGAGGTTTGTTTTATGGCCCAGTATATGGTCTGTCTTGGCTTATGACCCATGGGCACTTGAAAAGAATGTATATTCTCCTGTTTTGTGTGGACTAGTTTATAAATGTCCATTAGAGTCTGTTGGTTGATAATGGTGTTAAGTTCTTTCCTGATTTTTCTGTCTAGTTGTTATACTGTTGAGAGAAGGTTGTTGACATCTCCAAATGTAATTGTGGATTTCTCTTTTAGATGTTTCTGCTTTACATAGTTTTCAGTGCTTTTGTTTGATGCATTTACATTTAACATTGCTGTAACTTCTTGGTGGATTGACTGTTTTATCATTATATCATGTCCTTCTTTGTTTCTAGTAATTTTCTTTCCTCTCAAGTTCATCTAGTATTAATATAGCCACCTGCTTTCCTTTAATTAATGTTTCCATGATTTTTTTTCCATCCTTTTACTTCAACCTGCCTATATCATTGTATTTGAAGTACGTTTCTTATAGACAGCATATAATTTGGGTCATGATTTTTAATCCAGTCTGCCAATCTCTGTCTTTTTAATTACATAAGTAGACTGTCTGCTTTTAATGTGCTTATTGATATGTTAGGACTTAAATCTACCATTTTATTTTTATTTTGTTTTCTCTATTTTCTTTTTCCTGCCTTTTTGTGGGTTACTTGTATATTTTTTAGAATTCTGTTTTGTCTGTAGCATTTTTTAGTGTATCTCTTTTTTAGTGGTTGCTCTAGGTATACATTATATGTACATAACTTCTCATGGTCCTGGGGTCATCATTTTACCATTGCAAGTGAACTATAGAAACCTTATCTCCCTTTATGTTTCTTTGCTTTCCCCCAGTTGTCTTAAATATTTCCTCTACATACATTTAGAACCAAATCAGATAATGTTTGAATTTTTGCATCAGTCATCAAACATAATTTAGAAGACTTAAGATATGAAGGAAATCTTGTTTTATTTATATTTTTTTCCTAATCCTCCAAGGTTCCTTCTTTTATCATTTCCTTTCTGTTTTGGTAACTTCCTTCAGCCATTTTTTTAGGGTAGGTCTGTTGGATATGAATTCTCTGAGTTTTGTTTCATCTGAGAATGTCTGAATATTCCTGAAGGATATTTTCATTTGAGTATAGGATTCTGGAATGACACTTGTTTTCTTTGAGTACTTGAAAAATGCTTCCTTTTAGCCTCCGTGGTTTCTAATGAGAAATCTGTCATTCTAATTGTATTTTCCTTATAGATAATGTGTCATTTTCTCTGGCTGATTTCAAGGTTTTTTTGTCTTTAGTTTTCACAAGTTTGATTATAATGCATCTTGATGTGGATTCGTTTCTGTTTACCCTTTTTGAGGTTTGCTCTTTTTTTTTTTTTTAAGTCTATATAGGTTTAGTCTCACCAAATTTAGGAAGTTTTTACCCATTGTTTCTTTAGGTACTTCTTCAGCCCTTCCTTTTTCTCCTTTCCTTCTGAGACTTTGATAACACAAATGTCAGATCTTTTGTTATAATTACACGGGTCCCTGAAGCTCTGTTCTTTTTTTTTAGTCCATTTTCTCTCATAATTCCTAATTGTCTGTATTTGTTTACTGATTATTTCCTGTCTCCTCTGTTCTGCTATTGAGCCCATGCAGTGAGCTTTTTATTTCAGTTACTATATTTTTCAGTTCTGACATTTCCATTTTGTTCTTCTTTAGCTTCTATTTCTTTGCTGTGGCTGTTTTTTCAGTTGTTTCAAGCATGTTCATAATTGCTCATTGAACAAGCATTTTTATGATGGCTTTGTCAGGTAATTTCAACATCTCTCTCATCTTGGTGTTGGCATCTGTTTATTGTTTTGTTTGTGTTTTCATTTGATTTGAGAAATTTCTGATTCTTGGTATGAAGAGTGGCTGTAGATTGAAACCTGGACCATTTGGGTATTAATGTTCTGAGACTGGATCTTACCTAAACCTTCTGTTTTAACTGGCTTTCTCTGACTGCTCTGGCAGAGGCAGAGGAAGGGGTTGTGCCACCTTTTTATTGCCAGGTGGAGTTAGAAGTGCTGGTTTCCTGCTGTCCTCTGTTGACTCGCAAGGGCAGGGAGGCTCCTCATTACTGCTGGGTAGGGCTGGGAGTTCTGGTTCCCATGTTGTCTTTGCTGACACCACTGGGCAGTGGTAGAAGTCCTGACTGTCCACTCGGCCTCCTCTGTCACCACCTCAGTGGCAAAGGGAGGGGAGAGTTGGCTCCTTAGTGCCTGGCCAGGAAGGGCGTTCATTACTGACTGTCTGGAATGAAAGGCTCAGCTCCCTGCTTAGCCCTCCCTGATAGCACCATCGCCAGCATGCTGGGATGTCTGGTTACAGCCTTGCAAGGGTGGAAGTCTTGGCTCCCACTTTGGCCTTTGTTGGCATGGGTGGATATGGCACCCCAGTTCTTACCGTGGTGTTGGCCTGGAGCCTTTGTCTTGCTGGGCTGCCCCTTTCCTGCACCTTTGGCAAGAGATAGCTGGCTTTTGTCGAGGCTTTATTTGTGCACATTGGTGTTTCTGAGTGGATGTGTGTGGCAAAAAGAAAACCCAGGAATCTTACTATCATGCCTTTCCTCAGACCCCAGTCTCCCTCCAGTCTGTCACCTTCTCTGCCTTTCAGAGTCATCTTCTTTGTTTTTGTATACTGCCTAGAGTTTTTAGTTTTGCTTGGCAGGAAGAATAAGGAAAAGATCTACTCCATCTTCCCAAAAGTGTAAGTCTCCAGGTGTTTTGTTTGTTTGTTTAAATGAGATTTATATTTCCCAATTAGGGAAAATCTTGGGCTCCACTAAGTGTAGAGACTGAAATGGGATCAGAAAGTCATTTGTAGAAATTTTCACTGTAAAGCCACAGATTGGTACTAATCTCACAAAAACCAAACTCATTGGTCATAACCACTAATCCTAGAAGAGCATTACAGTCTACTTATTGATAGGATAAATTACTTATAAAGGATTGAGATGGGATAAGCATTTGGACTTGGGTTAGTGAGTCTCAGAGCAGGTCACAGCATTGGTATATTTCACTGTTGAGAAGGCTAAACACTGACTTGTGCAGCCTGGCAGATGCTGCTGAGCACTTGCCACGTGCTGGGCGCTGTGCAAGGCACTGGGGCTGGAGAGATCAGTAAGGCCTTATCCCTGCCCTTAGGTGCTTAGGCTGTATGACGAATAGAGCCAAGGGGGTCCATGCCGGGAGCCTGGAAAGGGGCAATCTCAGGGAGAATGTCGCAGAAGAGCTTCATGTCCAGAGACAGACCCGAATGATTGCATGACCTCAGTAGGTGAGGAGTCTGTGTGGAGATCGTGGGAGCAGGCAAGCAGGGTGACCAGCCTCAGGGATGCTTCATCCGGGCAGTGGTGTGAACCCGACGAACCTGGCTGCTCTACCAAGATTCCTTCTCTGCCACCAGGTTCACCTTGGGCATATTTCTCACTTGGTCACTTCAAGGGAAACACACTTCCGAGTTTTTCTAAACCGCTTCTCCATTCAGCTTGTACCATCTTTATTTAGATGGGTTAATTTTTATTACTGATTATGCACCAGTTAAGTTGTGGTTCCCGTACAGCTGGGAGACATCCTGCCTTCCCCACTGTTCATTGAGTTCATTAATTCATCTTTGAGAGGACAGTCTCCCTCTGAATTCTGTTTTTTTAATTGGCAAATAATAATTATATATGTTATACAATGATTGCCCCTGATAGGTCAAGGGTGGAGCATATGGAAGAGTTAGGGATAGGCTGGAGCAGACACTGGTAAGGTAGGTGAATCCAAATTTGAACTTTATCCTGTAGAAAATGAGTGACAGGATAACATTTCTAAGCTTTAAAAATGTTTCAAAGGGAAGTCAGGGCTACTGACAGTGTAGAAAACGGAGTGGGGTGGGAGAGTGGGGCAGGAAGAGATGCTCATCAGGGAGACAAGGCCATTACGGGTGGCCAGGCAACACTTGAGGAAGCCCTGGGCTCAGGGAGTGGCAGTGGAGGTGCATGAGAAAGGCATTTGAGGTTTTAGAAGTAGAATCCATTCCTACCGATTGATTGATGGTAAAATTGCATTGTTTAGATCATTTCTTCCAGGTGACTCAGAATTCCCCCAATTCTGTTCTGAATGACAGCACCTATCCACCAGAGATTCCCAGGGGACAGAGAAATAGGAAATGAGGCCCTGCATTTTTGCCAGCAATTCCCCAACACAGGTCTCTGATAAACCTGGATAGAATTTATACCTAAAAGCCAGGGTATTCTTTTGTTTTTGTTTTTGTTTTTTTTTGTTTGTTTGTTTTTTGTTTGTTTTGTTTTTGTTTTTTTGGAGAAAAGGTCTCACTCTGTAACCCAGGATGGAGTGCAGTGGTGCAATCATAACTCACTATAACCTCAAACTCCTGGGCTCAAGAGATCCTCCTGCCTCAGCCTTCTGAGTAGCTAGAACTACAGGTGTGTGCCACCACACCCAGCTAGTTTTATTTTAAAATTTTTTGTAGAGATGAAGTCTCACTATTTTACCCAGGCTGGTCTGGAACACCTGGCCTCAAGTGATCCTCCTGCTTTGGCTTCCCAAACCTTTGGGGATTACAGGCCACTGCTGCGCCCAGCCCTGGGATTCCTAAATTGACCATACATTATTACTGTCACCTGGAGGTCTTGTTAAATAGATTGCTGTGCCTACCCGCAGAGTTCTGGTTCTGTAGGTCTGGAATGGGGCCATAGAATTTGCATTTCTAACAAGGTCCCAGGTGATGCGGACTCTGGGGCAACAGGGGACACTTTGAGAACTACTGACCTAACAAAAGATTTGGAAGAGTCTCTCCTTTCTCTGAAGGCCAGTTTTTCTACTGGAACCCAGCCCTAAGGAAGAGACAAGACCCTTAGGAACACGCTTGCCCTGAGAGTCAGCTTACTGCTTCAGCCCACCCAGGGGCAAGCGGGAGGCAGAGGCCACTCCCTGTGGGGACAGAGACTGCCTGCAGCTAGACGTCGGCCATCCAGTCTTATCAGTCAGGTTAGGGAAGGCATCCAGTATTATCAGTCAGGTTAGGGAAGGCACATTGTCTCCCCTCCCACTAACATTTGAACTTTTGGGTATCCAAACAGCAGAAGAAATCATACATGGCCCTGAAGTAGCTCCTAGCCTGGGTGGTTGGATTGATGTTGATACCATGGACCAGTGGCTCTCAGCCTGGGTGCACAGTAGAATCCCTAGGTTCTATCCAGAACTGTTGAGTCAGAATCTCTCTGAGGGGTGGGGCCTAGACCCTGAGGGGTCGGGCCCAGACTGCAGTATTTTCTTTTTAACATTCCATGTGTTATTCTGAAGTGTGTCTGGTTAAGAACCATAATCACAAACTTGAGAATCCACACGATGTTTTTGGGATAGTTAACTCAGTTTTGGACATTTGGGACTTGGATTGTTGATGTTAATGAAATTGAGCCCTAGGGAGAATGTAAAGGAAAAAGAGAAAAAGCTCCAAGGGCAGATCTCTAGGGAATACCAGCAAAGATAGAGTCAGCAAAGAAGTTGTCAGAAGAAGGGGTTCATGGTGGGGCCTGGCAGGAGCTACATTCTACAGTGTCCAGTGGAACGGGAAGGTCATGTAGAATGAGGAATGATAGGCATCATGGGCTTCAACAGGTTAGAGATTCTTGTCAGCCTTTCCAAAATCACTTTTGTTAAGGTGCTAGGGACAGAAGTCGAAGGACTGCATATTGAGTTAATAAGGTGATGATTTTAAGATAAAAAGGGTAAATTACTCTTCCATGCAATAATTTTTTTTTTTTTTTGAGATGAAGTCTTGCTCTGTCACCCAGGCTGGAGTGCAGTGGCACGATCTCAGCCCACTGCAACCTCCACCTCCTGAGTTCAAGCGATTCTCCTGCCTCAGCCTCCCAAGTAACTGGGATTACAGGCACATGCCACCATGCCCAGCTAATTTTTATATTTTTAGTAGAGATGAGGTTTCATCATATTGGCCAGGCTGGTCTCAAACTCCTGACCTCAAGTGATCCGCCCTCCTCGGCCTCCCAAAGTGCTGGGATTACAGGCCTGAGCCGAATTAATCTTTTGTTACTGAAGTTTTCAACTTAACTATTGTTATGTTAGGTATTTTTTGTCTACTCATAGCTTCACTTTTTGAGTTTAGTTTTTGAAAATTCATTTCCAGCCATTTCATATTTATTATGGAAGTTTCAGGTTATTGTAAATATAGATTATTTATACAGATTTACTGCCCCTCACCCAATGAACCTAAGCATGATAAAATTGTATAATTGCAGGTGAGAAGTTTATTATATGGGGAACTGATCTTGACTGTATGGGAAATTTTGAAGTATTCTCAGCCTGGGCTGTTGAACTCTCAGAATGTAAGAAATCCCAGAGCTCATGGAGCAAAGCAGGACACTCCCCTTCCTGTCTACCATGATGGGGAGAAGCTCTGGCTCTTCGATGTAGGTCAGGGGCCTGTTTTTTGTTGGTTTGGTTTGGTTTGGTTTGGCTTGGTTTGGCTTGGTTTGGTTTTTTGAGGCAGGGTCTTGCTCTGTTGTCCAAGCTGGGGCACAGTGGCACGATTATAATTAAACAAACTAGTCAGTCCTATGCTTGAAACGAGATGCCCCTTCAATTTTTGAGACTTACTATCCAAGTTATGGTTTCAGATCTAACACTTCTTGTAATCAGTGTGCAATAAATGATGAAATGACATTCCTGGAAATCACTAAGCGATTTACTTACTCTTTTTCTAGCTCAGGCTCAGCAGACTTTTTCTGTAAAGGGCCAGGTAGTAAATGTTTGAGGCTTTATGGGCCACAGACTATCTCTGTTGCCTCTTCTTATTTGTGTCTTTTTTTCGACCACTTCAAAAATGTAAAAATCATTCTTAGCTCACAAGCCATAAAAAACAGACTGCAGGCCAGATTTGGCCCATGGGCCATAGTTTGCCAACCCGTTTTAAACACTGAGGTTCGAGTCTCCCATTAATGGTGGCATTCTCTGGGATAACGCCTAAAACATTGGAGTTTTAATTAAGTTGTATTAAGTCACCATTATCGAAAAGATGTATTAGAAATTATGACCCGTACAGACTGGGTTAAAATGTGGCTTGTGTGTCTTCTGCAGCTTGCACCTGCCTGCCCGCCCAGGTGATTTTGCAGGCACAATCTGAGGTGCTAGAACCTGGGGCTTTCTCTGCCTCTGTCTAGTCCTGCTGGATTGTAAGCTCCATGAGGGCAGGAGCTTGCTTGTTGTTTGCTACTATGTTCCCAGCACACAGAACACTG
Organism: Homo sapiens; assembly: GCF_000001405.40. NCBI lineage: Eukaryota > Metazoa > Chordata > Mammalia > Primates > Hominidae > Homo > Homo sapiens. Next base: position 97,777,059 of record NC_000002.12, on the reverse strand, counting down.
CTGGGAAATATGTTCGGGGCTGGTTCTCATTTGTCTTGATAGCATCCAGATTTTTCCAAGTAGTTGGCTTTCCGTATGTCCATTTTACTCTCTGTCCATATATATACACAACATTACATAGTACTCATGCACCAGTTACCATTCCCAGGGATTATGTAATTCCTCAGTACAGCCCTGTGTGGTCTTGTGTCTCCATCTTACAGATGAGAGGCCATGATCAGGCAGCTAGTTTGTAGAAAGCTGCCAGGGTTTGCACCCAGCCATTATGGCTACACTGCTGGGACTCTTAGCGCCCCTAAAGGGAAGCACTTGAGTGGCTCGTTGTTTATGTCACCATCAGGCTTCCATCTCCCAGCAGATGTCAGAGGATCTCTGGTTTTCACTTCTGTAACTTTTCAAAGCTCTATCACCCTTTGGAGAATATAAGAACATTCTGAGACAGACATACAGATTTGTCAAAACTGCCGAGTTTGTCCAAACTCACTGAACTGTACCCTTAAAATGGGTGTGTTCTATTATATATAAGTTGTATCTCAGTAAAGTTGATTTTTAAAATTGTTCTCATCACAAAGTCAAATGGATTTGGAAAGCTTTAATTAGAGAAGAAAAAAAGAAACCTTTTTTAATCAGAAGAGTCCAGCCTCTTCCAACAAAAGTTGTAATTGCTTTGTTTTCCAAGCTAGCTATTTAAAAATCAGGAGTTCTGGCCAGGCATGGTGGCTCACGCCTGTAATCCCAGCACTTTGGGAGGCCCGAGGCAGGCAGATCACGAGGTCAGGAGATTGAGACCATCCTGGCTAACACGACGAAACCCCGTCTCTACTAAAAAATACAAAAAATTAGCTGGGCATGGTGGCGGGCGCCTGTAGTCCCAGCTACTCAGGAGGCTGAGGCAGGAGAATGGTGTGAACCCGGGAGGCGGAGCTTGCAGTGAGCCAAGATCTCGCCACTGCACTCCAGCCTGGGTGACAGAGCAAGACTCCATCTCAAAAAAAAAAGAAACAAAAACAAGAGTTCTTTTACTTTAATTTTTATCCTCAGGGAAAGGAAAACCTCTTCAGCGCAAGGTGAAACCACCTAAGAAGCAAGAGGAAAAGGAGAAGAAGGGAAAGGGAAAGCCACAGGAAGATGAGCTGAAGGACTCTTTGGCTGATGATGATAGCTCCTCCACCACCACAGAGACCTCCAACCCTGACACAGAACCGCTCCTCAAGGAGGTACGGGCTGATCTCACACAACAAAACACGAGGGAGAAAGAGAGGTCTCCTGCAGCTCACAAGACCTTCCATCTCATAGATTCTGGTTTTAGTACAAAAGTAATGTTTAAATCTAGGATGAGCACCTACTGAGGAATGGTTCCTGTGCTGGGCGTGCCTCCAGAGTCATTCCCCTGCAGACAACAGTCACAGCTGTGGGGATGAATGGCTCCATGTCCTCCAGGGAAGAACAGCTGGAAGCATGTTACTAAAGTAAGATGGTTAGAAACTGGAAACACTGCTTGAAAGCTAGGGACTATCTGGAATAGTAACTATTCTACCTCATGAAACTTCTTTCAGATTTTAAGGATCAAAAGAATGAGAAGGAACTCTACCATTTTAATTAGGTTGTGTTTTTCCTGTCATGTTGCTCCTAGCACCTGCTGGAAGCGGGGTTTTGGTGGCCGCTTACTCCCAAGCAGTAGAGTGGTGACCGCCCTGGAGGGAGTGTGGCCCCAGGAAAGACCCCAGGCTTTAGTGGCCCCCAGGGACGAGGAGCCCAGCCCAGGACACATCAGCACGCCAAGAAGCTGCCTCGCCCGTTGGAGGCCTCGGCTCCCAGGGCTGTTATCACAGCAGGAAGAGCAGTGCAAAGTGTCGGGTCCAGTGGGCCTTAGTGACGGGGTCAGATTACTGCTGTGAGTAGTATGGGGTGTGCAAGAAAGGGTAATAATTCCACTCTGGCGCTTTTATTTTTAGATAAATGGATTTCAAATCTAAACTGATCCTAATATAGCCTTTAATGTTGTAGAACAGACTTTCTTTTTTAGTTTTAGTCTATTGACCAAGGAATCACTTCTTACAGATTTCCAGCAGTGTCATTCACATGCATTAAAATGTTTAAAATGAAATGTATATGTAACTTACTTTCAAGTTAGCCACCTTTCCCTTTGCATTCCCTCACCGTTACCGTGGTCCTCCATCTACCCCTAGCCCAACTCCTAAATAGTTCTGGAGCTCTGTAGTTTATAGCACTTTAACAAATTACTTCAGAGAAACAGAAAGCCCTGTGCTAAACTTTGAGTAAAATCCCAGCAGTTTAAACCCTGTGCATCAGCGTTCGGAAGGCATTTTCTGCACGACTTTCTCCCACTTCCCTTCCCACCTGCCAGCCTCTTCCTGCTCACACCACTGTGGCCCCCTCTCCAGCGGCCCCCAGTGGCCAGTGTTCTGTGCTCACCCACTGATGTCATTCTTAGCTCCCTGTTCATTCCCTCCTGTGTTCCCAGCTTCTTCCGTGCTATTTGTGCAGCTCAGAACTCACATCCTTCATGAGGCCTCCTTGTCTGGTTACTACCCTGTCCCCTCCAACGAGTTATTCCTCCTGCTCAGCAATCTGCATAGAGGCCGTGTGCTTTTATTTCTCTGCAACTGATCTCAGTTTGTCAGTTAATGTGTATTTTCTTCCCAGCTAAATCACAACTTTGATAGGTCATTTTCTCTTGCATGTCTTCTCCAATTCTGTTCTACCCATTCAGTCAACACATAGGAATTGAGCACCCACGTGCCAGGCCACGTGCTAGGTGCGTAGGCAACAACAGTGGACAAAAGGCCACATCCTTGTCCTCGAAAAGCTCATGGTTTACAAGATACCTGATGGGTCAAGTATTCAAGAAAGACTTCATGAATAACTCAAAGTAGTTTCAAACGATATGTGAGCCAGGGAGATGTTTTAGCCCTAGCTCTGGTTATTTACTCTTGACAGTTAAATAGATTCACCTGGTGTGACCTATTAAAATCCAGGCTGTCTTCATAATCATAAATTTTAAAGCTCTTGGGTAGATGCTAATTCACCACATGCCTATAGCTCCCCTCCACAGCCATCACTGTCCCCTTTGCTGAGTACGTCCTTCCCCATCTGTCCCTGCCAGTGCTTCCGTAAACACAGTATTTCACAGATTGTCTGGGGCAAAGAACCAGGTTGCTTTTAGTACACAGCCCACTCCACATGCAGCTCCCCAGGCGAGTTCAGCAATACCTGAGTGCAGCCTGGGCAACATGGTGAAACCCCATTTCTACAAAAAAATACAAGAATTAGCTGGGTGTGGTGGCATGTGCCTGTAGTCCTAGCTACTCAGGAGGCTGAGGTGAGAGGATCACTTGAGCCCAGGGGTGACAGAGTGAGTACCTTGTCTCAAAAAAAAAAAAACCACACATAATACATGAGTAGATGTGTACCCTGTTGGGGAGACAGGTCCACTGATCTCACACTCAGATGCTGCAATGAAGTCAGATTGCCACAGAAATCCGTGGGGCAGGTTCTGTACTTTCCTGGTCCTGGCTGGGCCAGCTGGGTAGCACAGCTTTAAGATGCGTCTTGGATGTGGCCGCCCACTCCAGATTCCACATTTTAGCGGGCAGGACAGCCCTTCTGTGCTGCTGCAGTGGCCAGTAACATTCCCCCAGCAGAGGTCCATGCTGGCGTCTGTCGTGTGTCTCCCTCCTGCTAGACTTCACCATCCTTAGGAGGAGAAACTGGGCCCTCTTGGTAATCCTATGGCCTGGCACCAAGCGGGTGACCCGTAAATGTGTGTGGATGAACTGGACAAACAGCCCCTCCCATTGATGGAGCAGCTGTTAGCTTAGCATTAAACCAGCCGGAACCCTGCCGCAATCGCAGGCAGGCGAGCATGGCCCCTTTGGCTGCCGCACTGCTCTCTTGTCCTGAGAGTTGTGCTCAGGATGGGGTGCATGGCTGGAGTGCTTGACTTTATACTGCAGTCTCTACTGAACTTTTCTTTTAAGGAAATACAGTGTTTTACTCCCCAGTGCTTGAAAAGAAGCTACCAATTTGCTACTGCCACTGCCACCACCATCTCCAGTCAGGATATGAGTATAAATTAAAATGACGTTCTTTATAACTCCAACTCACCAAAACGTAGTCGAGACAAATTTTACTTTATTTTTTGAGATGGCGTCTCGCTCTGTCGCCCAGGCTGAGTTTAGTGGCATGATCTCAGCTCACTGCAACCCCTGCCTCCCCAGTTCAAGCGATTCTCATGCCTCAGCCTCCCAAGTAGCTGGGATTACAGGCATGCGCCACCACGCCCAGCTAGTTTTTTGTATTTTTAGTAGAGACAGGGTTTTACCATGTTGCCCAGACTAGTCTTGAACTTCTGAGCTCAGGCAATCCACCTGCCTCGGCTTCCCAGAGTGCTGGGATTACAGGCATGCGCCACCGCACACAGCTGAGACAAATTAAAGAAGGCCAAAAAATTGACAGAACCGCAGTGAAGACAGATTTGAAGAAACGAGTTTGTTTTTACGTATATGATGTGTATATTTTTACATCTTTGATTTTGTGTCTGTATCTTAAAATGGAACTAATTTCAGTCATTTTATTAATCCTTCTCAGCAATTAAGTGTCCATTTTTTACAGGATACAGAAAAGCAAAAGGGAAAACAAGCCATGCCTGAAAAACATGAAAGTGAAATGTCTCAAGTGAAGCAAAAAAGCAAAAAACTCTTAAATATTAAGAAAGAAATCCCAACAGATGTGAAACCCAGGTGAGAGAAATAAGTGTACAGAGAAATAAGGTCTATAAAGAAGTTGCTGGCGAAAACCAGGTGCTGTTTTGATTTGGCCATTTGGCTGGCTGGTTGGCTTTTAGGGGAGTTGATAGCAAAATCCAGGTGCTACGTCACATTCCTCTTGGGATTTTTCTGTCACCTGATATGTACTGTTGTTGACTCGGAATAGCCATATGCTTCTCAAGTCAGATATGCAGAGGGCAGAGCTCACGATCTGTTATAAAAATTTAGGAGGAAAATTTCTGTTGGTGATTCAGTCCCAGGCTGAGATCCATTTTACTTCTGCACAAAGATGACCTTGACGATTGAACCACAGGTACAAGCATAACTTTCCTCCAAAAGATCTCTGAGTCTGTCGAATTGTTAACCCAGTTGGGATCTAGAGTTCCATGCCATAAAACTTGGAAAAGTTTATTCTTACCTTAAAAATGGTTCAGAGCAGGTGTCACCAGTCAGACGGTTCTACCATTAAATAACTCCAGTTCCTCCCCATGGAATGGGATTCAGTGGCCCCCGGGGAGGGCTTGTGCAGGCTGTTTCCCCAGGGAGATGAGTGAGTTGAACTGTTGGGTTATTAACTGAAGTTACTTCACATTTTCATTAAACCTTGGCTCAGCATCTACCTGATAATTTTAGTGTTGGTGCATCAGTAATACCTTTCCTGGTTCATTGTATAGAACTGTCATCAGCACGGGAGCTGCTGTCTACCCGCTTGTGGGTTGTGATCAGTAGAAAGTGACAGAGGAAGTCGAATAAATTAGGTGTAAATTTAAAAGGAAGACATGGCTTGTCTGTCATCATAAGTGTGGGCCATAGATTTGTGGAAGGTCTATTCTTACTCTGATCCTGGGAATCATACTTGAGTTTTGCAAAAACACCACTAACCTAGACTCTGTCCCTAGATTATATGGCTTCAGGCAGGGCCAGTCCTGTTCTATAGAACCCAAAAGCTAGTAAGAAATTAGTGATAACTGCAGTAAAATTTAACCTTGTCCCTGAATTTATGAAATAATACAGTATATGGTGGTGCTTAGTAATGAAGTATTTGTACCTAAAATTTACTCTTTTGTGGCAATTGTTAGTTCAAGTGACCAGGTCCCACAATTTGTTGAGAGCAGTCTGGCCCAGGTAGAAGGAACGTCAAGCAGAGTGGTATCAGGTGGTTGATCATTTGAAGGGGAGAGAGAAAAGGAGACCACCTCTTCTGAAGAGGAGGTTCACATACTTGGATCTCTCCTGAGAGAAATCCACCTGAGACACCAATATCCTGGCACCCAGGACAGGAATAACACTGGGCTACTAGCTAGAGATTCTTCTTCTTGGCCTTTTTCAGGCTTAGGTGAGTGATCAGATATTTTAAAGTAAATGAGGCTAATAAGTCCAAATAATGAAAATCCTCATTTTTACATTTGCAGAAATCTTGTGAGGTAGACAGACATGCAGTAATTCCTATGATGATAAATTTTAAAACCAGTGCATCTAAGAATTATCTTAGAGGTACCATTCCATAGGTGACTGTCACCAAATTGGCCCTGTTGATTAGCCCTCAGGCCTGAGCTTAGTATTGTTAAGCAGATAGAACACACTAATCCTAACCCCCATCCCTGTTCCACTGACTTACATTGTATTCTGATTTTTTTTACAAGTTGACCATCAGCAAATTTGCATTTGAAAAGTTAGTCAAAGACGTCGCTTGAGTGTCATTACCTTTGCAAGGGTTTTTAGTTCTCTTGTAAACCAAAAAGCTTAGAGTGGTCAGTCCTGAACCGCCTAGTCAAGGGGCAGTTATAGCAATAACCGGTGCTCTCTCAATATGTAGTTAAAAGATAAATCATTACCAGAACACAAATCAAGCCGTGTGCTTGAAACTGTCTTTTGTAACTGGAGAAATCTATATGCAACCTTTCTTCTATCCTCCTTTATCTGATCTCTTTAAACTCACTGATCTCTTGTTTTTCTGAACTCGAGGATGAAAGTATTGAGTCAGAATTTATTAGTTCATCAATCATTTAATCAAATAAAGACTGGTTTTTTTAATAACCGGAGAAGGTTGGCTTTCTGAACAGAGCCATTCTGTGACTCCACTGCATTCTGATAATAAATGTCAAACACTGTCACTCAGAATCACAGCCAGTACTAGCTTTAGTGATTCCTGAAATTCCTGTCACCTTTTAGTGTGTTAATATATAACCCCACATGTCTGAAGGACAGGTACACATCTTTTAATAAGATATGTCATTAATAAGGCATATATCATTGCTGTCTTTCGGAAGCTTTGTGAGAGGTGATAAAGCCAGAGGAGTGGCTCAGCCCCATCCATCCACACTCCCAAGAGTTGACCTCAAAAAAATCACTTGCTAGGAAATAGGAGGGTGGGGCTGCAGCAACAGAAATCTGATCTAACCGTGTTTTCCAGCTGTGGCAACATAGAAATGGGCCTGCAGACCTCCGGAAAACTGTAGTCTATGGCAGAGATGCCAAGGAATGGGAATCAGATCTCAGGCACTGAAGGTTTCTGCAGAACCAGGAAGGGCCCAGGGCATCCCTGGTTTAGGACCCTGAGTATTCACTGATCCTTTTGTTTTTCTATTTGTTTATCAACAGTATATGTTTACATAAATGTAATAATCTAAAATAAGCAAAAGAAGTAGATTAATCATATTATCTGTAAAAATCTGCTTAAATAACACTCTCAACTCAGGCCCAAGGGCTGTGAACACCACACTGCACACGCCAGCCCCAGACCTGTCAGCACTCAGAAAACCCTGCTCCACAGCTGGTCATGTCCCTAGCTGTGTCCTCAGCTCTGCCTCTCTCCTCCCCAGACAGAAATGTGTACTGTGTATTACAGGAATAAAAATAGGCCAGGCTTGAGTCAGGTGTAACGTTGTGAAAAGCAAAAATAAAAAGAATACGAAATCTCAGAATATTAAGAAAAAGAAAAACATTATTATTAAAAAATGGAGGAAAATATATTATAAAAATAAGCCAGGTGTGGTAGCTCACATCTATAATCCCAGCACTTTGGGAGGTCAAGGCAGGAGGATTGCTTGAGCCCAGGAGTTCAAGATCAGCCTGGAAAATATAGCAAGACCTTATCTTACAAAAAGTTTTTCTTTTAAATTAGCCAGGTGTGATGGCACACACCTGTAGTCCCAACTACTAGGGAGGCTGAGGCAGGAGTTAGAGACTGCATAGAGCCCAGGAGTTAGAGACTCAGGAGTTGAGCCCAGGAGTTAGAGACTGCAGAGAGCCGTGATTGCACCACTGCACTCTAGCCTGAGCAACAGACTGAGACCCTGTCAGTAAATAAATAAATAAAGCCTGGCATCTGAACCACCTGTTTTTCCTTTTTAAAAAGAATCACTTCAGTCTGGGCACGGTGGCTCACACCTGTAATCCCACTGTAATCCCAGCACTTTGGGAGGCCAAGGACGGCAGATCACCGGAGGTCAGGACTTCGAGACCAGCCTCACCAACATCGTGAAACCCCATCTCTGTTAAAAATACAAAAATTAACCAAGCATGGTGGCACACACCTGTAATCCCAGCTACTCAGGAGGCTGAGGCAGGAGAATTGCTTGAGCCTGGGAGGCAGAGGTTACAGTGAGCCAAGATCGTGCCACTGCACTCCAGCCTGGGTGACAGAGTGAGACTCTGTCTCAAAAAAATGAATCGCTTCAATTAAGTTGGCCGTTACCCATTTTATTCAGAAGCCTTAAAAAAGGATTCTTGATAGAGATCATCTGGCTTAATTTAGGAAAGTATGAATCAGCAAAAATAACAGGAGTTGTCTGGCACCTTTCTTCTTAAAAACCAATTACTTTTACAGTGGCACAGAATTTAGTTTTGTATAAATAGCTACCCACGCACACTTAAAAATAGATCACACCCACACCACCTCCACCACCAGAGGGCTGGTGTCTACTATGGGAGCCTTTGGGGTTTTTTTAGAAGATGGGTTTTTTAAATAACCCTGTCAGTCAGAAGTAGAAGAGATACAAAAGATTTTATAATGTAGCATTCATCATCTGGCCCATAAACAGTGGATTTTTCACTTCAGTTTGTTATCCTACCTAAAATTCTAGTTATTTGGGCTAACGGAAACCCTTTGGCTTTTTGGTTTGCTCTCTTACTAATTCCAGATATAATACCTACTTATTATTATATAATACCTACTTGTGAAATACAACGAAACAAAAGAAAATGTCCTTTGACCCTACCACCTTATAAAATGTTTGTAAATAGCCTTCTTAAATGTATTTGTTTATTTATGAGCTCACACTTTACATTGAGGATGTTGGGGAATGAGGGTGTTATGGTGCCGTTAGATCGGGAAAGTTGGAACTCTTCTCACCTTTGAAATCTCCTGTGAATGAGCACAGCAGATTGCCTCTGACCCAGAACCTAGCTGAAATGTACTGTATCCTGTGGGCTGGGAGGACAGAAGGCAACATGGTGCGTGAAGAACTTGGAGGATGGGGCCGGGAGTCCTGAGTAGTATCACACACTTGAGGGTTGGGAGCAGAAAGCACACTGAAATGTGGAAAATGCCGGCGATGCATCCATTTTACACCATCTGTGTAGACTTTGTAGATTTGGAATGAAAAGCTAGCCATCAGCTCAGCCCTGAACTGACAGCTGTCACCAGGAGCTCTGTAGAGATCCCTGAGGATTCTTGGAAGATTTCTCCAAAGGGGCCACTGGGCTCTCTGAGCTGCATCTCAGCCTTTGCTGGAAAAGGTCCTTCTTGGACCACATTAGCTGAGCTCCTTCCGGAGGTCCTCCCAGTCCCAGACATGGTCTTGGTGGGCATTAGAGATGTGGCTTCATAAAGAATGCCTTTGTAGCCCATATAGGTATTCTACTCACAATGCTGTCTTCCATGGGCCAGCTACCCAGTTCATTTCTCTCAGAGATTCATTCTTTCCAGCTGCTGTCTCCCAGCAGGTTTTCCTACCTCACTTATTGAGCTTTGGAAACTTAAGATATATTTATACATGCTTATTATCTTAAGCTTACCTCAATATCTTTCAGAAAGCGTCACTCTAAATAAATCAATAAAAAATATATTTAATTTTTTTGCTTAAGATTAACCCTGAGTTCAAGAATAAGGAAGAAAATTCATCCTAGCCCACTCCCTGTAGTAACCAGGAACTTAGCTCTGGGTCACCTCATAATTTCTATGAGAAAAATTTGTTCAGTTTTGAATAGTGGAGTCTCTAATGTTATAGATGTGAGATCTTTCAAAATCTTCATGTTCAGGAATCCCACTGGTGGTGGTCTAGATGCTGGGAGAGACTCACAGGCAGAATGACCGCACTTCCAGCCCTGAGCAGCAAGTTGGAGCTAAGGGCTTTCTTTCTATGCCTTATCTGAGATAGATCCTCCCTCACGTTACGTATTATTAAATAATGGACCTCAGTTCATTGTCAGCACTTGGAATAGCAAAGGTTCAGTCTGCAAGTGCTGAATGTCTGCTGGGCAGTCTTAGCTACAGCGTTGGGCATGCAGCCAGTCCTGAGTTAGGACCAAGGGTAGATAACGCCCCAGGAAGCCACATTAGCTTCCTGCATGCAGTTGTATTGTAGAAGAATTACAATCTTAATGACTTCTGTCCTCCAAAACAGAGGAATAAATTTGTATTTTCCATCCCTGATTGTCTTTCAGTTCATTAGAACTACCATATACTCCCCCTTTGGAAAGTAAGCAACGTAGAAATCTCCCAAGCAAGATTCCTCTTCCAACTGCAATGACAAGTGGATCCAAATCACGAAATGCCCAGAAAACAAAAGGTATTGTCATCTTGTTCTCTATGATCATGTCTTACGGATCTTTTCATAGTGCACCGTATTAACAATTGTTGTGCATTATCAGTAAGCAGTCAGTAGTTATTAGTCATGCAAGGCTAAGGCTGTGTTCTTGTCCTCATTAGAAGGTTCATTGAAATAGACCTGAAAGAAAGGAATGATTCTCCATTAACCATGTTCTTTTCTGATTTTTGTGCAGGTACAAGTAAGTTAGTGGATAACAGACCACCTGCCCTAGCAAAATTCCTCCCGAATAGTCAAGAATTAGGCAACACCAGTAGCTCAGAGGGTGAAAAAGACTCTCCTCCACCGGAGTGGGATTCCGTTCCAGTTCACAAACCTGGCAGCTGTAAGTATAGTAGTTTAGAAACCACAGGGCTCCACTTACCCACAATCCACCCCACTCTGGGCATGGAACTCTTCAGGGGCATGTTGCTTTAAAATACCCATTGACAGTGCTTTGCCAGCTAAGAGCCCATTGTTAACTAGCCTAATCAGTGGCTAAACTGCCGTAGGTTGAAATCAGTCCTGGTAAGATTATTTACATCAGGGGACTCATTCAACAATTCACATCAGGGCTTTTTTTTTTTCAGGGAGCTGGTATACTAGCACACCACTGCCCAATGTGCAAAATGGAATGGTCTGTTTGGAGTGGTTAATCTTCTAAAGAATTGTTTGCCTTATACAAGTATTGACTTAGCTATCCTTTACCTGATGAGTTCCTCATTTATAGTGTAATTGTTTTTGTAAGAATTCCATCCTCTCAACTTTACCCACATCTTTTTACATGAGCAACCTACACAAAGGTTTCATTATTTTTCTCACTACCTTGACCTTGTTTCTCCAGTTTGGCCTGCAGTAAATCAAGACAGTAGGCACAGTCAACCAAAATAGAAATCCTCACCCTACAGACACTTGACCTGAAATAGGGGGCAACAGAGACCAGAAAAGGGAGCAGCTGACAGCAGGGATTTGAGATCAAGAGAGGTCCTGGCTTTAGGACTGATTGGTCCGCACTCACCACTGTGTTGGAGTGTACCAGAGGGCAAGTCAGGAAGACCAGAGATGCAGTCAGGTTTGAGCAACAGTCGGGTCATTGAAGGTGAAAGGAGTTGGACGAAGGGCAGGCTCACTGGGCTGAATGAGGGCAGAGAGCCTTGGAGGCTCGGGTAGGGCGTCCACGCTCTCGCCGGAATGTGTAGATACATCCTGGAAAGAGATGCTCTCTGAGATACATCCTGTAGCCCTATTTGCCATGAGACTTTCTGGCACCTTTTAGTACTACTTTTTGCCAGGGGTGGGATACAATCCTAAATCCTTCACTCAGCAAATCTTGAAGAAGACCGTGGGTGGTCCGTGTGTCCAGGTGGGATGCTTCTGCTTCCTAGCGCCCCCTGAGGTTTCTGCTGGCCATTGGCTCTTGGCTTAACACTCCACGATTTAGGCAGTTCCCCATTAAACAGATGCCACTTTCAGCAACAGAACACAGCCCCTGGAGCCAGTTTCACAGGGGTGTTCTGAGGCCCAGTGAGGTGACATGAGCCGTGTTGGTGACGTAATGACACAAGCATGCAGAACCATGCTGCCGGGAGAGCAGGTGACAGCCAGACACAGCCACAAACTGGCTGGCAGCATCCCCACCTGGTGGCACCTGAGCCACATGTTGACATCACTCCTTCTGTGTGGAGGGGAAAGGATGACAGGACCCAACCCCAGACAGGAGATTTTGGTGCCACTCCTCGGGGCAGGAATGTGGGAAATGGCAGGCCAGCCCTCTGGAGGAGGAACTGTGAAGGGCCCAGTGCCGCATGCCTCAGTTTCCTGCCTGGCTCTTCCACAGAGGCCAGCTGGTGCATCTGAGCATGGCGCCTCAGGGCAGAGCTCCACGGTGGGCACTGGGGGAAGAGATGCAGAGCTTGTCTCCTCAGCCCACGTCTGTGCAGTCCTTTTGTGTTTTTCTAGCCAAGCAGTCCCTTACACTGGTTCCAAGCCCTGTGACCTCTCTGCCCTCACTGCCAGCGTTACTAAAATGTTCCAGCAGAGCTCCACTCGATAGAGAATATGGGTGGAGGAAACCCAGAAGAGTCGGTCCCACATGCTCTCCATCACTTTTACCTTCCTGCTCTGCCCCAGCTTTCTCATCCCCTTTTATCCCTTCGCCTCCCTTGGTGTTTCGTCTTGCTTAGACCTGAAGTTCTGCGAGCGCTGTTGGCAGTGCCAAGCTTAGTGCAGTTCCTTGGGGTGAAAGCGTTGGTCCCACCCAAGACTGTGCAGCCAGCATGTGGCAGTAGCCGCTGGGGGAGTTGTGCAGCCTCTGTGTAAAGATCTCTCCATCCCAAGTAGCACCCCTTAGCATGGTGCCCTATACCATCTGTACCACATGAGTTGCAGAGAAAATGCTCCTTGAATAATTTCATGATTTAAAAAGGCAAAAAATACAAAGGGTTATTAAAAGGAAAAGCAAATCAGAAGCCACAAAGGAAAATTTTAATAATATTTGAATCAAAACGTTCTCTAATTGCAGCTCGTGTACTGTTCAGAGTCTCCCCTTCACTCCTACCTCAAGCACTGTTCAGTAGGGGCTTTTGCTAACTTCCCTTTGCTTTTCCTGTTTCATTTCATCATCACTGTCTTGGGAGCATCTGTAGTTCTGGGCCCTGTGAAACACATTCCACCCACAGGAGCTGCCCGCACCTTTCCCCAGGACAGGCACCTCGGGAGGATCGAGCGCACACAAAACGGAGCACAGCCTGCTCCAAGTGTGGGCACTGCCTGAGGGGACGAGTCACTGCAGGGGCGGAGCGAGGCCAGAGGAAGTGGCTAGGGAAGGGTCAGGACAGTTGTACAAATAGCAAGCCGACAGTGTAGACGTGGTGTCAGATGGGAGGCCTCAGAGGAGCTTGATGGGGACAAAGATTCGAGCAGGGCTCGTATGGGAGAGCGGTGTGAGACACGTCCTGAGTGTGGGCATCAGGTCAGCAGATCCACAGAACCAGCGAGGAGGGGCCCATGTCATCAAGGGGTGAGAGTGGGCGGGTGGGAGACAGGACCGTGAGTCTGGCACCAGTACCAGCAGCACTGGGGAAGGTGAGAGAGAAGGTAGCAGGCAGCCCTGAGGATGGCGGAGTGGAGAGCACGGGCTTCCAAGGGAAGGCTGCTTTGCTCGGCAGGGCCATGCTGGAGGCTTGACCTAGCCAAGACATGGGAAACCTTGAGCCCTGAGCCCTGGGGGTAGGGGAGAAGCAGCTTGTGCTACAGGGTGTGACCAGGGAAGCAAGAGGCAGCAGGCAGAGCGGCTGCAATGTGGCAGTGAGGGGACGGGAGAAGTGGAGCCGGGGGTACTCAGGGTACGCGGAAATCTCACAAGGCAGGAGGGGCCAGCCAGGTAGCGAGCTGGCCAGGCCTGGGCTGGGGATCGTGCCCTGTGGTGATGGGAATTCACAGGTCCAAGCTCTCCCCCACCTTCTTCCTCTTGCAGTAGCTACAGCAGCACCAAGTTGCACACAATAGATGTGCAAAATGATACATTTTTCTGATAAAAGGTATACATATTTCCGTTTACTGAGTAGAGAATGTTATTTTATGACTGAAATTTTTTGTTTTAATTTCAGAGATGGGGTCAGGCTGGAGTGCAATGGTGTGATTATAGCTCACTGCAGCCTCAAACTCCTGGCTCAAGCCTCCCACCTCAGCCTCCCAAAGTGCTGAGGTTACAGGTCCGAGCCACTGTGCCCAGCCTGTTTTAGATTTTTAAAACAGCTGTATAGACATTACTTTAAAGGGCACAGGAATATACTAGGAGCTTAATAGGGATCAGAGCTGCACATCCCAGTCACGCCAATGGAGAGGCTTTACTGAACTTGGGGATTCAGCCCGGAACACTGCACCTCCCACAGCTGTAAACCTGCGTGTAGGCACAAGGATTTTCCAGGTCCCCAGGCAGCGGCCTCAGCTGTCCACCCCTGGAGGATGTGGAAGACCCTCCTCCCCTACCTGAGGTGGGAGAAGTGAAGACATTGACTGTCCGCCACACAACACAGCAGGGACCGGGCACGCTCTTGCTCCCCTCAAATCCCCGAGTGCAGAGAGATGTGGCTGCTTTCTCTTTAAAACCTGTTAAACAGAACACATCTAAGAGCTTTCGTTTGTTTTCTTTGTAGAAGGGCTTGAGTTATGCATAGTCTTAGAGAACATTCAAAGTGATTTGGAAGAGCGCTAATCAAAACACCACACTAACGAGCCCGTTTGTTTTTAATTTCCAGCTACTGATAGTCTTTATAAACTTTCTCTGCAAACCCTCAACGCAGACATTTTCTTAAAACAACGCCAGACCTCACCGACACCTGCTTCCCCGTCTCCCCCAGCTGCCCCCTGCCCCTTTGTGGCCCGGGGCAGCTACAGCAGCATCGTCAACAGCAGCTCCAGCAGGTAGGCCTGCTGCTTCCTTTCCGGTTCTCAGCTTGAAATGTGCCTAAAACCCGATGTCACACCCTTTAAATGGAAACACTTAGCGGCCACAGGCCACTGTCTGGTGTTACTTCTGATGGCTGCCAGCTTGTGTGGACCCTTTTACCTGGGGTCCACCCCCGCTTCCTGCTGCTGTGCCCAGCTCCAACAGTAACCCGGTTCCCATTCTAATCCATTCATTCTTACCACCTGTGGACCGAGAAATGCACCATTTAACTCACTAGAGTGATATTCTCAGTGAGCCAATGAACATTTACTAAGCCTTACATGAAGACCTAAAGGGGATTCCTGTGAGTTGGGAGTATGGGTTTATGTGACACTAATTTTGGCCTTTGGACAATTTGGCTTAGGACTTAGAAGGGCAGGACCTGGTCCAAGACCGTTGTGCTGGGTGAGGTGCTGCAGTAGGGGATGTGTGCACCCGGGAGGGCAGCCTCCTGACCACACAGACAGGATGCAGGAAGCATGCTGTTCTCCGAGGCACGGAGCCTCACTCGTGTCCGCCTGCCACAGTGTACCGCAAGCCTGACAGTCACGGATGGCACTCTCACCGTGTGCCTCGCCGTGGCGTGGGTTTCTGTGCATCGCGTCACCGGCCAGCCTAGGGTCAGGTCCTCCCCGCCGTTGCCCAAGAGGCAGTAACCACTGAGGCTGGGGGAGCCACCCCGCTTCTGGGCCTTGCCACAGGAGCACCTCGCCGTGTCCTGGCAGGGAAGGAGACTCCCTGAGGCCCCGCCCTTTCCGGTGTCGGTGGCTGCCCTCTGCATTTCCTGCCGAGTGGCTCTCTAGCATTCTTCACAAAAGTGTGATCGAAGCCTCTGCCAGTCCCTAAATTGTGATCCCTGCCCTGGTCTCTTTCATAGTGATCTTTTGTTTTCTTACCTTTCTCCAGAAAGCCCTCTATCTCTGTCTGATTAAGCAGTCTGAGGCCCCAGAGCATGTGACATGAGGCTGAGCGATGCTCTGTGAGCTGCCCCGCTGCAGAGAAGCCCACTCAGGGCTCAGTCCTGCCAGCCCCACACCTCCCCGAGACAGGGCACTGCTGATGAGGAATGAGTTCTCTCTTTGCTTCTTTTTCAAGTGACCCTAAAATAAAACAGCCAAATGGAAGCAAACACAAGTTGACAAAGGCAGCCTCGCTCCCGGGCAAGAACGGCAACCCCACTTTTGCTGCAGTCACGGCTGGCTACGACAAGAGCCCAGGTCAGTGCCTTTGCTTCAGAGACCTGCCACGCCAGGCGCCAGGCCTGGTGGAATGACCTCTGTCCTAATGTGCCTTCCATTGATTGAACGTCCATTGTTACAGGTGGGAATGGCTTTGCTAAAGTTTCTTCAAACAAAACAGGTTTCTCCAGCAGCCTTGGCATTTCACACGCTCCTGTTGACAGCGATGGCTCAGACAGGTACGGTAGACCACCACTAACCGCTAGAAAGACGGAAGGCTTCTCAAGTCGGGTTAGCACCTTTTTATCCATAAATGGGTTTCAGGGCATTTTTCCCCTAATTTACAAGGAGGCATTTGTCAGAAGTGGTCAAGTGCCTCTAAGAAATCATGTCTGCTGGGTGGAAGCAGAAAGCCGGCTGCGGTGCCTTCCCCAGGGGGTCCAGATAGAGAAAGGGGGCACCCATGCCTGTCTCAGCCAGGCAGACACACGTTACACCTGTTCTCACTCTCCTCCATCTCCTGGTCTGTGGTAAGATGTGATCTGATCATTAAAAATAGAAGAGCGAAAGTGACTTGGGAGGGGGGAAATCTGGAGCAAATACTAGCCAATTTATAGTAAATCACTGGCCACGCCTCTTTCTTGAGCAGGCTTGTTTATCATGCAGGGGGTGTGGTGGCCTGCAGCAGTCACCTTGGTTGACTTTTCCAGATAAGCAACAATAGAGCCCCAATTTACCTACTTTGCACTAATAGGAAATGAGTTCTAGATTTGAAATAGTTTTTAAATAAATCTTCCAGTACCAAAAAGCAAACAGAAGGAAAAAATGTCTGTTTCTCTGCAAAACACTTGCTTTGAACCTGGCTGTGAGCTAGTGATAGGGCATCCGGAGCTCTGGGGCTCCCTCCGACTCAACCCTTGTGGTAAGCAGCCATTGTTCAGCTCTTCCTTTTGTCTGTTTTTAATATTTGAGTACCCCCAGTTGAAGCAGTGTCTCCTGTTTGTGAAGCTGTGCACTATGGATCCGTTTGCACTAACCACCATACATTTTTGTGTGTTGCGTTTTCCTCTTGTAACATTTAGCTCGGGTTTGTGGAGTCCCGTCAGCAACCCAAGCAGCCCTGACTTCACTCCCCTCAATTCGTTCTCCGCCTTTGGAAACTCTTTTAATCTAACTGGTGGTGAGTGTTTAACACTAGATGTGTAACTAATAAGCCTGTGGACAGAGGAAGGGAGAGGAGGTGTGGTTTTGTGTGCTGGAGAACACAGCACAGCAGCACTGTGGAAGAGGCCCCGCAGGAAGCTCCCTGGGAAGGGTCCCCTCCCCTCTTCCTCCCTCATCCACACCAGCAGCCCAGAGGGGCAGTGGACCAGGCTCGACACGGTGTGCGCACACCAGTTGGTGTGAGTTCCATGGCGGGTATTGAAGGGCTTCACAGAAGGGTTCTGGTCTGAAATGGGACCCCTGAGTGTGCCAGGGGTCCTCTTCTTGCTGTCCAGAACTAGAGGTCACCATGGAAGCTTCCCATTAGCTATCATGTGAGAGTGGGGAAAGTTTGCATTTGGATGTCATTGGTGGCATATCAGCTCGTGCACTATGCGTTTGAGTTCTGGAGGACACTCCTGCCCCTACTTCCTCTGGGCTGTGGTGGGCTGGTGAAGTGGGTGTGGTGGCTCCAGGAGCAGTGGTTGGAGGTATGCCATTGAGTGAAGCCCCATATGCTATAGTGATCATGGCAAAACCAAATATGGACTTGATGACTGTTGCTTTATTTCCAGAAGTTTTCAGCAAACTCGGATTATCTCGATCGTGCAATCAGGCCTCACAGAGGAGCTGGAACGAGTTTAATAGTGGCCCTTCATACCTTTGGGAGTCGCCAGCGACAGATCCCAGTCCTTCCTGGCCAGCCAGTTCCGGCTCCCCGACCCACACAGCCACAGTGAGTACTTGGGGCTGGGGCTGGGGCCTGGACCTGGCCCACCCACTCGCCATCTGCCATTGCTGTGACATGGATGGCACTGACATAGTTATAAACAACAAACAGCAGCATCAGAGGGGTGGGTTAGTACTTTTATTGTCTCCATTGCTTTGTCTTCATATTCTGTCAAAATGACTGATCGATGTTCTTCAGAGCCATTACAATCAGGAAGTTTTAGGAAGAACAACTGAACAGCTATGGGGTTGGTCTCTGGAGTCCCTCCTAATAGCTCAAGGGCATTTTCTGCCTCTTCCCAACCTGTAAATGGACCACAAGGGTGACCATAGGCCTATGGCAGGTTCAGATGGTTGAGGGAAGCCTTCGGCATCTGTGCAATGCAGCCACTGGCCACCCAGGAGCAAGCTAGATACTGCATTTACTTTGTTGCTGAGAAGCACCTGTCTCTTAGGTTAGATTTTCAAGAGTGCATTTGTTTGCTTCTTGGCTAAAGTCTTCTGCAAAGACCATGCTGAAAAGAGTATTCTTGCCAAGGAAAATAATTAGTGGTTTTGGCTTCCACAAAATTATGACAGAAAAATATGACCCCACTGTGTTTGCCTCTTTGTTCTCAGAGAAACTAAACATGCAAGGTTTTATAACAGATATTTCAACTTTACAGATTCCAAAGGTTGTCTTCATGTGTAATTATTCAGCCTTATGTTTTAAAACCACCTTAACCATTCTTTAAAAGAGAAGTCAGCAAACTTTTTTTTTTTTTTTTTGAGACAGAGTCTTGCTCTGTAGCCCAGGCTGGAGTGCAGTGGCACAATCTCGGCTCACTGCAAGCTCCGCCTCCTGGGTTCATGCCATTCTCCTGCCTCAGCCTCCTGAGTAGCTGGGACTAGAGGCGCCCACCACCACACCCGGCTAATTTTTTGTATTTTTAGTAGAGACGGGGTTTCACCATGTTAGCCAGGATGATCTCGATCTCCTGACCTCGTGATCCGCCCACGTCGGCCTCCCAAAGTGGGAGTCAGCAAACTTTCTATAAAGAGTCAGATAGTAACTATTTGAGGCTCTGAAGGCCATGCTTCACCACTGCCATTGCAGTGCACAGGCCGATGGGCGCAGCTGTGTTCCAATACAACTCTCTTTACAAAAGTAGGCAGAGCTGGATTTGGTCCACAAGCTGTCTTTTTTAAAATATCACAACTAGCCGGCATGATGGCTAGTGCCTGTAATCCCAGCACTTTGGGAGGCTGAGGTGGGAAGATCACTTGAGCCCAGGAGTTTGAGGCTGCAGTGAGGCATGATCACACCACTGCACTCCAGCCTGAGTGATGGAGCAAGACCCTGTCTCAAAAAAATCAGAAACATCTGCTCAAATACATATATATAACATTTGTTCTAAAGTAAACAAAGTAAGAGGAATGCGTGCCCCAGCCTCATCTTTTCTGTAGCCTTACCCCCTTACCCACTTGACCCTCTGCCTGCCGGGCTCAGTGCTGGACGCTTTCTGTTTTGTCGCAGTCGGTCCTCGGTAACACCAGCGGCCTGTGGTCCACCACTCCATTCAGCAGCTCCATTTGGTCCAGCAACCTTAGCAGCGCCCTTCCCTTCACCACTCCAGCAAACACGCTGGCAAGCATCGGCCTCATGGGCACAGAAAACTCCCCTGCTCCTCACGCTCCCTCCACCTCCAGTCCAGCTGACGACTTGGGACAGACCTACAACCCGTGGCGGATATGGAGCCCCACGATTGGAAGAAGAAGCTCGGACCCTTGGTCTAATTCGCACTTTCCTCACGAGAATTAAATTAAGCAAAAAACAAACAAACATAGTGGGCCCTCGTCTAGATCATGATGTGCCAGTTTCTGAGACATCTTTTTAAGGCTCTTACTGCAGCTCCCCTCCCCACCCTCCTCTTCTTTGCAAAACAGACCCAAGCAGGGCAGGCTCAGACCACTCGCTTCTTTCAGATCTTTCTTGCAATTATGATAACATGAGATTTGCTGTTGTGCTTTTAGAGAAAAGTCTGGACTCAGCCACAAACTCTAATAAGACCTGTACATCTGAGAACCTTTCCCGTTACTGCGTTTTCACCACCTGTCTTCCCCATGCTTTATTTATCTGTATGAACACAGATTTGACATTACAGCTAAGGAAATAATTTGAGTTGATTCAGAAATCCTGGCATGTGACAATTTTGTTAAATTACCAAGTTTGGTTTTTAATAATTTCTCAATATTATGCGCCAAGATCTAATTTTAAAACTGTATGAGGACTTTGTGCTGAAAATAGAGTATTTTTTTAAAGTAAGGCTGTCTTGGTTTAAAAGCAGATTACAGAAATGTAAGTCAACTTAAGAACGGTGAATGAATGTAAAAACATTCAGTTGAGACCATATGCATTTTCTGTGCTGTTTGTACTTGAGGTATGTAACATTTGTATACCTGAACTTATTTTAAAGATGAACTGAAATGCACATAGCCAAGTCTTGAGATACAAGATTGAATGTGTATTTCTTAAAAATACAACTTTGTGTTGTACTTTGAAATAAATGATGCTTTTTTCAAAAGCCTTGTTTTGTGGTTTTTTTTACACACAAGGTGTATTTATTAGGATTTTCTCACACCAAAGTAAACCACCTTATCCTTGCCTTACTCTGTGGAGCTGACAGGTTAAGACGGGGTTTGCCTTCTCATTGCTGGAACTTCCTGCAGTCTAATGGAGTTCTGTGTGTTCCCATGGCAATCATGGAGGGTCCTTGATCGAAAACAACTTGAAAGCCTGTTTGGATTCATCCAGTAAGCGTTTTCCCTCTGCCACTATCCTAAAAGGCCTCATAAAAAGCAGTAATTGCTACCATTTATTGAATACTGACTCTGTCAGGTACCTGGCTAACACTTTGGGATATGTTGGGTTACTCCATTATACTTGAGGAACCTGGCTGGGCAGTGCTGGCTCAGAGGCCCCAGGTCAGGCTGACCGCAGATTCACATGGCACCCACTGTGCTGCCTTCCTTCTGGTCACAGTCACCATTCTCAGGAACAGTCTGTGTCCAACTCACCACTGCATGTTCTAACACTGGCCAACCTTTACCAGCCTTCAGTCTGAGGAAGTTGTATGGTGAGAGGAAGACAGAAAAGGAGAGAAGCGGGGCACAGAGGGAAGACAGCAGGGGCACAGAGGGAAGACAGCAGGGACTCGGGCAGCCTGGGGGAGGGCTCTGGGGGCCACCTGTGGGAGCTTACCAGCAGCAACACAGCATGCAGTGCCCCTTTGGCCCTTTCATTTCTAAATGATGGCTTGGAGACAAGGGGGGATGCCTTGGGCTATGGCACAGGGGCTGGGGGTACTAGAAACAGCTATTTACCCACTGGTATTAAAATGCTTTAGCAGTTTACCTGCTAATACAGCTATACCCCAAAGCCAGGCTGGATGGAAAGCAACCTGTGTGCTACTGAGGAATGGAGCCACAGGTGGCAGTCACACAGGGTGCCATGTAGAAATACCAGCTGGGGCTGCTGGAAACGGAGCCTTGGTGCAGACTGGAAATGACTTAGCCAAGCCTGTAAGGTGCAGTAGTAAAGACTACACATCTAAATTTTATTTTTTTTCTTTTAACTAGAAGTGTGTTGACCCTTTTCCAATTTTAAGACTTTCAGCTCCTCCATGGTCCCTGTTGAGTTCACACAGACACGAGGCGAGTCTCGGTACGCCACAACGCATCGGTTGGTTTAATCTTGCCTGTTCCAACTTGCTTTTCTCATTGTCTTGTTTCCAGTCTGTGTTAAAGCCAGGCTTTGCTAGGTAACATAAATGTTCTGTTGGAGGCTAGTTACATCATGAAATCAAAACTATCCCCATGAAGGTGGGAGTGATTTAGTCAAAATGTTATTTGGCGTGATTGTGAACCTGACCTTTTCTCTGCTTTATACCAAAGCTCACAGAACAAGTCTCATTGTTTTGACAACTTGTGATTTGTCCCTCGGGGACACCAGATTTCCTGTGCAACCAGAGCTATGGTGTGTAGGCTGACATCAGGCCTTGTACAATGTTAGCAGCAGGGTTTCCTACGTGCACTTGCACGATCAGGACAAATTCAAGTCTTGGGATTCTCTTTCTACACCAAAGCAGATAATGACGTGTAAAGCTCTACATACAGGTGAGCTTCATATAAACCCTCACTTAAACCAAAGAAAAACTGGGCCAGGCGCTGGGGCTCACACCTGTAGTCCCAGCACCTTGGGAGGCCGAGGTGGGCGGATCAACTGAGGTCAGGTGTTCTAGACTACCCTGGCCAACATGGTGAAATCCCGTCTCTACTAAAAATACAAAAATTAGCTGGGGGTGGTGCTGTGCATCTGTAATCCCAGCTACTCAGGAGGCTGAGGCAGGAGAATTACTTGAACCTGGGAGGTGGAGGTTGCAGTGAGCCAAGATCATACCACTGCACTCCAGCCTGGAGACAGACAGAGCAAGACTCCATCTCAAAAAAAAAGATAAGAAAAAAACTGTATTGGCAGACTTTTCCTCAGAAAGAGTATCTCAGGAATTGATTCTAAACTTGCTTCATCAGAACAATCGCCTGAGACCCCCCCCGACCAAACTCCTTTTTTAAGTTCTAATTTCACCCCATGAGCCTCGCCAGCAGGCTTGAGAGAAACACTGTGTACTTGGGAGAAGATACAAACAAGGGTCTCTTCTGTTACTTGTGCTTTCCAAATAATTACTCTAAGGGTAGGTATTTGAGTGGCAACATACCCACCAAATCTGAAGATCTGACACAACTCAGTCTGTTTACAGTGAACACTTGTTGGCATGATAGTCGCTTTGTACTAGGCCAAGGTTGAATTTAAAATTACAGGTTGTATATAATTATATTTACATGAAATGATAGTGGATGTCTTTATTTATTTTGAGACTGGGTCTTGCTCTGTCGCCCAGGCTGAAGTGCAGTGGCACAATCATAGGCTCACTGCAGCCCTGAACTTCCAGGCCCAAGCAGCTCTCCCACCTCAGTCTCCCAGGTAGCTGGGACAAAAGACACGGACCACCACATCTGGCTAATTTTTTTTTATTTTTTTATTTTTTGTTTTTTATAGGGATGAGGTCTTGCTTCGTTGCCCCCTCTGGTCTCAAACTCCTGAGCGCAAGCGATCCTCCTGCGTCAGCCTCCCAAAGTGCTGGGATTACAAACATGAGCTGCTATGCCCAGGTATCTTATATGTTTATATAAATACGTATAAACAAAGGTATAATCTTTTTTAAATGTTTTTTTACCTAAACTGTGTATCAAAGGAGTGAAATTAGAATTTGGATTTTTCATGACAACCTGAAATAATGTAAAGGATCAGAATCTCATTTAAAAGACTGTTTTAGCCATCCGGGAAACACAGACTCCAAAGGAAAGGGGTCAGTGTTCCGGAGCTAAAAGGTTAAGGTCTCTTTTATACAGGCAGAAAACACATTTAGTGGAATCACGGCATTTTCCATATGAGTCTGGCTTATGAGCTACAGCAATTTGATTAGTTACAGCTTGATGTTTTTTCTTTCCAATTGAAAAGACTATATTTAACATTGTGATTTAGAGAGTATAGTAGTTGTGAGGTCCTTGTGTAAGAGAAGAAAGAGGGAAATTATAATGACGATCAACAGTTAGGAGGAAAGGGGTCTTCCCTGCTGCCCATGAGTTTTTTATAACATTTTACAAAACAGTGTAGGTAAAGAAAAAGGATAGTCTATGATCAGAGAAACAGGTTATAGGTGCCTGTTGCATGACTCAGGCCTCATCATCACATTCCTTTAAGGCTCTAAATAAAATTTCAACAGCTTTGATTTTGAATTATTTTCACACAAGTAAAGTGATTTAGTTATGCTAAATTTGAAGAAAGATTCCTTTTTGTCACCAAATTATTAACTCTCAATGTAAAAAATACGCTTTAGTAATTTTGTTAGAGATGCCTTTGAGTAGCCTTGTCCTAATTTTACTTGTTCCTATTTCAAAATGCTACCACAGAGTTAAATTCACCCTTAAAATATAGACCAATCCCAGAAATTAGGTCATCACAGATGACTAAAACATTTGCTCCCACATGGGCAGGTTGGAAAAAATAAAAGAACAAATGTTTATATTGATAGTATAAATAAATGTGATTGGGGCTAGTCCACAAAATTTGAATGCTTTAGGAACAGGCTTCTAACCCTGACAAATGCCTGTAGAAGTTGGATAACAAAGACATTTTAGATGCTTTGCTATCTTAGCTATAGTAATAGTAAAAGGTCATTCAAATACAAAGACTCAGATCCTAATGGCAGTGTTTGGGCTGACCACTGTGCTAAAGAAACAAGATCAGCCTATAGAAACACTCCTGTGATCTCACCGGTCTTGAGAAATTCAGAGGCTGCTATTAGTGTCAGAACAAGCCCCTGGTTTGAAAAAAGAAAATGGGGAAAGTTCTGATGCCTTTTACATCTTAGGAGGGCCAGCTGATGTCATGAAAAAAGGTGATAGTGGAATCTAACAAAAATTCTTCATGATGTTACCCATAATTAGATAGCTGTAAAAATAAATTGGCAACAATATTAATTAAGCCAGGTAATTTTAGAGGTATTGCCAATAATGGTTACAAAACATCCCCCTGTGAATGAAATCCTGATAAAACATTTAAATGTAGACGTGAGCAGGAACTGGAGAGCTTGAAGGCCCTTCAGACCCCTCCAAGTAGACTCCATACAAATGCCTTCTGCCGTGGATTATAAATACATTCTGGTTATTGTTTGTTTATATTCACTGTGGATTGAAAATTTCCCTGCCAGAGTGACAAAAAGTGCTTGATTTTGTTTTCCAACCTGGAAAATCCCCACTTACTTCTAATGACAGAGATACTCCTTTTTCCAGACCAATGCTGTGGTTTGTTTGGCCCTGCTGAGTCTCTTGTTGAAATATGATCCCCAGTGTGGAAGGTGGGGCTTGGTGGAGGGGATGGAGCCCTCGTGAATGGCTTGGTGCCATTCTCATGGGACTAAGTGCTCACCCTTAGTGCCCACAAGAACTAGTTGTTGAAAAGAGCTTGGCACCTTCCCCCACCTCCCTCTTCCTCCCTTTCTCACCGTGTGGTCTGCACGGGGCTCTCCTTCACCTCCACCAGGAGTGCACCCAGCCCAAGGCCCTCAGCAGAAGCCAATGCTGCTGCCTCTACAGCCTGCAGAACCCTGAGCCAAATAAACCTCTTCACACATTACTCAGCCTCAGGTGTTCCTTTACAGCAACACAAAGGGACTAAGACATACTGTTATTAAGAAACACTGAAGTTGTGCCTTTAATCCAGAGATTTCACTGTCCTTGTTTTCTCCAGTCCTCTAGAAAAACAGAACTAATGGAATTTTTTTAAAAATAGCATACCTCTCAGAAACCTCCAAAATTCTACATCTTAAGAAATTACCATTAGCATTATACGATCAACCACCTCTAGGTCCCATGTTGCTTCTTATGAATTCATAACATGCCACTGTATACAGTTTGAAGCTTCATCCCATCTTAGATTCTACATGATTACATTTTATTTCCAGCTTTATCTCAACATAAATATGAACTATACAGTATATCCAAAACACACCCGCCTCTACGTGATCTACAGCTTCTGTACAAAAGGCACACAAAGACACGAAATTTATTGCTATTATAATAATATGCTCCCCATACGATCTGTGCTTCAGTGGGACACTACATCTTATTAGCCCATGTCAGGCTTATATTGGTCTGCCACACACTCATGTATATTCAGAGTGGTTAGATATGTTCAGATATTTACAACACCCACGTCTCCAGTAATCCATTCTTTGAAAGAATACCCAGCAATCCAGCGTAAAATTATCATAGATGATTCCAAAACCTTCCAGTAGCGATCCTTGATTTGCTCTTCATGCATACTCTGCAAACTCCAGTTCCCACCAAAGGAATAAAACGACTAGAGAGAGAGTTCAAAACTAGTTGGTAATTTTAGCTGAAGCCATAAACGAGACCACTCTGCTCTGAAAGTCCAACCGACTAATCTAAGTCCATTCTTTAGAGTTATCAAGGACAGTCATATAAGCTTTATTTTCCTCTTAGCCAGCAAAGGGACAGGTCATGCCATAACAAATACTCCTTTTTTATACCTAGAAAAACACCACAGGGGAACAGGACAGTTTGTGACTATTAGAAAAAGCCTTGACCTCTAAAGCCAACCCAGCTGGCTTCTGGAACATGCGCCCATTACCTGGAGGCGCTCTAGGCCCTTGTCTTGCAGACCTGTTACGAGGACTAACAGTCCTTGCGTTTCTCGTAATTACCTGTAAATGGTTGGCTAGTATCTCCTGTCTAGAGTTTTAGATGGTACTGCACACCATTTCTTTCATCATGCGATTCAACAACTCGCTTTACAACAGACAGGAAAAAACTGTTAACTCTGGTGTAACTATAGACTGCGTTCATTAGACACTCTTGAGCCAGCCTCCACTCCAGAGCAAACCCCTGACTCCATAGACCCACCCCCCAAATAAGCTAATAACCAAGGCCCACATCCTACAATTGCTACTTCCTGACACCCTCTTAGGAGACACCCCAGCTCACTGTTGTTTGGGTCCCCCTTGCTGCAGGGAGCAACAAGCCCAGCTGCTTTAACTGCGGTGCGTTGCTGCTGCACTGCGGGGAAGGGCGTTGACCATTTGGGTGTACACATGAGTGCAGTGGCATGGATGAGTGTGGCCTGGGTTCCAGTCCTGGCTCTGCCATTTACTGATCATGGCCCTTGGGCACACTCTGCCCCTCTCAGAGCCTCAGTTTCCCTATATGCAAAACAAACATCCTCAGGAGGATGGTGTGAAACATGAGGCCAAATAAATAAGTGGTAGCACTTCCTATTGTCTGTTACTGTGGTATTCCAAAGACATTTCCCAGTGTTAAACCCCTAGAAATGGCAACTTCCTGATGGGGATGGAACTCATTTGGCAGGGGGCATGAGGCCACCAATCTGGAGCCTCCTGAGCTCCTTGCCACTGCCTGGGGCCCCTCCTCCCACGCCCTCATCCCTCCCACCCTCACCACTGGGTCCACCGCCAGCCTGGGCTCCCGTTTGCCTCAGCCCCGCCTCTCAGCAGAACTGCGGCAGCATGTCCAGGGACAAGGTTCTTAGAGGGACTGGATTTGGACCATTCCTCCCAGCCAGATATTTTGCAGCAGGGAGAGGAGGCTGCATCAGATTCCTATGCCCACAAAGCACCACCTCCTTTTCCAGTTAAGGCAATGTGGGGCTGCAAATTTTCATGCATTCAGGATCCTTCTGTAACTTAATTCCTTTGCCGTCAGTCCCCTCCCGCTTCTGCAGAATGCATGCTCCTAGCAACTCTCACAGACCTGACCCCTGACAGTCATTGCCCACCCGGAACTCCAAAGCCAGCAGGGCTTGCTGCTGCCTAGAAAGACCTATTGCCATCATTCCCTTGTCCCTGCTCTATAAACGTCCTTTTGGGAAAAGCACTCCCATCTCCCTCCTTTCCCACACAGACAGCGCACTATGCGTGCTATTAGTCTGTGCCTTTTGTAAAAATAGGAAGTGTCAGCCGGGCGCGGTGCCTCATGCCTGCAATCCTAGCACTTTGGGAGGCCGAGGCAGGCGGATCCCGAGGTCAGGAGATCGAGACCATCCTGGCTAACACGGTGAAACCCCGTCTCTACTAAAAATACAAAAAATTAGCCGGGCTTGGTGGCGGGCGCCTGTAGTCTCAGCTACTCGGGAGGCTGAGGCAGGAGAATGTCGTGAACCCGGGAGGCGGAGCTTGCAGTGAGCCGAGATTGCGCCACTGCACTCCAGCCTGGGCGACAGAGCGAGACTCCGTCTCAAAAAAAAAAAAAAAAAAAAAAAGGGAAGTGTCACATCCACTGTAAGCAATACTCCCTCTACAAACGCACTCCCAGACTAAACCGTCACGGACCTAAGAAGAGCACATGAGATCCGCAATCAGCCCCGGGCTCATGGCCTCCCACGGGAGGGAAAGCCTGTGGCTCCGCTTTCAGGAGCAATGTTATGGGAAGCTATATATGGAAACTAGAATTTGGCCTTACAGTGCTACGGTGCTGTACGTTTTATAAAATTAGAATCCAGTGTCTTTTAGAGGTGGCGGGAACCTTGGAGAGTGCATGCTGGGTAGGTGCCCCATTGAGAACACCCTGAGTGGGAGGGAACCCCGCCCAGCTAGCATATGGCAGTGAACAGGGAGTGAGGGGATGGCCCAGAACCCGCACCTGGCCTCACGCAGCCAGTCGCAGCACAGAGGCCACCAGGGGTCAGTCTAGCAGCATCATAAGTGAGAAAGACCCTGGTTCTTCTGCTCCATGGAGAACACCCCTGCAGTTCACTAGCCCAGCCCATGGCAGGCGGGGAAGCAGAACGGACTCTTCATAGCCACCAGCCTGTTGCCTCCTCGCCTGATGAAAATCAGACCAATACGAAATTACAGAGAGAAGGAAGAGCCATGACTTCTTAAAAAAAACAAAATAGAGCTTCTTCTTGATCAAAGAAAACCTGCTTTAAACTTGCCAAGTGGATTAACAGTTTTTAATCATTTATTATAAATACTGTACCAACACATCGATTATAAGGAACTGGTTTTCCCCAACCATTCTGGGTTTAGCCCCATCATCAACATTGTGAATAAATATTCCTAATGTAGCCATTGCCCTGTGCTAATAAACTTTCAACAGGTAAGAAACATGGCCTCAGGTGAGATATTTTACACCACACAGACATGGAGAGTCAGGCAGAGAAGCCACATGCCTATCACTCTATCCTTGTGGATTAGGTACAGGCCACCCGTTACTTGGGAAATTTCACCGTCAGTGTTTCCCACACTGGGGTTTTAAAATCTAGACACTTGGCTTCAAGATGCATTACAAAGACTAATAGTCATTAGTTCCTGGGAAGTGTCTGCATTAGAGTTGGCAGACATGTCCTGCCCACAGCCTTCCACACTACAAAGCAGCCATCTTCACAACAGATGGCTCGGCCAGTCACCAATAGCAAAAAAAAAAAAAAAAAAAAAAAAAAAAAAAAACCTCGTGCCAGTACAGGCCAGGTCCAATAGACACTCTTCTGACAGCAGGATTTTTTCACACTGAGATAAAATTCACATCAAACAAAATGCACTTTAACCATTTTAGAGTATAAAGCTCACTGCTTTTTAGTGTATTAACAGTGATGGGCAACCATCACCACTCTCTCATTCCAGAACATTTCATCAACACTGCCACCTCCCCCACCTCCAAAAACAACTTCCATGCCCATGAGCAGTCACTACCCACTGTCCTTCCCCTAGCCCCTGGCAACCACTATCTACCTTCTGTCTCTCTGGATTTGCCCATGCTTAACACTTCATATAAATAGAATCACACAATATGTGGCTTTTTGTGTCTGGATCCTGTCACCTCGGTAAAGTCTTTGAGGTCAGTGGCTGCTGTGGCATATGTATCAGTACTTCATTCCTTCTTATGGCTGAATAAGGCTTCCGTGTATGTATATACCACACATTTATCTACTCATCTGTTGATGGACATTCGAGTTACTTCCACTTTTTGGCTGTTATGAATAATGCCACTGTATACACAATGCATTCATGTACCAGTTTTTGTGTGAACATACGTTTTCCATTCTCTTGAGTATTACCCAGGAGTGGAATTCCTGGGTCAGATGGTTAATCTATGTTTAAATTTTTAAAGAACTGCCAAACTGTTTTACAAAGCAGCTGCACTTTGTAACATCCCCACCAGCAATGCACGAGTGATCTGACTTCTCCACATCCACTCCCACAGTTGTTTTTGCCCATTTTTCCTTTACCTTTTTTTTTCTTTTGGAAGTGCTATCTCATTTGCATTTCCCTAATGATTAATAATGTTGAGAATCTTTTCATGTGCTCATTAATGAGTCAATGGTATGTCTTAAAGAAATGTTTGTTCAAATCCTTTGTCCATTTTTTACTTAGACTGTCTTTTTATTGTTGATTTATACAAAGGTCTTTATATAAGTTGGATGTTAGATTCTTCCCCAATATATGATTTGCAAGTACTAGGCCCATTCTGTGAGTTCTCTTTTCAATTTCTTGATACACTTTTCTTGTACAAAGAGTTTCAATGTCATGAAGTCCACCTTCTCCATTGTTTTCTTTTGTTGCTGGTGCTCTTGTGTCTTAGTCTGTGTGTGCTGCTGTCAACAAAATGCCTTAGACTGGGTAATTCATCAACAACAGAAATGTATTGCTCCCAGCTCTGGAGGCTGGGAAAACCAAGATCAAGGCCACTCCTGTCCGGGTGTGTCACCAGCAAAATCTGCCAAGCCCTTAACCTCCTCTGAAAGTTCTGCTCACCTCCTTGCTGAAGCCAAAACTTAAAAACACAGGTCTATAAATTGTGGCATAGACAACGTTGGTTGTGCTTGAGCAAGAGACCTTCCATTGTATTTTAATCCTCACTGGACTTACAGAGAGTAACTGTATATTTTGTGGCGGTGGTGGGTTTTTTTAAGCTATTTTTAAAATTGTAGTAAAACATATTTAATAATATTTGTCATTTTAACTTTCTAGGTGCACAATTCAGTGTCAATTACATTCACAGTGTTGTGCAACCATCACCCCTATCTATTTCCGAACTTTTCCATCATTCCCAACAGAAACTCTGTAAACGTGAATCCATGATTCCTCATTGCCTACTCCCCCCAGCTCCTGGTAACTTCTATCTGCTTCCCGTCTCTATGAATTTGCCTGTTCTAGATATTTCCTGTAAGTGGAACCATACGATGTTTGTCCTTTTGTGTCTGGCTTCTTTCACTAGCATATTTTCAAGTTTCCTCCATGCTGTAGCAGGCAAGAGAGTTTCCCTCTTGTTTCAGCTGGATAATGTTCCATCAGCTGGATAATGTTCCATGGAATGTATACACCTCATTTTGTTTATCCATTCATCATTTGATGGACATTTGGGTTGTTTCAACCTTTTGGCTATCGTGAATGATGCTGCAGTGAACATTGGTTTACTATTATCTGAGACCTTGTTTTCAATTCACTGGGGTGTATACTTAAAAGTGAACTGCCGGGTCGATGGTCAGCCCATGTTTAGCCTTGTAGGGAAACATCAAACTGCTTTCCACAGAGGCTGCACCATCTCACATCCCCACCCACAGTGTGTGAGGGTTCCAATTTCGCCACACCCTCAGCAGCCGTAGTTACGGTGTGTGCACACGGCCATCCTAGGAGGTGTGAGGTGTGGCTTGTCACTGTGGTTTTTATTTTCATTTCTCTTATGATTAATGAAGTTCACATTTCATGTGTTTGTTAACCATTTGTATAGCATCTGTGGAGAAATGTCTGTTCGAGTCTTTTGCCCAGTTAATTGAGTTGGATATTTTTTTGTTGTTGGATTGTAGGAATTCTTTATGCATTCTAAACACTAAATCCTTATCAGATAAATGATTTGCTAACATTTTTCTCATTCTCTGGGCTACCCTTTGATGATGTCCTTTAATTTAAAAATTAAAAGGTTTTTTGGCCAGGCACAGTGGCTCATGCCTGTAATCCCAGCACTTTGGGAGGCCAAGGCAGGTGGATCACCTGAGGTCAGGAGTTCGAGACCAGCCTGGCCAACATGGTGAAACCCCATCTCTACTAAGAAGACAAAAATTAGCTGGTCATGGTGATGGACACCTGCAATCCCAGCTACTCAGGAGGCTGAGGCTGGAAGATTGCTTGAGCCCGGGAGGCAGAGATTGTAGTGAGCCGAGATTGCACCACTGCAGTCCAGCCTGGGGGACAGAGCGAGACTCCGTCTCAAAAAAACAATAAAACAAATAAAAATTAAAAACAAAAAGTAAAAGATTTTTATATTGATCAAGTTCAGTTTATCTATTTTTCTTTTATTGCTTGTGCTTGGAGTGTTATACCTGAGAATCCACTGCGAAATCCAAAAATATTTACCTCTTTGTTTTCTTAAGAGTTTTACAGTTTGGGCTCTTATATTTAATATTTAGGTCATTGATCCATTTTAGTTAGTTTTTTTATATGTGTGAGATAGAGGTCTGACTTTTTGTTTGTTTTGTTTGTGGAAATCAAGTTGTCCTGGTACCATTTGTTGAAGGGATTATTCTTTACCCCAATGAACAGACTTTGCAGCTGTGTCACCTTCCCTGGATCCTTCCCTGTTATTCTCTGTTCTCTTTTTCAGACCATGGAGAAGCTCTCCTCCCTCTGGCCCATGAAACCTTTCAGGAATTTGATGGATCAGCTATCACATTCCCCTGGCCCCATCCCCAGTTTGCTTTCCTCCATGGAAGGAAGTAATATTTAATAAGCAGCTACTAAGTGCTAAACTAATGCATTGTTTCACTTCACATCACTACTCAGAAAGGTAAACACAGTTATTATCACCATGTGACAAATGAGAAGACTGAAGCTCCCCAAGGTTAAGTAACCTCCCTGAGGTCTCACAGCCAGACTGCAGAGTCCAGGGCCTTGTCATATTATACCGAGCTAATCTGCCAGTTTTGGTTTTTTTCACTTCGTCCACCAGAACAAAATTTTGAGTTTATTTAGCGTGTCTACAGGGTAGAGGCCATTCTCCCAGCTCTCTGAGGAAGAAGGTGTCCAGGGAATGCAGAGCTAGCAATGAGTCAGAGCTGAGGGGAGCACCGGGCCAGGGCCTGCCGAGGAGCGGGGAGTGGATAGGGTTTCGCTGGGTTCAAATTCTCCCTCCTAGCTGTGTGGACTGGGGCAAGTCAGGCCACCTCCCTGAACTTCCGGTGCCTCATCTGTGAAATGTTTACAGATGGTGAAATTGGACTTTCATTCAAGATGGCAGACCAAGTACACATAGAAACCATTCTTCAAACACTTAGCAATGACAGGAAAATACCAGGTATACAAGAGACCACTGCAGAGATGCCCAGAGACAAGGGTTGAAGCCCCCCACCACCTACCCATTAGGAGGCTAGTACCAATGCAGGGCCCCCTAATGTATGAAGCCAAGAGCACAGGCTCTCATATACAGCCCTTACAAGATACACATGCAAGAAATATTCTGAAGAGACAATGGATTCACAACCACTTCATGAAATTTCCACAAACTCCCCAACTGGAAGAATTTACGTCTGAGGAAATAGAGAATAATAGTGCAACCTTAAAAGAATTTTGCAATAAATATATTAAAAACTCAAAGAGATAAAGAAGGGAATAACAGCCATAAACAAGAACAGGAGGCCGGGTGCAGTGGCTCATGCCTGTAATCTCAACACTTTGGGAGGCCGAGGCGGGTGGATCACCTGAGATCAGGAGTTCAAGACCAGCCTGACCAATATGGTGAAACCCTATCTCTACTAAAAATACAAAAATTAGCTGGGCATGGTGGCGGGTGCCTGTAGTCCCAGCTACTCAGGAGGCTGAGGCAGGAGAATCGCTTGAACCCGGAACGTGGAGATTGCAGTGAGCCAAGATCGCGCCATTGCACTCCAGCCTGGGCAACAAGAGCAAAACTTTATCTCAAAGAAAAGAAAGAACAGGAGACTATGAGACAAAAGCAGGCAGATATAAGAAAGAACCAGGAGCTCATATGTGAAAAGTTTCATTGCTAGAATAAAAACTCCACAGAAGCGGAAGTGGAGAGCCAGAGGTGGGAGGGATTTAACAAGGCCACATGGGATTTTAGTGGCAGCCACGGAGCCAGAACCAAGGCCTAACTCAGGAGTTTGGTTCCGAGGAGGATGAATGTATGTGCTTTCTTCTCCCTTTTTTTCTTTCCCATTTCTCTCCCTGAAGTATAAGGTTGGTGCTGAGCTGAACACCACAGCCCCTTCCTAGATGAGAAACAGGGCTTCCATGCCTTGATTGGGCAGGGTGGGACAAAGAGTTTTGCCTCAAGATGGAGAGCTAACAACCTCTGTCCTCTAGAACATGAATTAAACAGAACCTTAATGTCTACAGAGGAGTTTGTTAAATGAAGCCCAGAAAAGCTGCCAATAGAGTTGCCTCTTACATATTGGCCTTGGGATAGTGGGCATGTTGGGTCTGTAAACCAAGTCCTCAGAGCCTTGGTTTCCTCAACTGTAAAATGGGTTCAAGAGTCCCCACCCCAGGCAGATGTTTTGAGAATTAAACAGGAAGTTGTGTGTTCGAGGCACCCAGCACATCAGAATTGCCTCCCACAAATACCTTCCTGGGGCTTCACAGCCCTCTAATTTGAGCTCAGAGATACCTCAGACAAGGACAAAGCTACAGGCACATGGGACCCCAGCCTCCAACAGAGAAGAGAGAAATTTGAAACCCTGAAGGGACAAAAGGTGAATGGAAGCAGAACAGGAAACTGATTCACCATATCCTCACCCATGTGGCCACAGGGCAGCCTACGCCCTTGGCCTTTTGCTCAGAGCAGAGGATGGGGCCTGAGAAGGTGCGAGCTCTGTGCTGGGCATGAGGCCATGAGACGTTCACAGCAAGAGGTGGCATCTGTCAAGCTGGCGCACATCTGAAAACACTGCTCAACTTCGCCACTTACAAGAGAAATGCTAATTTGTCTTAATTTACACAATAAGATATTTTTCCCATCTAAAATTAAAAAATGTTTTTAAAATGGTAAAACCCAATGCTAGGAAGCCGTGGACCTGGTAGATGGAGATGTTAGTTGCTTCCTGGCCAAGGAGTCAGGAAATATGAAACAAAGAGGATGTTACTGACCTCCCATCTTGATCACCGCACCAGGCCTTGCGTTTTCTTCCCATTTCCAAACTCAGCCTTCCAGCCCCGCCAAAACCTCTCTTTGTTTCCAGAAGGACATTCTCTCCCACTACACACTATTCCTGCTCCCTGGGATACTTTCTTTACGGTCCCCAACCAAATGTCACTCACCCTTCAGAACTCAGCTAAGGCGTTCCCTCCTACAGGAAGCCCACCAGATTGGCCCCTCTCAGCTGGCTCAGGAGCTTCTCTGGACCTCCAGGGCCCAGTGGGCTGCCACCATGCCAGTGGTTATCACCCTGAGCCTGTGTGCCTCATGACACACGTCTGGAATAGGCACATGATCAATAGAGGAGGAGTGAGATATTTGGAGAAGAGGTGTGCTCTGTATGGTCTTGGAACGGTAAAGGGAATGGGGGTCAAGGTTGGTGTCAGCAGCTGGAAAACCTTTCTAAGAATTGTAACTCACTTACCAGCCCAGGCTGCGTTGAGAGGTAATGGATGAGCTGCCCATCACAGGAGGTGTGCAAGCAGTGATCAGAAACTGCGTCCCTCAGCCCCTCTCCTCCATACCCAGGGAGCCTGGGCGGGGAGCTTTCCTAGCGGACATCACCCGGGAGGGAACGGGGAGCTTTCCTCGGGGACATCACCTGGGGGGGACGGGGAGCTTTCCTAGCGGACATCACCCGGGAGGGGACGGGGAGCTTTCCTAGGGGACATCACCCCGGGGGACGGGGAGCTTTCCTAGGGGACATCACCGGTGGGGACGGGGAGAGCTTTCCAGGCAGCGGCAGCGGTGAATGCAGAGGCCCAGAGGGGAGTCCGCGTGGGCGCTGGAAACCCTGGAGGAGGGTGAAGGGGCTTGGTCAGAGCCGCCAAGAGAAAAGATCCTGCAAGCACCTTCCAGGGGACTGTTGGGAAAAAGCTGAGTGTTGGGAGGGAAACTGAGATGGGGCTTGCATGACTGAAATAATGGCCTCTGGAACGTGTCTAGACTTGCTGGCTCCTTGCTTCTAGCCTTCCTAGGCTCCTAGATCGATTGTATTCCCATTATCTCAAGTAGCAGAACATGTTCCGTAGAAAAGCTAAACCATCACAGCTGTAAATCATGTGCTTAATGCAACGTGTCCTTTTGACAGCCACATTCTCACCACCTGTTTCTTTGTTGGATTACAAATAAATACCGTGGGCTCCCAGAGCTCAGGGTCTTCGCAGCCTCCATGATGGCGATGACCCCCTGGTGTCCCACTTTTATCTCTCAAACTGTCTTTTTCTCAATCCTTTGACTCTGCCGGACTTTGTCACCCCCACGACCTGGTGTTGGGTCTGATCACCCCAACAGGGGACAGGAATGGGGACCTGGAGGTGAGGGCCTGAGGTCGTGCTGCTAGCGGAAAAGGAGACGTGCAGAGGTGAAGCAGGCAGTGAGGGCGGGATTGACCCCAGCTGGCCTCGGCCTCTGGAAACATCGCCACCTGGAGAGTGCTCTGCGGAACTGCACCCTCTTTCGTTGGTTCCTCAGCGGACATCTCTGGTGGGTCTGTTAGCGTTCCCAATGTACTTGACACCCATTTTTTAATGCCTCCTTCTTATAAAATAAGATTACTTTCATCAATAATGATGACATGAAACATAATGATGACCAAAAGGCAATGAAAGCCACAATTCATTTACTGTCTGATATATTTTACATAATGTAAGTCGTTCAGCGACTCACAAATGAATTTTAATAAAACTGAACTACCTGCAAACCACGATTTAAGAAACCACTAAATTGATGCAATTTGTCTTAATTCGTTCATTAGCTTTTAAAACAATTAATTTAAAAACAATGTTTGCATTTTGGTATTTTTCAGATTCAAATTCAGTAATACGGTTCATACGGGAGCTAATACGTGCATCTACCAATGAAAAGCATTGTATCTCATGATTTGCAAGGCACCCCTGGGGGGGTGAAGACCCCAGCTGGATGGGGGAGGGGGGGTTAGCGTTTGTTAAAATAGCTCCAGGTGATCCTAACGTGCACCTGGCATGGGGCACACTCATCTCCACACAGGGGAGCTGGGCTCAGCCAGGCACGCAGCCCTTGGGCCCACACCCGCCTGGCCTCAGGTTCCCCACTCCACCCCAGCCGCTCACTCACATGAAGGTGTCCCTAGGGTGGAGAGTGGGACCCAGCCCCATCTTCCCAGGGGTCACTTCCAGGCTCAGTCCACACAAGAACAGTCACCTCCATGCACTTTTCATAACCCACCCCTCCCCTGACACCTACCCTCACCCCGGAAAAGATGAGGGCGCTCAGACAAGAGGGAAGCTGGGTTTATTCTGGTGATCTACGCCTGACCACCTGAGGATGCCCAGGCTCCAATGTCAGGGCCCAGGGGAAGGCATCCGTGTAAGCAATGCCCTCAGCTCAGGGCCCTCCGGGAGCCACCAGCCCAGGACAGGCTGCACAGCCGCACCCTCCCGGACCTCCCTGCTCCCCAGCCAGAGAGGACAGGGGGCCAGGCAGGCAATGCAAGGCCGGTGTGGCCTGAGACACCCCCTACCACAGCCCAGCTGTGTGTGGAGACAACCAAGCAGGGCTCAGCCAGACTGCAGGACCTGGGGTGGGGCTGAGGGTGGGGAAGAGCCGGCGTGGAGGGCTCCCCTGGGCAGCGGGAGCTCAGGCACAGGCAGCCTCAGCCTTCTGTGTGCTGCCTGGGGGCCCTTCCACCTTGCTGGCCAGGCTGTAGTAACAGGCTCGCATGCGCTGCTCCACGGTCAGGAAGTCGGGGCGATCCTCCCACCTGTGGGGCGTGGGGTACATCCAGGCTGCTGACCACGCCCCCAGGACCCAGCTTCACCAGTGGGTGGGCATGCACTGTGCTTGGCTGAGGTAGACTTTTGGGGCTCAGAAAGTCAGCAGGGCTGTTGGGGTGGCGGGACATTGGGTGGTGGAGAGGACTCTGGGGTGTGAGAGCGTTGGGCAATGCCACACAGCCTAAGGAGGCAGAGCTGCCCACACACAGGGTGCTGGGATGACCCCTCTACCGAGCGTTGACCAGTGAGGACTCAGGGGACTGAGTGGACTTGGTGTCAGAGTGGCAACTATTGACCACGGGGACCTGGGATATAGAAAGCTGATGCTCTGTGCATGCACCTGGGGCCAGGGTATCAGTGTGCTGGGGCTTAGATGAGAGGGAGTGCAAGGCTGGTGATCAGCAGAAGCCTGGAGCATGGCAGTGGGTCTGGCCAGCGGGGAGCGGCAGTATTAACGGTACTGTGCATGGGGTATCCATGGACTGTGTTGGGGTGCTAGGTGCTAGCCTCTTTGGGTACTGGGGTGTGGTGCCCTGGGTGTTTCCTGATGGAGGTGGAATTAACACATGTCGCAGGAGGGTGGGCCAGCCAGAGAGGGTGTCTATCTGTTGGGCTGCTTGGGTGTTGGGGTGTCAGCATGCTAAGTGCTGGCCGGTGGGGGGTCATGCGTTACAGTGTCCACACATTGCATGGGCAGTCTAGGGCGTCCGCTTGTCTGGGGGTGTGTTGCCTGTTGTCTGATGGGAAGTTGGGATACTGATGGTGTTAGGAGTTGAGATGTCTGAAGGTTGGGCTTCAACCAGGCAGAGGTGGGGGCTGGAATAGATGAGTATTTGGTACCTCAGTGCTCACCTGTCTGGTAGTTGGGTGCTGTGTGCTGGCTGGTGGGGACTGGAGTGTTGGGTACTGGAGAATCATCTCATGCCCTGAGTGTCAGTGTCATAGGTTGAGTAGCAGAGTATGGACCTGTTTGCGTGTTGCAGGGTCCATGTGTTGAGTGATGGCTGAGGTTTTAGATGCTGAGGCACAGGCCCACAGGTGGGATGGCAGGGTGTGGCACACTGGAGCAGGACAGCAAACCCTGGTGTGTTGGAGAGCTGGGTGTGGGGGTAGGGGGCAGCTGCAAAGGCTATGAACTGGGTGAAGGGCTTTGGGTGAGATGACATTGGGTAGAGTTATATTGACATCAACTCATCGGGCACCAGGACTTTCCAGGGGTCAGCCCAGCCGGGTCCCCTCCCCACTGGCACTCACTTGTAGATCCAGCAGTCACTCATGAGTGCGTACAGTTCGGGTGGACACTCTGGTGGGCACTCCATCCGCTTGCCCTGCTCGATGAAGGCCATGACCTCCGGCCCTTTCATCTTCTGCTCAAGCCGGGGCAGAGACACCTGTGAGTGACCAGTGTCCTCCTCCTCATCCCCCTCCCCACCACACCGCCCACCTGCCTCTGCCCGCGCCTGCCTTGTAGGGCTTCTGGCCGTAGGACAAGGCCTCCCACATGGTGACCCCATAGCTCCAGACATCGCTGCGGCTGGAGAACTTGCGGAAGTTGATGCATTCGGGTGCGTACCACTTGAGCGGCCACTTCCCTGCTGAGCGGGCCTGGGGAGGGGGAGATGCTGCTGGATCAGGGGTCAGGGACCCTCTACCCACCCAGCCCATCCAGTCGGGCATCACAGGGGCAGAGGCTTACAGTGTAGTAGCTGTCGTCGGCACCCAGTGCTTTGGAGAGGCCAAAGTCGCTGATCTTGGCGTAGTGCCGGTTAACCAGCAGGACGTTGCGGGCCGCCAGGTCACGGTGCACAAAGTTCTTCTCCTCCAGGTACTTCATCCCCATGGACACCTGGTGCAGCAGCTCGGCCACATTGCTCACAGGGATCTCCTCCCTGGGGTGGCGGGGAAGGCGGGGTCAGCTGGGAGAAGACTAGCCAAGTTCCCAGGGGCAAAGCATGCTTCTCTGACCCAGCTGGGCATGAGCCAGGTGACCATGTGTTCAAAAACGCTTATTGAGCACCTGCTGTGTGCCAGGCGTGGGGCTGGGGACACAGCAGTGAACAAAACAGGCAAAACTCCTGCCTTCATCCAGTCTCAAGGCTTTAGGGATCACCCACACGCTACGACTCCCAAGTCTAGACCTATGCCTGCACCCTCGACGTGCTGAGGTCTCACAGGCATCTCAAAGATAATGTGGCCTGATTGTCCCCATCCCCATGTGCACACACATATGGCTCCTCCACTGTCCTCTCCAGCAGCTCCTCTTTCTCTCACACCCAATCCATCAGCAAACCCTGGCAGTTCTGGTGTCAGAATCTCTCCAGAATCCACCGCACTCCTCATCTCTGCCTCTGCCACCGGGAAGCAGCCGCAGCATCACTCACCTGGACCCCCAGGCAGGAATAGTCAGCTCCGCCCAGGCCCTCGCTCCCTCCTGTCTCCCACTGTCTTGTCCTCTCTGCCCCTGAGTCAGGTCCTCCCCCTCCTCTGCTCACAGCACCCCCTAGCTCCCACCCAACTCAGGGTAAAACTCCAAGTCCTCCTGGCAGCCCGCAAGGCCTGGCACGGTCTGCTCATCCCCTCCCTGCCCGCACCACACGAGGCACGGGACCACCTCAGGGCCTCTGCACAGGCGGTGCCCTTTGCCTGGAATGCCCTTCCCCACGTCTGGGCATGGCGGCCTCCCTCAGTTTGTTCAAACCTCCCTGCTCACTGCACCTCGCACCCCAACACTCCCAACCCCCTGGAGCTGCGGCAGGCTTGTGCCCACCACACTATCTTCCCACATGCTCTAGATTTCATCAGGATTGTTACTTACTGTCTCTCTTCTCCAACCAGAATACAGAGCATGGATCTCTGCCTTGTTTATTCGCTAATGAATCCCAAGTGCTACTAACAGTTCCTGTCACTGAGAAACTGTCCAATAAACACCTGTCAAATGACTGAATGTGGGAGCCAGGGGCACACTGGGAAGGTGTGTGCACCAGCCAGAGGGCACAGATCAGCAAAAACGTGCCTTGGGGAGTGCAGAACTTGTGTCTGTGAGGGTAAGAGTTTGGGGATGAGGAACCACAAATGAAACTGCAAAACTTTTCAGTAAAGGGCCGGATAGTAAGGATTTTAGCCTTTACAGGCCACAAGTGATCTCTGTCACATCTTCGTTTTTGTTTCTTTAAAAAAAAAAAAATTAAAAATAGAAAACCACGCAGCACGTAAACAAAGGGCAGGTTCCAGATAACTGGCAATGGGCACTTTCCCAGGGGCCATGAATTTGGCCCAGGGAGTCTGGGGAGCAGCTGATGTGTACAAAGCTCTTACTAGCAGTGCCCTTTATTTATTTTTATTTATTTATTTTTTTGAGATGGAGTTTCGCTCTGTCCCCAGGCTGGAGTGCAGTGGCACAATCTCGGCTCACTGCAAGCTCCGCCTCGTGGGTTCAAGCGATTCTCCTGCCTCAGCCTCCTGAGTAGCTGGGAGGCGCCCACCACCACGCCCAGCTAATCTTTTGTATTTTTAGTAAGGACGGGGTTTCACCATGTTGGCCAGGATGGTCTGGATCTCTTGACCTCATGATCCACCCGCCTTGGCCTCCCAAAGTGCTGGAATTACAGGCATGAGCCACCGCACCCGGCCCTAGCAGTGCCCTTTATAGGTGCCGACTCATTCGATCCTCGCAAAGGCCCTGGAGGTAGACACTGTTATTACCGCACTGGTGCAATGGTGGACTGAGGGTTAGCTCTGCTTTGCAGGCATGGGTATGGGTGTGGGTGTGCAGGCTGAGAGTGTGTCCACGATGGTGTGGAAGTGCCCCGGCTTCCCACACACGCATGCACGCGGGTGCATGTCCACCATGCCCAGGATGGGCCCCGGCCCCACCCACCCGATGGCCGGGCCCACCCGGTGCTCACCTCTTGCCGACCAGGAACTTGTGCAGCGGCCCGCCCCCAGCCATCTCCATGACCAGCATGAGGGCCTCGGCCTGGCAGACGCCAATGAGCCGCACGATGTAGGGGTTGTCCAGCTGGTGCATGATCTGCGCCTCGCGCATCATCTCTTCCGTGTCTGCCTTCTCCGTGCCCTGCTTCAGCACCTTGATGGCCACGTCGATCTGCTTCCTGCCCGACCCGGCCACGGGAGGCACGTGGGCGAGGGGCACCGGCCCTGCTCGGCCCCACACCCCCACCCACCCATCTCTCTTCTCCCTTGAGTTGTGTGGTAGACAACTGTAGTCGCCACCCAGGCTGGGACCAAGGCGCTCAATGTCCCTGCAGCCTGGAGCGTCTGCTGAGGACGGCTCACAGCCGGATCGCTCACCGGGAACAGCCCATCGCCAAAAAGAATCCAAAGTGACACCCTCCCCAGGGGCAGCCTGTCAGGGGCCAGTGGACTCAGGGATCGGGGACCCCACTGCAGCTCCCCTGGGTTGGGAACTTCAGCTCCACAGCCTCCCCCTGCCCAGGCCCCATCCCACCCCCGTCAGGTGTCCCGAGCTCTCTCAGGGAATCCTCCAGCGTGCAACGTCCTGCCCCAGAGTCTGTTTCCCAGGCAAACTGCTGTGAGACAGACATCCCGGCTCCCGTCCCACAGCCCGGTGAAGCCACTCCCCTCTGCCCCAGGCGGCGGTGCTCCCACCACGGCAGGGGCGGCCATACTTGCGCATGCGGTACACGCCCTGGCGCACTGAGCCAAAGTTGCCGCAGCCAAGTTCAATGTCAGCTATGAGGAGGTTATCGCGCTTCAGGAAGAGCTTCTTGTCCTTGAGCTCCTCTGGGTCGCTGTAGGGGCTCTCATACACGCTCGTGTCCATGGGCATCGGCCGCGGTTTGTCTGGGGACGTTATGCGTGCTGGGCACACACAGCGGTACACTCCCAGGTCAGGGGCAGGGGTGTGGGGAGCAAGGCAGCCTCAGCCCCCACAAGCACCTGCCCCAGACAAGGGTGCCGTCCCTGGAGCATGCACAAGCAGGTGGGTGCCCATGCGTGTTCCTGCACATCCACACGCACACACTGGCATACACTCCTGGCCACAGCTGTGGGTGCCCCATGAAGCCACATGAGGGTGGACTCTAGGGGCGTGTGCATTGGTATCCACGTGGCACCGTTACTGTGCCAGCTGGGGTGTGCATGTGTGTGCATTCGTACGTGTACGCCTATGGCCGGGCCCGTCCCTGTCTGCGTATGCAGCACACAGCCACATTTACGAGGCCTCCAAAAGCGAGCCTCTAGGTGCACATGTAACTATG
The DNA here is from genome assembly GCF_000001405.40 of Homo sapiens. NCBI lineage: Eukaryota > Metazoa > Chordata > Mammalia > Primates > Hominidae > Homo > Homo sapiens. The sequence goes on along the minus strand of NC_000002.12, from coordinate 97,734,121 downwards.
TGTCTTCTCTGTGCATACACATGTTCAGGTCTGGGCCCACCCATGAGAAACAGGAGCACCCGCAGCAGACCATTTTAGGAATGTGAGCTCTGGGGCCCATCGTGGGTTCACATCCCGCCTCTACCACTGCCTCACATCCCCATAGACAGACCCCTCCCTCTCTCATCTGTAAAGTGAGGTTAATCACCATAGCCACTTCATAAGGCATGTCAGGAGGGTTCGGTGGCTCATACACACAGTGACCTCGGAACGTGACTGACACATAGTAGGTACTCAACAAACGTGTGTCTGGGGAGCCTCAGGCAAGGCCAAGTGTGCTCCCTGCACGTCAGTACACACTGGGACGTACATGTGCACAGGCAGGTGTGATGGGTGTGGGCACATGTGTGCACAGGTGTTAACCAAGCCAACTGCCACAGCCTGGCCCGGCCCACAGCGCCCCCCGTGAAACCCCACAGCCCTGACAGCGACCCTGATCTCGGCTCAGCATGAGCCCCAACCCGCGTCCCCACCTCTGCCCGCTCACCTGGCTCAGGGGTGTATCCATCTGAGTTGAGGGTGTCGATTCGTCTCTGAGGCTAAAGGCCACAGGGTCAGCAAGGCCTGAGCTGGGGACGTCCAGCCCCTCTCATGAGACCTATATCCACTGAGGACTCCCAGAGACAGTGGAGAGAGAGCTTCTTCCGCTCCACAGGCACCCCAGCCTCCATCCCAGCCTCCCCCACAGCCACTCCCCAGCTCCATCCCCAAGGCCACACTCCAGGTGCCCCCAACTCACATGAGTCAACGTGGATGGGTGGGCTGGGAGTGTGGGAGCAGCAGCCCCTGGGGGAGCAGAAGGGACAGTGAGGGCTGGGGGCCAGGTCTCCTGCCGCCCCCGCCCACCGCCCGCCCGCCTGCTGCCGTCACCTGAGGCGTTGCTGGCACTGCTGTTGGGGCAGGCCTCCTTCAGGCAGTAGATGAGCCCGTCCGCCTTCAGCTTCAGATACTCCACCAGCTGCAGGGAGCAGGCAGCTAGCAGAGAGGCTCCTCTCCTCCCCAGAGCCCGGCACCCCATCTGAGCACGGCATCTCCCAGAACAAGTTGCACGGGCAGCCTACCTGCCAGAGCGTGTCAAACTTGGTGCCCTCGGGAATGCAGTACTTGCCCGCCTTGTCTTGGCTGATGAGGTAGTGGTACACCGTCTTCCCATAGATGAGGGACAGGGCGTATGTGCCCTGCTCCTTCCGCGGCCTCAGCCTGGCAGGGGAAGGGAGGGGATGTAACCCCTAGAGCCACCTGGGGGCCTCCTGCTGTGCCCCGGTTCCCCCGCAACACACCCTATGGGCTCCACACCTCAGAGCCTTGCAGAGAAGCTGCAGGGACTGGGGAAGCCAGGCCAGGCCCCCATCACCTCCAGATCTGCTGATGATGGGCCAAGTGGCAGAGGGCGGTGGAGGGGCCATGGCTGTGTTCCCAGGAAAATGCACTGTTCTCCAAGAGCCAACAGATGGCCATTCACGGGGAATACCTGACCCCCCACGGTGGACACCCAGCCACGGAGGAGGGGACACCCATCCACTGGGGAACACCTGGTCCCCCATGGCTGAACAGTTGGCCATCCACGGCCAGACACTTGCCATCCACAGAGAGATAGTCATCCACAGGCACTCATTGGGGGTACACTCGGCCATACAGTCAGCCAACCATGGGGGGCACTTGGCCTTCTACAACAGACCCAGAGCCTTCAACAGGTAGACCTAGCACCATTCTCCTGGGGAGAGAAAGCCTTTTCCACACAGACCCACACAGGTAGGCGCAGCTCCATGACAAGCTTACAGGGCACCCCTGTGCAAATCAAAACAAGTCACTTTCTCATCACGAGACTGACCAGTTCCATAATAGATGGACCTTTCCTAGAATGAGACCCTCGATTGCCTTCTGCTGGAATTTTGTCAATATAAATATATAAATCTTCCATGTCTATGATGGGAATTGAGCCCCTCAAAGGTGGTGCATTTGTGGGGTAAGAAACTGTCCCCCCATCCGCTCCAGCCCTGAGTACACACATCCCCCCTCAACACAGACCAACTTAGTGTCAGACACCGGCACCCTCGCATGAAGCCCCACAGTGACACCAGTCAGCATCCCCCACACAACAGTTTTGTCTGGGGTCACTGGCACAAGCCTCTATTGCAGGGTCAAGTGTAGCTTTACAGTGAGGAGGGAGGGCAGCTGGCCCCGTGGAAGCTGTGGAGGCCGGAAGCAGCCGACTCCTGATCTCAGGGATTGCACTGCACTACAGAAGAGCCCTTGTGATGGCCTGCGAGCTGCACCCTCCAAGGTGCAAATTCTCAGACCAGGCCTGGCCCTGCCTGTGGATGTTCATTCACTGGACAAGTCTTTACTGACAGGCCAGGCACTGTTCTCAGCGCAGGGATATGGCAGTGAGCAAGGCAGCCATGGGCCCACCTTGCAATAAGGCCCTTCCTTAGGAAATGTCCCCTGAGTGAGGGAGAGAGGTGCAGCTGTGACCATCCTCTCCATTCCTGGACAGCACGTTCCCCGAAGTACAGTGCAGTGAAGGGTGGGGCAGTTCCCAGGCTAGCCCACAACAGTCTGGAGATAACATGGAGAGATGGGAAATCAGGGCGGGGGCAATGAGGGCACACAAAAGGGCAAGGAAGAGAACCCACCACAAATTAGGAAACAAACATCCCACAGAGACAGTAGGCTGGGACAGCAGATGCAGCGCCGTCACGTGAAACCCCGCAGTGACACCAGTCAACATCTCCCACAAAACATTTCTATTTTGAGTCACTGGCACAAGCTCCTGTTAAGTGCAGCTTTCCAGTGAGGAGGGAGGGCTATTGGCCCTGGGGGTCTCAGAGCTGTGGAAGTCAGAGGCAGGTGGCAGGCTGGCCTGGAGGTGATGGTCTCCAGGGACTGTGAGAAGTGAAAACACCTCCTAAGGGTCACAACCTGAAGTTTTAAACTGACAACAGAGACTCCATGCCAAGCCACTCACCAGCAAACAGCAAACCTCCCATCTCCCCTCCTCTGTCTCTTTTTTTTTTTTTTTTTTTTTGAGACCGAGTCTCGCTCCACAGCCCGGGCTGGAGTGCAGTGGCGTGATCTCGGCTCACTGCAAGCTCTGCCTCCTGGGTCCATGCCATTCTCCTGCCTCAGCCTCCCAAGTAGCTGGGACTGCAGGTGCACACCACCACGCCCAGCTAATTTTTTGTATTTTTAGTAGAGATGGGGTTTCACTGTGTTAGATAGGATGGTCTCAATCTTCTGACCTCGTGATCCACCTGCCTCGGCCTCCCAAAGTGCTGGGATTACAGGCGTGAGCCACCAAGTCTGTCTGTCTCTTTCATTCTTTCTTCTAGAACTAATAATTTCCTCCTTATTTGTTTATTTAAACTTCCATGTGGAATACTGGGGGAAAACAGCCACAATATTAGGGAGCTCTTCCCATCAATAGGTGGGGCCTCCTCCTCTGTCTTCTGAATCAGGGCTTGACCATGTGCCTTGCTAACAGGACATTAGCAAACATGACACAAGCAGAGGCTTGAAAAATGGTTGAACATTGAGGTTGGCCTGCCCTCTCTTGCTTTTCCTGGCAGCTCTCCAAATACCATGGGAATGAGTCCAAGCTAGCCTGCTAGAGAAGGCCCATGGAGGAGAACCAAGGCACCCTACATGAGTGGCCAATAGCCATTCATGTGAGTGAGGCCATCCCAGAGACCATCCAGCTCCAGCCAATCTTCCAGCTGGCTGTGGCCACATGAGTAAGCTCAAAAACCCAGCAGAAGAGGCACCCAGCTGAACTCAGCCCAAATTACCAAGCAACCAGCCAAATTGCCAAGCAAAACAAGAGTGAATAAATGATCGGTGTTTGTTTGTTTGTTTGGGACAGAGTTTTGCTCTTGTTGCCCAGGCTGGAGTACAATGGTGCAACCTTGGCTCACTGCAACCTCCACCTCCTGGGTTCAAGTGATTCTCTTGCCTCAGCCTCCCAAGTAGCTGGGATTACAGGCACCCACCATCATGCCCAGCTAATTTTTGTATTTTTAGTAGAGACAGGGTTTCACCATGTTGGCCAGGCTGGTCTCAAACTCCCGACATTAGACGATCCGCCTGCCTCAGCTTCCCAAAGTGCTGGGATTACAGGTGTGAGCCATCACACTTGGCTGTAAATGACCATTGTTTTAAGCCACTACATTTCAGGGTATGAATACAGCACATTGTTACACAGCAAAAGCTAACCAATACACTCTTTGGAAAGAGATGTGTGAGTTCATAAAGAGCAGCTGCAAATTCCCAGATAATAACCACAAAAGCTAAGACATTGGTGTTATCACCACATATATTTCAGTACCATAAGTTCTACTTGATTTACAAAAAAAAAAAAAAATGCTAGGTAGTGGCAGTTCTTTGTTCTTGCAGTTGGAACTTGCACTTAAGCCAGAAGTACAGGCTAAAAAATCAACTTGTATCTCTGCTCTTAAAATAATACATAGAACCTATAAGAGCTACATCTGTCTCTGGTTCACGATTGTAAACAAAACAAAACAAAAGGGCTACAATTTATTTATTAAGATATTGGTTCTAAATTCCTCACATATTTGTCCTATAATCACAGCACTCCCCACAAAGTAGGCACTATTGTTATCTCCATTTTGCAGATGAGGAAACTGAGGCACAAGATTATGTATCTTGCCTAAATTGCAGAGTTGGTAAGAGATAGGAGGGGGAGCCAGGATTCAAATGCATTTCTGACTCTACAGTTAATTGCTACCTAGGACTAACACCCAGCTCTGTCACAGATTATCTGTGAAACCCTGAATAAACTGCTTATCCTCGCTGTGCCTCGGTTTCCTTATGTATAAAATGAGGTAACTGGTCTAAATCATAACTTCTTGACCTGAAAAGGGTTCTAAGGACGAGGTTCAGGACCAACCATGATCTCATATAACTGTCTGCAAAGTCTTTGAGGTGAATATGCTTTGGGGGATTGTGAAAGGAGCAGTCAGTAGGATTCCAAAGAGGTCTGCAGTCCAGGAGAGGATAAGAAACACTTGACAGGCCAGGCGCGGTGGCTCACGCCTGTGATCCCAGCAATTTGGGAGGCCAAGGCGGGTGGATCACCTGAGGTCAGGAGTTCGAGACCAGCCTGGCCAACATGGCAAAACCCTGTCTCTACTGAAAATACAAAAATTAGCCAAGCGTGGTGGTGCACGCCTATAGTCCCAGCTACTCAGGGAGGCTGAGGCAGAAGAATCACTAAACCCGGGAGGCAGAGGTTGCAGTGAGCGAAGATTGCACCACTGTGCTCCAGCCTGGGTGACAGAGCAAGACTCTGTCTCAAAAAAAGAAACACTTGACAATGTACTCTCTTAAAGGCCCTTTCCAGGACAAGTTTCTTTTAAAGTCGAATCAGCCGGTTCCATAAAATTGCTGCCAATAACACAGAAACAAGCCAGCATTGGCAGTGCACAGCCCTGGGTACAATTAAATCTGTTCTTCGGCAACCATGAACTGTGATCAATGGTAGGCGTGGTCCTGGTCTTCACTCTAGGCCTGAGTAGCACGTGTCTTTCTCTCACACCCCAAGCCCTGAGAAAGCAGTTATAGACTACAGGAACCACAAGAAGAAGCTCTCACAGTTTCTGTCCAAAGCGTACCTTGCCTAATTTTCCAGGAGCCTGGCTCTTTGTAGCTGCTTCGTCTCTTGACGTTTACCCAGAATGAGTCATTGTCCTCATACCACTGTGCCAGCTGTGGACCTCACTGCCAGCCACACGCTCTATGCTGTGCCCAGATGCTGGGCATCTCTCCTTCCTAGCCACACCCTCCCACCGCCAACGCTTGTCCTATTTGCCTGGGAGACTGCACGCCAGTTTGATATGCAATGCACAGACAGCTGCTTAAAGCTGTTGGCCCTGGCTCTCCTGAGACTCCTCTAATCTCAGCAGACTGGTTGACTCTAAGCCTGTCATGAGCTCTGCTGTGTTACACAAAAACTGTTTGAACTTTTCCTTTGGGCAGTGAAACCTCTGCCACACAACATTGTGTGTGGAAGCCTAAGATAGCAAACAGATCAAAGCTGAGCGGCTGTCGTCATTCAAGCTGGAACAGGGGCCCAAATCCCACCTGCTCAACCCTTCTCTCACTCTCCCACCCCCTAGAATCCTCTGCCACTCTCAGGAGGCTTTAGGGAATCTGGGGGAAATTTTTAAGCCATTGGAGTGGCAGAATCATGACCTGTATGTGTGTGTGTGAGTGCAAGATGAGGAAGAGAGATGGGGGTGGGGAGGGAAAGAGAGAAGAAGAAAGGAAAACTGAGACAGAAGAGAGGCAGAGATGGTGGGGATGAAAAGCTACATTGGGGATGTAGGGGGAAAACAGAGAAGAAACTCAGATTATAAAATCAAAGAAGACAGATGAATTTACATTTTATGAAAGAGAAAGCAGAGACGGAAGGAAAGAATCAGCTACATCAATAGGAAGGGTTTAGAGCCTTCTTCGCGTGTCCAGCCTGGGGAGAGCCCCTGGACTCTCAGGCACCTGGGGTAGCATGTAATGGACGAGGGGGATATGAGCATGTGAGAACGTGGGAGCAAACATTACTAACATCTTGGCGAGGGTCACACCTGGGGTGGGGTGATGCAACATCTGGAGGAAGGTGGGTAATACCTGGACCAGCCATCACCATGTACTGCAAGATGGAGCCCTCCAGATGCAGCAGGGCAGGCCCTGCCCTCAGGCTGACAGTCCAAAAGGAAAGAGAGACAGCCCCCAACACCCATGTTCACAATGCCCATACCTTCACGACAACTTGCTTCATCCAATCCTACGACCAACCGTTTGCAAAAATGGCTCCCTGCATTCCTCTCCCTTAAGGAATCCCTTCCCTACAGTGACTTTGGTTTTGGTCGTATGACTTGCTTTGTCCATTAGGACATCAGTGACATTACACAAACAAAGGCTTGAACTTGCCCTGTCCTCTCTGACTGATCTTGGGAACCCTGCACCACCACCACACAAACAAGCTTCAGCTAGCTTGCTGGATGATGGCTGCACTGGGCCAGCTCATCCCCATCACCCAGGTGACACTGAGCCAATGGCCAGTCATGTGAGTGTGGCCATCCCAGCCTATTCAGGCCCAGCCTAGATGACCCAAACCAGAACTGCTTAGTTAGCTCACAGAATCATGAAGAGCAATAAACTGTCATTTTGAGCCAATAAATCTTAGGGCTGCTTGTTATGTAGCAAAAGCTAACTGATACAAATGCAAAGGTTTCCTCTTAGAGAAAACAGCCCTGTCCTGTTCAGAAGTTGTGCCGGCAACTGAGTATTACGTGCAACATGTATCTAAGAGCTCCCTCAGAAGCCTTGGAAACTCCACTCCAATTTACAGCCTAAATCTGAATCTGTATGGTAGGGTGAAAAGAGTTATTTTATCAGCCCACAACAGAATCTTGGAGAGGGAGCTGCATCTTGCAAGAGGCCTGCAGGCAATCTACAGAAACTTCACATGGGTGAGGAAAATCAAGGGATGTGGTCATTTCCTCCAAGTGGGTTGACCTCAGGAGAGGAAACAGCCCTGGGGGAGGCAGATGACCCAAGGGATCTGCTGGGCAGGGGCTCAGGCCAAGAAGCACTCACGAGAAGGAAGGCCCAAGAATTGTCCCCACAGATTTCTTGGGGGAAAACACTGGGCTTCCTGAGGTCATGGGAAAGAGGCAGCACCAATTTATCTGTGTCTTGAGGCCTGAGTGACCTCAGCTGCACCTGGATACCATCTGTTACAGAAAAGATCCCGTGTCCAAACCAGAGAGCAACAGCCCCAGCAGGGCTGTCAAACACTCAGCAGAGTTTTAAAAAGAGATTTTCAGAGATTTTTTTCACATTAACAAACTCACAAATAGCTACATGGCCTCAGCTGTGGCTCAGACACGCACGTTCACCCACATATAAAAGCTAACATTTACCGCATTTTTCCTATGTCAGTTACCATACTCTCGATTCACACGTATTAATTCATGTAATCCTCATAGAGGATCCTGAGGGGAGGTACTGCTGTCAACCACAGGACAGTTAGAGGGGGCTGCTTCAACACTCTCCCGGGGATCCCACCTCACTTGGGGGAAAAGCTAAAGTCCCCGCCCTGCCCTCACCTCCTCCCATTCTCCCCCTCACTTACTCAGCTCCAGGCACATGGCCTCCACAATGTTTCTGGAACACGCCAAATAGACTCCTGCCTCCTGATCTTTGCACTTGCCATTGCATTTTCCAGGAACACCCTTCCCCCTGAAAGCTGCACAGCTCACTCCTCAGCTTCTTTCCCTTCCTCAGAAGTCACCTTCTCAGGAAGGCCTCTTCTGACCACCTAATCTAAAATTGCAACCGCCTCCCCACCTGCACACACGGCGCTTACCACCATCTGACAGGGTCTCTATTTTATTGATTCCTTTTCTTGTCTACCTGCCCCATGAGGACAGGCACTGTGTCTTTTTGGCTCACTGCCGTGTGCTCAGTGCCTGGTACACAGTAGGTATTCAGTAAATATTTGTTGATTGAAGGAGGGGAAACTGAGGCAGGCAACCACAGTCCGCTACTTGCCCAAGGGCCACAGCCAGCAGGTGGCGGAAGCGGGATTCCAAGCCAGGCCAAGGGACCGAGTCTGGAGGCTTTCCTAGTCACTACCTCTACTTCCCCATGTGCAAGTCCCTTTGCACATCAGAAACACACAACCCACTTGCACATGTGAGCACAGGGACACCCTTACGGCCCAACTGCACACTCACGTCTGCCCCAGTCCCCAGGATCCCTGCCAACGAGCCCCAATCCTCACCGCACCCAAATCCCGGGCCCCACATACAGGAACTTGCCGTCGGTCTGCGCCCCAGAGTAAAGTTTGCGCTCGGCCTCCTCACGCGTCAGGCTGCTGTGGTACCAGGGCATCCGCTCGTGGGCCGTCGTAGCAATGAGCTTCTCCACCTGCGGGGCCTGGCTGATGATGGCCTGCTCCAGGGCCTCGCCCTAGAAAAGGAGAGGCGAGGAGGTCTGTAGGTGTGGCCAAGTGCTCGCCACAGGAACCCCCTTCCGGGAGCCCTGTCCCAGAGGACTCCCCACCCCACCCAGGCGTCCCTAGCGCGTGTTAGGCAGGTTTTCGAGGACTACCTCCGCGCCATCTCCGTGGTCCCCTCCCCAATCCAGCTAGGGAGGAACCACCCCCACCTTCCAGCGCGGCCCCAAGCGCATCTCCAGCTTGAAGACCTAATTCAGGTAGTTGTGCATGGTGGTGTCACTCAGGCTGTGGACGACTACTGCCCATCTTCCCCAACAGCCACCCTACCCTAAGGGCTCACCCTAGCCCCGCGCACCCTCCTCTCAGCCCCGCCCCCATTCCAAGCCTCGCCTTCGCCCGGCCCAGTGCGTCCCTCTACCTTCCCATCTGGCATAGTAGAGCACCATAGCATCGCTCAGCCTGCGGAAGGCGACCGCCACCACGGAGCCCCTGCCTCTGAGGCCTCCTTTCAGGTTCTTCCCCAACCAGTGCCCCACCTCTCCAGCTTCCAAAGGGGACTGAATGGGGAAGACGACCTTTTCCTCCCTCCTATCCCCCCAAAACCCTCGACTGCCCCTCTTCGGCCACGCCCCTCCAGACCCCGCGCCCCAGGCTGCGCTCTCACCTCCAGCTTCCACGTCTGGCGCACGTAGTCACGCACCATGGCGTCTCGCAGGCAGTCGAAGACCCCCGGCTGCGGCTCGAGGCCCGACGGCCGGTTGCACGGCTTGCGCAGGTTGCAGGGCAGCCCGTCGGGGTCGCGCGAGTAGAACTCGCAGAGCTCTGCCGGTCCACAGTGCGCTTTGCCGCCGGCAATGGCGTAGGTGCCGTTGAGCTGGCGCTCGATGGGAAAGTGGTGGAAGCGCACATCGTGCACGAGCGACAGCACATAGCCGCCCAGCGAGCGCAGGCACTGGCGCAGCAGGAAGAGCCCGTCCGCCATGCCCGCCAGCTTCAGGTGCTCCTCGGCCTCGGCACGCGAGATGCTGCCGTAGAAGAAGGGCAGGTGCGCCGCGGGGTCTGGCATCGCCCCTGGGCCTCCCGAAACCTGCGGGTTCACAGAGGGTCGGAGGCACGTCAGGGCCTTCCTGAACCTGGTGCGTTGGGCCCAAAGACGGCGCGAGAGACGCCAAGTGGAGGGCATCAGTGCCGCAGACTGAGCTCGCCAAGGGGGCAGAGCCTGCTCTGTGCCAGAGTCAACCTGGAGAGAAGCCGCAGCCTGCTGGGCACAGATCGAGAAGTCCCAAACCCCCATCTGACTTTCCAGAGACATTATGTGGACGCCCAAGCACGCCAACTGGTCCCCAAGCACCCACACCTGTACCCATCTCTTCATGTCCCAACCACGTGCTGAATTATTGTGTTTCAGGCCCGGTGCTGGGGATATGCACGCTTGAGGCAGGCGCGGTCCCACCCCGTCCTCCCGAAGGCAACACTCTAAGGAGGGAGAGCCGTGAGATAAACTGAGAAAGAAACAAAAATAATAATTACAGATTGAGGTCAGCATTACAAAGGAAATAAGTGGAGTGACATTAAGAGAGAGAAGAGGTGGCTCTAGCTAGGATGGTCACCTTCTCCAAGGAGCTAGCATTTGAAGGGAGAGCTGAAGGAGGAGGAGCCAACTTTTCAAAAAGCGCGCGGGACAGCGCATCAGGCAGAGAGGACTGCATGCGCAGAGGCCCTGAGGCCGCACCCAGCTTTGCTCACCCAAGGGCCCTACCCCTCAGCCTCCCTTGTCCCTTCCGCTGACCCTTTCCCCTCGGCCTTAGCAGGCACCCCTCGCCCTGCCCTCTGCCTTCCTTGGCAAGTTTCTACAGAGCATACGCTAATTGGAATATCCATCCCTAGGGGACTGGTTAAATGCATTAGGGTTTAATCTCAAAGTGAACTCTGATACAGCTATTAAACAAAACGTGTGATTGAGGGGAGGAGGAATTAAGGCTATTTAGACAGATGGATATCTGGTAAGGCAGATAACTTAAAATTGCCTGCCCTCAACTTTCTGGGGTGATGGTGACGTCCTGTATATTCACAGGGCTTGGGTTATGCAAGTGTCTGATTTTCCGAAAACTAAGAGAATGTACACTTAAGATGTGTTCATTCCATTGTATTTGCCCTCCCTCAATTAAAAAAGAAACATAAAATATTGAACCCTAGGTAACGATCTGCTTGCAGAAATGTTTAGGAGTGATGGGAACTGAGGACTGTAATCTAATTTGAGAGCATCCCAAAAATAACACTGACCGATGGACGAACAGAGCGAGAGGGATGGATAAAAGGATAGACAGCCAGATAGACACAGTTGATTTCTGTCATTCTCTGCAGTTCTATAAAGTCAACGAAAACACTGAATTAGCAATATAGAACTATCCCTCCTAGGGGAAATACAGAGTTAGGTTCCTAGGAAACTGTTTACATTTTCATCAACTGATCAAGACATAACCTTGTTTTTTTGTGAGTTTCTGTTTAAAGGCACCTTATTTAATAGACATGGTTGATTCACTAACATTGAACTCTTAGCCAACAGCACTATAACTATAAGCTTATCTGACATGTTTTCTCCATAAGGCACATACAGCATTCTTGCCCTTAGGAATGCTAGATAGCATTTCAGCACTATGGTTGGGGGCCATGTCAACCACTGAAATCACCAACAAAAAGCACAAACATTCAAAATATGTGAGGCCGAGTGCAACGGCTCATGCCTGTCATCCAGCACTTTGGGAGGCCAAGGCGGGTGGATCACTTGAGACCAGCAGTTCGAGACCAGCCTGGCTAACATGGTGAAACCCCGTCTCCACCATAAATACAAAAAATTAGCCAGAGGTGGTGGCGGGCACCTGTAATCCCAGCTACTTGGGAGGCTGAGGCAGGAGAACCTCGTGAACCCAAGAGGCGGAGATTCCATTGAGCCGAGATCAGGCCACTGCACTCCAGCCTGGGCAACAAGCGCGAAACTCTGTCTTTAAAAAGATAAAATAGGCCGAGCGTGGTGGCTCACGCCTGTAATCCCAGCACTTTGGGAGGCCAAGGCAGGTGGATCACAAGGTCAGGCATTCGAGACCATCTTGGCCAACACAGTGAAACCCCGTCTCTACTAAAAATACAAAAAATTAGCCGGGCATGGTGGCAGGTGCCTGTAATTCCAGCTACTCGGGAGGCTGAAGCAGAATTGCTTGAACCTGGGAGGCGGAGGTTGCAGTGAGCTGAGATCGCGCCACTGCCACTGCACTCCAGCTGGGGCGACAGTGCGAGACAGCAATCTCAAAAAAAAAAAAGATAAAATAAAAAAACAAAATATGTGGCACCACCAAATAGAACATGAAAAAGATTGGCCGGCTGCGGTGGCTCACGCCTCTAATCCAGCATTATGGGAGGCCGAGGCGGGTGGATCACAAGGTCAGGAGACCAAGACCATCCTGGCTAACACAGTGAAACCCTGTCTCTACTAAAAATACAAAAAAAAAAAAAAAAAAAAAAAAATCAGCCAGCCATGGTGGCGGGCGCCTGTAGTCCCAGCTACTCGGGAGGCCAAGGCAGAAGAATGACATGAACCCAGGAGGCAGAGCTTGCAGTGAGCTGAGGTCACGCCATTGCACTCCAGCCTGGGCGACAGAGTGAGACTCTGTCTCAAAAAAAAAGAACATGAAAAAGACACTTATCTGCAGCATGAGAGTGTTTGCCTTGTGCAGCCTCGGTGGGAAAATGTGTATCGAGTGATTCATATTTTTGCCACTCTGTATGTCTGAGAATGACCACAAAAGTGCCATGTTGGTTTTAGGGTTTCAGATAAATTTAACAAGTAGGCAAACTCACAAATAAGAACTCCGCAGTGTTGATCAACTGTATGTGATAAAGCAATTATAGCAAATCATAAACTGGAGAATCTAGCAGGTGAGTTATTGGTGTACAGTTAATTCTTTCTATTTTCTGCATATTTGTAAGTTTTCATAGAATGTTGGGAAAAAATACCTCTCCATAGCGGTTCTGAGTTGTTTCTCTACTAACATAGGCCCAGCAAGGCTACTCAGGCATAAGTTTGCATTGGAGAATTGACTTTGAGTGCCCTTCTTAGTTATGCAAATGCAACCAAGGGGTAAAATGAATGCTTTTGTGAAAGCTCCCTCTGCCCTGGGTGTCCAGAGATGGGCTCTGGAGCTGAAAGGAAGGTACTGGAATGGGAATCAGGTGAAGTCTGGGTCAGAGTAGCTAGAGGAGGGGCCAGGATCTGCACTGTAACCCGATTGATTGTGACAGTGAGGTTGGGAGGGCCAAGCTTGAGGGGGGTCCTGGATGTCCCAACAGTTACAGACAGGTGGGTGTTCCAGAGATTCATAAGGGACTGCATTTGTGGCTCCACCTGGAGAAAAAGGTCACCATTCCACAAGAGTGTTTTTAAAAAGTCATGAAGCGGCTGGGCGAAGTGGCTCACGCTTGTAATCCCAGCACTTTGGGAGATCAAGGCGGGTGGATCACATGGGGCCAGCAGTCTGAGACCAGCCTGGCCAACATGGTGAAACCCCGTCTCCATTAAGATACAAAAATTAATGGCTGGGCCCGGTGGCCCACACTTTGGGAGGCCGAGGCAGGCGGATCACCTAAAGTCAGGAGTTTGAGACTAGCCTGGCGAACATGGTGAAACCCCGTCTCTATTAAAAATACAAAAAAATTAGTCGGGCGTGGTGGTGGGCGCCTGTAGTCCCAGCTCCTCAGGAGGCTGAGGCAGGAGAATCGCTTGAACCCAGGAGGTGGAAGTTGCAGTGAGCCGAGATCGCACCACTTCACTCCAGCCTGGGCAACAGAGCAAAACTCCATCTCAAAACAAAACAAAACAAAACAAAACAAAAAAACCCATGAAGGCTCCTAGGTATTCACTCTAAAGAAATGGAAATTTACATTCACACAAAAACCTACACAGGAACATTTATAGCCGTACTAGCCACAGTTGCCAAAAATTAGGAATAACTTACATGTTTCCCAACAGATGAATAAGATACACTGTGGGACATGCCTACAGTGGAATTCTACTCCGCGGTAAGTGGAACAGCATACGGAGACACGCAGTTCCGCAAACGCATCGCAAAGGCCTCAGGCTGGATGAAAGAAACCAGGTTCCAAGGGCTACGAATTGTGTGATTCCACACACAACTATAGGGACGGAAAACGCACCAGAGGTTGCTGGGTGCTGGGGGCCGGAGAAGGAGTGACGACAGAGGGCAGGACGGAATTTGGGGGAATAGTCTGTATCTTGATTGATGTGGTGGTAGTCTCTGGGCTGTATGCATTTGTCAAATCTCAGAATTTTTCACTAAAATGATATAAAAATTTTATTGCATGTAAATTATACCCCAAATTTTTAATTAAGGGGGAAAGGAACTGGAAGATACAGACACAATGGACACTAAAAATGCTAATGAAAATAGGAAAAGTGATTAAGGGCTGTCTACACTCCTGTCCCTATGTCCTTGACTCCCAGCCTCTCAGCCAGACCTGGTCTGCGCCCCCCCCCCAGGCTGTTCTCCAGCACTGATAGCACCCCTGGCAGTCTGTAGGCACCAGACAAGCACTCTGTGACCTCCTCAATCCTGGGCCCCCTGAATGGCCGACACCTATGACTCCTCCCTCCTGCTTGAGCCCCACAGACCTCTCTGGTCCTTCACAAACTCCCTGGCTTGCCTCTGCCCTCTGACCATCCTGCTCACTCTCCTTCCCCCACCCCCGTCCCCTTACTTGGGTCATCCTGTCAGTAGCTGTACATGCTGCCACACCCACCTCTCCCAGAGCCCAGATCTCTCGCCCGACTGAGGTCGGTTGGTGCTGGCATCATCTCCTTTGATCTCCACCAACTGTTTCCATTAATACAACCAACCTAAGATCCAGATGGCATGCTCATGCTGCCTGTGGCTGGCTGAACCTCACAGTCTATTTCCACAGAGCTGAGCCCCAGAGTCTGCAAGTTGCTCCTTGGCAATTCTTCCCCAAGGCCTCCCTTGCTCAAGACCCTAATGGCTACTGCATTGGATCTCCCCAGCCCTCTGCCCCAGCTGAGCTGTGCTACTTGCCTTCCTTCAAATGGATGTTCATACTTTCATCCACACAGCACCCTCCACCTAGTGCACCCTTCCCTCTCCCCTCCATCTTCTCCAACCCAGCCAGCCCATCCTTGAAGACTCATGGAGCCACTCCCATAAAGCATGAGGATGCAGGATGAGGCAGAAAACTGAGGGCTTGTCCAAGGACCATGGGTGCAGAGTAGCAAAGCTGGTCTCTGGGGCAGGAAGCTGTGGCAGGAAACTGTCGCCAACACAGTTTGAGAAGCTCCTCCCCACGTGGCCGCAGGTGCAGCCTGGGTAGCTAGAAGTGGGTTAGGGCAGAAGAGGAGATGAGGGAGGCTCAGTGCCCAGCCCAGGGCTGCCATCCATGACCCGAGGCTAAGGAGTCCCAGAGGCAGGCTCTCTTCCTGTGCATCTCGGCTGCGTCCCAGCTTCCCTGTCCCACTGCCCACAAGGACAACGGTAATCACAAGCACCACCCCACACACACAGGTCGGGTGGTGGGCGCCTCCTCTTCCACCCCTGGGGCCTTTCTGGACTGTCCTCACTAGTAAAACATGGGGCCCAAGTTCCCAGGGACCCCATGGCCAGAGATGCTGGGGAGGCCAGAGAAGGTGGGCAGAGGTGGCAGAGATGAAAAGTCCGGGGGCAAGAGGTGGGAGCATTTGCCACGCAGCGGCTAGCCGGAGTGTCTGCTGTCAGTGAGCTGCACCGATCTAGAGCTCCCCGGGGTGACCCCAGACCCCAGGCAGGGGATCAAATGTTTCTGTTCTCAGCTGTGTCCCTGCAGACTCGTGGCCCTCCCAGAAGACACACCCACCATGAGACCCACCCCAGCCCTCGACCTGCCTGGGCCATCCCGACGGACAGGACTTGGGTTAGGAGCCGCGTCCCTCAGTCCCCAGTGAGCCTGTTCATTCCCCAAGCCTGGCCTATGGTTCTCCCTAGGCTGACCCCAGTCAGCTTCCTCTTGAGCTCACAGTTCAGAGATCCTAGTTTGGCCTTCCCAGAACTTACAGCCCCTGGATCACAGCACAGAGATCACAGCAGAGCAGCCACGGGGCACCTGCCCCACACTCACAGCCCAGGCCCTGGGAGGATGATGGGAGGAAGCCTTGGAGCCTGGTCAGAAGGACCTGCCTGGAATCCCACCATTCACCCAGCCTCCCTGGGTAAAGGCAGTGCTAGATTACAGCTGTTCCAGAGAGATCAGATTCCCCAAACATGCTTCAAAGGAAAAAAGAGTCAAGGGGTCAAATACAGTTTCAAATGCTGTGAAAAGCACATTAAAGGCTCCGAGAAGACCACATGGAAGGACCTCTTTCAGCGTCACTTAATTCCCACACCTATTCAGCAAAGCCTTGAAGGTCTACTGTTTCACAGAACATTCCCTGGGCATCAGAAGCCCCCATTACATGCCCATCGTCAGAGCAGAGGTATCACACCAAAGCCACTGGACCTGGTGGGAGCGGGCAGGAGCAGCACAAGCTCCACATGTCCCCCCAGCCAGAGGCTCCACGTGTCCCCCCAGCCAGAGGCTCAGAGGCTCCTCGTGTCCCCCCAGCCAGAGGCTCCACATGTCACCCCAGCCAGAGGCTCAGAGGCTCCGCATGTCCCCCCAGCCAGAGGCTCCGCATGTCTCCCCAGCCAGAGGCTCCGCATGTCCCCCCAGCCAGAGGCTTGACATGTCCCCATCCAAGGCTCTGCAGGAGCAGGGCCCCAGCCCCTCACCGCCCCACCTCCTCCTACTGCCCCCCCACCACCCTGTTCCCACTCCAGCTCCTGGCTCTCTCTCTCTGAACCCCTAGTCCTCACCTGAGACCCTAAGTCCCTCTGAAGCCATGTTCCCTGCTCCTTAATCCCCCAGCTGTGCTCGGGCCGCCTGTGCCCACCAACAGAGGCAGCATAGGCACTGGTCGTCAGCACACGCCAGCTTGGTGACGCCATGAGCCACACAGCCGCAGTTAGCCATGGCTGCAGGCTCCTCCTTCATATGTCTTTCCTGACTGCAGGGATTGGATTCAAATCATGGAATCGTGGACCCACCACATGGTCACAGTGCAGCCTCAGCAGCGAGTGAAGCTCGCCAGACCTCCTCCGGAAAGCAGGGCCAGTGAAGGTGTCCAGCACTGGGGCTGCAGGGACTCCCTGGGGTGAGACTTGCTGGCCCCCGTCATGCCATCACATCCTCTTCTCTGCTTGAAGCCCTCTAGGCTCCCACCTCACTCGGGGTGAAAATGCAAGTCCTCAGGGTGGCCCCCAAGGCCCTTCATGATGCCCATCACCACCCCCCGCCACTCACTCCCCTCCAGCCACACGGGCCTCCTCATGTTATTCGTTCAGGTCCCTCGGACAAACCAGGCATGGTGCAGCCTCAGGGCCTTTGTACTGTCTGTTCCCTCTGCCTGGAGACTCTTCCTCCAACACCTTCCACTTTATTCAGGTCTCTGCCTAAGTCACCTCCTCCAGGAGGCCTTCCCTGACCTCCCTCTCCAAAATAGCCTCTCCTTCTCTCTCTAGCCCTGACCCAGCTTTGTTGTTCTTCACCACCTAAAAGATGATATTGTATCTATTGGTGACATAGTACCTTTGTCCCTGCCAGAATGTAAGCACCACGGGAGTGGAGCCTTTGTCTTGTTCTCCTACCTATACCAGCATGGCACAGAGGAGGTGCTCAATATACCAGGTACCTACAAAGGTCTGCAGTCCACTGGGATGGGTGGGGATGCCTCTGAGCACCGGTGGAACCTGACACCTGGGAAGGGGTGAGGGGCCACAGGGGCTTCCTTGGGTGGAGGATGGCGGGAGAGGAGGGGCCCATCCTGAGGATCCTGGCCACAGGCTATTCCCTCAGCCCAGAACTGCGCTGCATCCTTCTACTGGGCCTCCGGCTTCAGGCCTCCTCCGTTGTCCCATCCTCCCAGAAGCATTCCATGAGCCCTGCCCCCTCCCCAGCCTGGGTCAGGCACCTCCCCTAGGCTTCCAGGGTCCCCATCCTCCCACATCACAGCCCTGATGGCCTCTGTCTCTGCTCCTCAGTCCCTCACCAGGCTGAGCTCCCCGAGGCAGGGCCCACGGCTCTGTCTTGTTTTCTATGGAAGCTCCTGCTTCCTCCCCACAAATATTTGTCAAGTGTGTAAGGACAATCACAACAGCCTCTGTGCTGGGGACTGCACTACCCTTTGCGAGCATTAGCCATTTATTCTAATTCTCACCACAACTACATTTGGTGGGAACTGTTATCCCACTCCTCAGCTAAAGAAACTGAGGCTCGGAGAGGTCAATGTCACTCTCAGAACATGCAGCCTGCAAGGGGCCACCAGGATTTGAACTCAGGTCTGTCCAATGCAGCAGCCAGCACTAACCACTCCAGCAAATGTCTATTAGGAGACCCTGGAGAGCTGGGCTGGTGCGGGGTCAGGGTCAGATTCCCCAACCCAGCACACTCTCCAAGTGTCTGTTGATTGAACAATGCCCTTCCACCGCCCCTCCAGTGAGGCCCCCAACTCCGGCCTCCACTGCCTGTGTGACCTCAGCAAGCAGCGGTCCCTCTCTGGGCCTCAGGCTCTGTGACTGTAAAAGGGAGATGGGAAAAGGCGGTGTGAGTCAGGAGGATAGGGGCTGATAGAGACAATGGAACAGGGTGGGACTGTCCTGGGCCTTGTAGGCTGTTCACAGGATTCCTGTCCTGGACATGCTGGATGCCAGTAACACCCGCTGGGTCACAACCCAAACTGTCTCCAGGCACTATCAACTGTCCCAGGGAGACGGGAGGAGGTAAAATTGGCTCTGATGAGAATGGCTGCCTTAACCCTGTACCTTGGGGTGGGGCAGGGAGTGGTCAGCACGGGGTGGTCTGGGTGCTGCAGCCCCGGAGAGCATACAGGAACTGTGGAGTCCAGAGCCCGAGGCCACCCAGAGCTAGTGAGGATAATGAGGGTTTTAGTGAGACCTTTCTGCAGCACCTGTATGTGCCGGGCAGTGTGGATACAGTCACTCTCTTTATCCTCCCGAGAGCCCTGGGAGGGAAGCACAGAGAGATGCGGTGACTGGTCCAGTCACACAGCTGGTGAGTGGCAGAGCCAGAATGTGAAGCCAGGCCCCCAGGCTCCAGAGTGTGCACATCAACACCACCCCCGCAACACTGCCAGGGCAGTGGGGCTGAGGATGGAGGGCAGGTGTGAAGAGGAAAAGGAAGCTCTGGATTCAGCAGGAGGCAGCTTCACAGGTGGCACCTTAGGAGTCCCTGACCCTGATCTCTCAGCAAGGCATTATTAAACACCTCCTGTCTGCCTACTGTTCCAACCAAGACGAGAGTAATGAATCATCTCGAGCTGCTCACCTCATGAACTCCTGTTCCTTCCTGTCGGGGATGCTTCCTACCTGGGACACATTTCCCAGCCTCTCGCCAACAGTCAGGAACCAGGCGCCTGCCAGGTGCCCATATCTGCATGTGCATTTAACAGATGCACAAACTGAGGTCAGAGAGGCCAAGCAACTTGCCGAGAACACACAGCAGTTGAGGAGAACTCGGTGTTTTGCTCTTTCTCTCTCCAGGTCTTCCTCTAACCTGAGCTCGCCTACAAGTGGCTCAAGCCTGCCCTGGACTCCTCACAGGAATCACAGCATTCTGCTGATGGAGCTCACGGCCCTGGTGAGCAGCCCCCTCATCTTCACAGAGTGCACATGCGCTTTCTCTGGAGGTTTCTCTGCCTCCGAGAGCCAAGGATGCAGCCAAACAGGGCCCAGCAGGAGCCCAGGGACTGAGCAGGCCTCACCGTGTCCCCTGAACAGCCCCGCTCGGCCAAGCCTCTGGAGGGGGAGCTGCTTCCCTCAGCGTGGCCACAAGCCCCGTCTGCCTCCATCTCCAGCCAGTCACCACCCAGCCCAGTCCTCCAGCTCTCCTGGTCCTCCCAGCAACCTCCTGACTCCCAGTTAATATTCTGTCTTCCTCCTCCAGACACAGCCCACCATGGAGACGGTGGCCAGGTGCCACTCCACCCAGGCACCACTTACCTGGGGACGTACAGGTGGATGTCCAGGCAAACAGGCCACTTGCGGGGTCTCTGGTCCCAATGCCAATGGAGAGCCGGTTCTGGGTGAGGAATCGGGGCTTACAAAGCCGGTTTGGATTTCCCTGCAGCCCAAGCCCCCAGCCTGAGAGGGAGGCCCTGCCGCTCACACTCTCCGCACACACCCCGGGGGAGGATGTCACACCCCGCCAGGGTTTCTCACTCATGGATGGGGGGGGTTCATCCTCTGCCAGGTCTCCCAGAGCCCCCTGGGGTGGCCCTGGTGGCAGGACACAGGCAGAAGGCCCGAGGACAGCCGCTTACCTGAATGCCCCAGCAGCAGCTCTGAGGCCCACGGTGGGCCAGGCCTGCCCGGAAGGCCTGGTGTCTGCTGAGCTCCGGCAAGCAGGCTTGTCTGAAACTAACCTATTTCCTGGATGCGAAGACAGGAAAGGGGGCTGTGTTTGATGTTTACATCAAAGTCACAAAGTGCTGTGCTCAAGGAAAATCACAGGCCACGTGCTCCAGGGAGGCAGAGGGCATTTCCGGGGCCCAGCACTGCCTGCCCAGCTGCAGGATGGGACTGAGAGATGGGAATGAGGCTAAGCAAAGGCAGGGTTTCAGGAAGGACGACTCCAGCAGCAGGAACCGTCAGAAGGGAGGAAGCCTGCATACCTGGAACCGGAGGGTAGGCAGCAGTGGTGGGAAGGAGGGGAGTCCCAGGGCTCATGGAAACTGGAATGCCCCCATTTTCCCCTCAAAGGGGCGTCGCCCTGGGGCCTGCACCAGCTAGACAACCCAGAGGAGTGATTTGTTTATTCCACAGGCAGGTTAGAGCTGGAGGGAGGAGAAACCCACTGAGTCAGCCCATACCCCGAAGGTGAGAACCCCTTCTGTGCCAGGCATCTGGATGGCAAGGACAGCCTGCCCTTGCTCTCCAGTGGCTCGCAGGCTTGTTGGGGGCAGCTGAGTCCACAGGGAGCCAGGGCTGGGAGGCCGGAAGCCTGGGCACTGTGTGTCCCCAGAGTATCCCCAAGCCAGCCTGGAGGATGTCAGGGATGCGTTCCAGGAGGAGTCAGCCACCCAACCGAGACACAGAGCCAGGGCATCCCCAGTGCTAGCCCGGCCCACCTGGGACCTTTCCCACGAAGCTGAACCTGGCTGAGTGCCATCCCGCTGTGGCCACCACCTCCTCCTCCTCTTCCTCTCCTCCCTTCCCTCACCCTGTGCACCCCCTACCCTTGGGCCTGGGGCCACACCTCATGCACTCTCTCAGAGAGGGGCCTGCAGAGCCACTCCCTCGGCTCCATCTCCCCTCTAGTGCCCCAAGGCCTCTGGGAGCCCCTTGCCCACCACCTCCTTGCTTTCTTGGGCACTAAGGGAGTCGTCACAGCTCTCCTGTCTGTGGGGCCTCAGAGACCTGTGTGGAACTGCCCTGGGCCCACTGTGGAGACTCCTAAAGCTTTTCTTCTTGGGGTCCTGCTGCCCTTGTTAAGTGGGCTTGTGATACCCTACCTTGTTTTAACCTGAATTGACTCTCCCTTAGCTAAGAGAGCCAGACAGACTCCATCTTGGCTCTTTCATTTGCAGCCCCTTACCCACCCCGCTTCCTCAAGGACTTAATTTGTGCAAGCTGACTCCCAGCACATCCAAGAATGCAATTAACTGATAAGATACTGTGGCAAGCTATATCCGCAGTTCCCAGGAATTCGCCCGGTTAATAGCACCCAGAGCCCCGGCGTTTGTGTCCGGTTGATAACGCCCAAAGCCCCGTGTCTATCACCTTGTGATAGATTTTAAGCCCCTGCACCTGGAACTGTTTGCTTTCCCGTAACCATTTATCCTTTTAACTTTTTGCCTGCTTTACTTCTGTAAGATTGTTTTAGACCCCCACCTGTCCTTTCTAAACCAAAGTATAAAAGAAAATCAAGCCCCTTCTTTGGGGCTGAGAGAATTTTGAGCACTAGCTGTCTCTCAGTCGCCAGCTAATAAAGGACCCCTGAATTCGTCTCAAAGTGCGGCGTTTCTCTGTAACTCGCTCGGTTACAACAGGCTCAGCTCCCCAGTCTGCCTGAGGATCCCCTCACACCCTACCCCGAAGCCTCCTTGGGGACCTCCTTTCTGGCCCTCTACTATCCTCTGGCCGCCTGAATCCCCTTTAGAAAATCTGAGTTCCGGCTCTAGGCTACTTTTCTCCTTCATACAGCCCCCTCCAAAATGGTGTTTGCTAGCAGCCTCCCTTTTCCCCAGCGGCATCTTGAAACTCCAGGTGCAGCAAGCATCCCTTCACATCCATGCTGGACGCTCATTTCTTGGAGTATTGAGAGAAAAAGACACCGGCACCCTGAAGAGAGGAGAAATTACAGCATCAAATCACATTCATACTACAATAATGAGAGTCGCACTGATTATGTGCCAGACATTGCTGTACGCACATCACAATTAATAAGCCATTCAACCTATTTTCCAGATAAGGTAAGTAAAGCCCAGAGAGGTTAAGAGATGCCAAGTGGCCAGGTGGGATTGCAGCCCAGGCAGCCTGACCCCACCCACGTGCTGCTGGACATAAAAGAAGAAAACTTTGGTTGTAAAATATCTCCCCGAAGGAGGCCAGCGCCCCAGGGAGCTGGAAGCTGAGCCAGCTATGGGACAGGGTGCCTCTGTGTGGGTGGGGGGCTTCCAGTTTCCAGGGTCTTCAGGTCCTGAGAAGGGGATTCCCAGCCTCTGCAAGGCACTGGCCCTACAACCCTTGAGCCCCCCACTTCCTGTCCCAGAGGCTGGTCTGGAAACTACAAAGCCCAGTGCTCAGACAGCTCTGAGATTGGGCTACAGATAATCCGAGATTGGCATGCAGATAAGGTCCTCTGTTCTGCCAGAGTGGAAGGAGGTGGATGCATCTTTTGAATGTTTACAGTAAAGGGCAAACGGATGGAAATGTGGGCTAGGAAAGTTGCGGTGCCTTTGCCTCATCGGGTTGGGGTAAACATTCACTCTACTCATGCCAAGAGCCTCGAAGAAATTCATCAGTCACCCCCATATCCTCAGGTCTTTGCCCACACCTCTTCACCTGCCTATTTCCTAGTCCTCTTTCAGGTCTCCAATTAAGCGTGTTTTCCTCCAGGAAGGCTTCCCAATCCTCAGACCGGGCAGGGATGGGCTTTCTGTCCATTTCACCTGGAGCTGAGCAGGTCCAATCTGGCTGCACAGTTAAGAGAACACAAGCCACTGCTGGGAGACGTGCAGCAGGGAGATAGGGTGGAGGCTCCAGCAGGCCCGAGAGGAGATACACCCCAGTGCAATGAGCCCCAAAGGAAACAGGTCCATCCAGGGCCCCTCCTGGATTCCCTCTGGGTGTACAGAAAAATGGTGACTTTTTTTTTTTTTTTTTTTGAGACGGAGTCTCGCTCTTTCACACAGGCCGGACTGCAGTGGCGCTATCTCGGCTCACTGCAAGCTCCGCCTCCCGGGTTCACGCCGTTCTCCTCCCTCAGCCTCCCAAGCAGCTGGGACCACAGGCGCCCGCCACCGCGCCCGGCTAATTTTTTGTATTTTTAGTAGAGACGGAGTTTCACCGTTAGCCAGGATGGTCTCGATCTCCTGACCTCGTGATCCACCCGTCTCGGCCTCCCAAAGTGCTGGGATTACAGGCGTGAGCCACCGCGCCAGGCCAAAAATGGTGACTTGTATCTCCTTTCCTTCTGGTTCTTTTCTGGTTCTGCCACTTAACCCTGAGGGACCGTGAGCACGTTACTTAGCCTCTCTGCGCCTTGGTTTCCTCCCTTAGGAAACGGGGATAATGGTACCTGTCTTGTAGGCTGTTGTGAAAGTTAAAAGAGGCCTAAAGGCAAATGCTCCATTACTGCTACCACCACCGTCATCTCTCATGTCTAGTGACTGCGCGTCCGAGTGCAGCAACGGGATTCCCTTGCGCCCTCCAGGGGCAGCTCTCCAGTATTGCAGGCTGCCAAGCACAACTCAGGCGTCCCTGAAGGCTGAAAGTGACCACCGCCCTGCCCTGAAATAAAAAAAATTAATCCAGCTGGTTTAAGTCAGAAAAGAATTGCTTGACCACAGCAGCCACATGCTGTGCTCTCCCCTGGGGGCTTCTCAAGTGGATGGCTCCTTCGGAAGCCTTCAAACTGCCATGGCACTGCCACCTCCTGAGACCCCTGGCTACTTATTTATTCAATACTGAACACCCGTTCTATGCCAGACTCTTTTCCGGGTACTCTGTTCTATGGATCCGCAGTGAACAGCACATGAAAATCTCTTCCCTCATGGAGCTGACATTCTAGTGGGAGAGACAGAGAATGAACAAAATAGATAAATATTTCATAGAGTATGTCACATGGTTACAGGTGCTAAGGAGTAAAATAAATCAGAAAGGGTAGGCGAGGTCTTGAGCATGTAATTTTGAGCCAGTCAGGGCATGCCTCGGAGGGGATAACCTGTGAATCAAGACTTGAAGGTGGCTCACGCCTGTAATCCCAGCACTTTGGGAGGCTGAGGCAGGCAGATCACAAGGTCAGGAGATCGAGACCATCCTGGCTAACGGTGAAACTCCGTCTCTACTAAAAATACAAAAAATTAGCCGGGCGTGGTGGCGGGCGCCTGTAGTCCCAGCTACTCGGGAGGCTGAGGCAGGAGAATGGCGTGAACCCAGGAGACGGAGCCTGCAGTGAGCTGAAATTGCGCCACTGCACTCCAGCCTGGGTGACAGAGTGAGACTCCGTCTCACAAAAAAAAAAAAAAAAAAAAAAAAAAAAAAAAAAAGACTTGAAGGAGATGTAGGAGAGAGCCACGGAGATACGGAGATATTGGGGGAAGAGCATTCCCAGCAAAGGTCTTAAGCAGGACTGTGTCATCTGTGAGGTAGGAACTATCTTGTTCCCAGCTGCGACCCCAGCAACTGGAGTGGTACCTAGCACAATAGTACTCAATAAATATTGCATGGATGGGTGAAAAAATCCCACATATGCGCTTCAGGAACAGCTTGCTCTGGGCTCAACTGATGACCCCAAGGTTGTTGGCTTCATTCTCAGACAAGGTTTCTCCCTATGGTCCAAGAAAGTCACTCAGCTTCAAATCCTATTCAAGGAGCAAGAATCTATTTCTCGATATTACCGGAAAAACCCCCAGCACAGCTCATTGGCTGAGTAGATCACCTGTCCATCCCCCAGCCAATCCCTGACGCCAGCGGATGGCATGGGGACGTGGCTTAGGACCAGGTCACATGCCCCACCCACAGCACACTCTGGAAGGAAGGAGTGGCTGGAAGGAGGAGAAGGGATGCTGGGTGGGCAAAGCGCTGAAGTCTTGCAGAATATTCATAACAGCTTAAATGCATCTATTTCTTTCTATCAAGCACGACTGCGTGCTGGCCCCAGCTAAGGTACATTTAACGCTCACAACAGCCCCAGCGAGTAGTAGATTAGCCTCATTTTACAGATCTAGAAACTGAGACCAAGAGGAAACTTAGGCTTGAAATTCCACAGCTAGCAAGTGGGGAGCCTGGGACCTCCTGGCTCAAAGGGAGCTTGGAGCTTCCACAGGGCTCCACCCTGAAATCCCCTGTGCTATCAGGGTGACTGCCGTCATCCAGCTAGGGACAAGCAGGCTGAACCAACCCTGAGCTAAAGCTGCAAGGCCTTAGCGTGAAGGCAAACTGACAGCGCAAAGGCAGCCACCTCTTTGATGAAGAAAGGGAAATGGAAATGCTAGTTCAGGGCAGCTCCCAGGGGCCCACAGGCCATGCGGGGACTGTTGGCAGAGGCTATAGGCGCTGATAGGGCTTGTTCCTCAAATGCAAGCCCAGGGTAGAGGTAGGAGGCCAGCAGAGGGGTGGGCTGCCTCTCAGGGCTGGGGTCCCAAGAAGTTGCCATGAGGATGGGACAAGGGTGCATGTGCAACCTGTTGAGAATTCAAGGAAAATCTGGTATGCTTGCTGTGCCTGCTGTATGCCCAGGCTGGGGCAGCTGCATCTCCTTCCAAGCGCAGAGGACCCCAGCCACCTGCTGCCCTACAGCCACCCCACATCCAGCCCAGCACAGGGCCTGGCACCCGGCAGGTGTCCAATAAATGTTTGCTGCTGAACGGACCACCCAATGGCTCTGTAAAGAGGGTAAATTATCAGCCTCATTGCCAAGAAGAGGAAGCCAAAGCTCTGAGAAGGTCCAGGCAGGACAAGTATTGAAGCCCAGCTGGACCCAGCTCCCCAGCACCATGCCTGGGAAACTCCCAGCGTTGTGAGGGCCGGGCAGGCGAATGTCAGGTGGCACAGGCCACACCCCAGTTGCTGGCATTCCTCTCCTGGGGCACCTGCCCTGGCGAAGCACTCAGAGACCTTTGGACAGCTGGCAGGTCCTCCGGGGTGACCAGGGCCCCACTCTCCCCACCTCCCCGCTGGCTTCAATCTGAGAAATGGAAAAGGTGGTGCTCATCTCATAGCGAAGGGGCTGGAGCACAGATACCAGGGCAGGCTCCAAGGTCAACCCCCAGTGGAGAGCTCTGGGAGGGCCACATGGTGGGGTGTACCTGCCCACCAGGGCACTGTGCCTGGCATGGGGAGGTGCCCAGTAAGTGCTGACTTGAGCAGAAACCAGTTGGTAAGTTACACCCGTTGTTGATGCTGCTGATGCTGGGGAAGGAATGGGCTCTCCCCTCCCCCAGCTCTCCACGCAGCCACCCATTCCCCACCCAGTTCTTCTTCCCCACCCTCTTGGAACAAGTGGGCTGAACCAACCTCTTGGGGCTCATTCCTGGCCCATCAGTACTTCAGTACTCCCTCCCCTCACCCTCCTCCTTCTAACACCTCCTCCTACCCCCTCCTCCATTCAAATCTCCCACCCACCACATAGTTCCCGCTTCTCCACTTCCCTCCCCCCATTCCTCTACCTTCCTTGTCCCCACTCCACTCCCTCAGCTTATTCTCCCCACTCTCTCCACCTTATTCTTCCCCACCCACACCATTGTCCCTGCCCTCCTCCCTTCTCCTATCCCGGCCCTCATCTCCCTCATCTTACTCTACCCCTTCGTCTCTGCCACCCCATTCCGTCACCCCGCAGCTGCCCTCCCCCCAGCCCCCCAGTGCTCCCCCTCCACACCCCCACACCCTGAGCACCAGGCCGGGAAGGTCAGGAGGGGGCCCTGCAGGCACATCTGGGGATTTTGGTAACCCTCCTCGGGAAGCGCCTAACTGATGCCTCCTCTCCTCTGCGCAGAGGGAAGCGGCTGCTGGGATAGACAGGAAGGGGTCTGAGCCTCCCAAGGGCCAGAAAGGCAGAAGTGCATTGCGGGTGCAGTGAGTCCTCACTTAGCTCACTGAGAGGTTCTTGGAGACTGCAACTTGACGTGCAGTAAGGAAACCAATTTTCCCATAGGCTAACTGCTATAGACAAGAGGTAAGTTCCTATGGCATATTCCCGGTCACGAAAACATCACCAACCATCTACATAAGGACCCCAAATGCGTTAATATTAAACATTAAAATAATTGTGAGCTATACATACCTTTAAGAATGATTACTAAAAAATAAGTCAGATCATGATTTCTCCACTTACACAGTTCAGGGTAGCAGGGGCCGGAGCCCAACCCGGCAGCTCAGGACAGCGCAAGGTGGGAACGAGCCCCAGCCAGGACTCCATCCCCTCTCAGGACACACTCACACACACCCACGCTCGCTCACGCTGGGACACTGTAGACACGCCTATGCACCGATAGCTTTGGGATGTAGAAGGAAACGGACTTCCCGGAGAAAATCCCCGCAAACATGGGGAGAACGGGCAGGCTCCACACAGACAGTGGCCCCAGCCAGGAATCAGGTTTGGTTTTTTTTTCTCATCACCATTACAACCAAATGACATTGAAAAAAATGGGCATGGTGGTGGACGCCTGTAATCCCAGCTACTCAGGAGGCTGAGGCAGGAAAATCGCTTGAACCTGGGAGGCGGAGATTGCAGTGAGCAGAGATCGCGCCACTGCACTCCAGCCTGGGCGACAGAGTGAGACTTAGTCTCAAAAAAAAAAAAAAAAAAAAAAAAAGGCCGGGCAGGGTGGCTCACACCTGTAATTCCAGCACTTTGGGAGGCCGAGGTGAGTGGATCACGAGGTCAGGAGATCAAGACCATCCTGGCTAACACGGTGAAACCCCGTCTCTACTAAAAATACAAAAAATTAGCCGGGCTTGGTGGCAGGCACCTGTAGTCCCCGCTACTCGGGAGGCTGAGGCAGGAGAATGGCGTGAACCTGGGAGGTGGAGCTTGCAGTGAGCCGAGATCCTGCCACTGCACTCCAGCCTGGGTGACAGAGCAAGACTCCGTCTCAAAAAAAAAAAAAAAAAAAAAAAAAAATGACGTTATTATATTAGAGGAGCTGCTGTCCAAATGTCCTAAGCAGTCGGGGGATCCTTGAGAATGAGACAAGCATCTGGACTGCGACTCTTGGTTCTCCAAGCCCCTGATTTGGGAGGTGGGCTGGGGTGGGCCTGGGAGCCAGCTCTGTCCAGTACATCAGGCCTTCTGTGGCTACAGCAGGACCAAAGTCCCAAGACCACTAACTGGGCAATTTTTAACTAAATGGCCTAATGTGGTGGAAAGAGTTTTTCTAGGGATGGGCTGTTTTTCCATCTTGGCAAAGAACTGAGCAGAGCCTTCCAGGGCCACCTCGTCGTCTTCACTCCCCACACAAATAGGTCCAAAGCTCTCAGGTCCTAGCTGGACCGCCTCTGAGCTACTCCTGACCACCCCTTCCCCTGCCTTTCCTGAGGCCCAGCTCCCAGAGCCCATCCATGAATGGAGAAGGTAGCCAGGAACCCTTCAGACGCAACAGTTGCCCCCAGGAACCTGCAAACCTGCTGACCACAAGCACCAGGGCCATAACCCACATCCCTTGATTCCCTAAACACACTCTCCCATGCCTTGCAGTGGCCCTGGGCCCAGCCCAATCAATCTCACGTACTCTCAAGACTCAAAGTATCAGAAAAAGATTGTGTGGCCATGTATTCATTTCCCAGGGCTGCCATAACAACCACAAACCGAGTGGCTTAAAACAGCAAAAATTTATTCTGTCACATTCTGGAGGCCAGAGTCTGAAACCGAGGTGTTAGCAGGGCTGCAGGCCCCTCAGAGGCTCTAGAGAAGAATTGTCCCTTATATCCAGTAGATAGGCAATAACAAGTGCTGGCGAGGATGTGGAGAAAAGGGAACTCTCATACATTATTGCTAATGTATGGAATGTACGTTAGTACAACCACTATGGAGAACAGTTTGGAGGTTCCTCAAAAAACTAAAAATAGAGCTACCATACAATCCAGCAATCCCACTGCTGTGTATATACTCAAAAGAAGGGAAATCAGTGTATAAAAGAGATATCTGCACTCTCATGTTTATTGCAGCACTATTCACAATAGCCAAGATCTGGAAACAACCTAACAACAGTCTATCAACAGATGAATGGATGAGGAAATGTGGTACATTTACACAATGGAGTACTATTCAGCCATTCAAAAAATGGTCATTTGCACCAACATAGATGGAACTGGAAGTCATTATGTTGAGTGAAATAAGCCAGGCACAGAAAGACAAACTTTGCATGCGCTCATCATTTCTGAGAGCTAAGAATTAAAACAATTGAATTCATGGAGATAGAGAGTAGAAGGGTGGTTACCAGAGGCTGGGAAGAGTAGTGGGGGTGGGGGAGATGTAAGGATGGTTAATAGGTACAAAAAATAAAAGAATGAATAAGACCTAGTATTTGATAGCACAGTAGGGGGACCACAGTCAATAGTAATTTAATTGCACCTTAAAAATAACTAAAAGAACATAATTGGATTGTTTATAACATGAAGGATAAATGCACCAGGTTTTGGATACTCCATTCACCCTCACGTGATTATTATGCATGGCATGCCTGTATCAAAATATCTCGTGTACCCCATAAATACATACCCCTACTATGTACCCACAAAAATTAAAAGTTAAAAAAATCTCTTACTACTCTATATATCCTCCTACTAGTTCTGTTTCTCTCATGGGACCCTGACTCATCCAAATTTTGGTACTAGAAGAGAGGAACAGAATCTTAAATCTATTTCCAGTGGCCAAGAGGGCATTTAGGTACTCCATGGCATGATGTGGCAATAGAGATATACAAAATATTACCATTGGATACTCTCAATCAAACACATATAAAAGGCAAGGTTCTGGGTGCCCACGTGTTTGATGATATCTGAGAACATTTTAATTAAACTGAGGAGTATGATATTGGCTGGTTGCTGGAGAAAGTGGGGAAAGAAAGGGATGAGTTTAGCCTTTCACATTCTCAGCTTAAACTGTGCATAAATGAACTGAAAACTTCTATGGGCCGGGCATGGTGGCTCATGCCTATAATCCCAGCACTTTGAGAGGCCAAGGCGGGGGGATCACCTGAGGTCAGGAGTTTGAGAGCAGCCTGGCCAACATGGTGAAACTCCATCTCTACTAAAAATACAAAAATTAGCTGGGTGTGGTGGCACGCACCTATAATCCCAGCTACTCGGGAGGCTGAGGCAGGAGAATCGCTTGAACCCGGGAGGCGGAGGTTGCAGTGAGCTGAGATCACGCCACTGCACTCCAGCATGGGTGACAGAGCAAGACTCCGACTCAATAAATAAATAACCCCACTTCATGACACTCTCAATTACCCCATTTCTTTGTGCTGGTCACGCAAGCAGGAAATCACCTCCTGGGGCGCTCCCACAATTCTTAGCAGTTTCTTTGCAGATATAATACTTTCTGTACTCCCACCTCCCATAAAAGCTATTTAGTATGGTTGTGCTCACACCATGGACTGTGATCTTGCTCGGGGAAGAATGCATGCCTGGGTCACTGTTAGTTTCCTCATTGTATTTTGATATTGTCAGCATGTGAGGTGGTCTATTAATATCTGTTCAATGAATGACTGAAAAAATGAATCAATGCTTTATTAAATGATAAATCCATAGTCTGTCGGGTTCACCGACGCCAGCCATCGGTGCCATATTGCCACAAGTGTCCTATGGTAAAGCAGTTTTTCTTGGTCCATTCAAATTGGGATGGGAAGCAGACGTTTTTGTAGAATACACCTCCCGGGCAGAAATGGAATTGCCTCCCTGTGGTGCGCAGATGGAGAATGTCCTCGCATTGTGGTTTCAAGTCCTGGTTTGACGGCCCCACGACCTGGCTTAGACACAGGAGCTGCTCTTCAACTGTTTCTGTTTTTTTGCAAGTTTTGTGAAATTTTTTTCTTCAGAATTGTGCCACCATGTCTTTCCATCCATTATAAAAATATTATATGTCGTGTTTGCCAGAGGAGATCTAAAACAAAATAACAAAAACCACAGTGCTCAGCTCAGCGCACAGGAGTCCTGCTGTCTACTCGCTGGGCAGTGGTGGAGGCTGACGCTTCCCAGCGTGAGGATTCTGCTTCCCATCAGTAAGGTTTGTCATCTGTGAAATTCTTTTTGCCTCTGGGCAGCACAGAGCCTCTGGGATACTCTCTTCCCCCCAGTTTCTCTTAACTAACTCAGGCCACCCACAACTTTGACTGGTCCCTATGGGAGGGGCCACAGTTCTGACCACTTCTGCTGGCATCTCAAGGGGCATGGAGGGAAAATGGCAGGTCCAATGGATGAGCCTTGGTAGGAAGAGGATGCTGGAGGTGGGGGTTGGGGGAGGTGGCCTGAATAAGTCACCAGTTCCAGGAGCCTTGGCATGGAGAGAAAGCAATGCCACTCTTGTGGGGAAATTCAAACACTGCTACCTCTGGAGTCAGAGGGTGGGTAGGGGTGGGGATGGACACTTCCCCTCAACACACACCTCCACCCCATTGCTCTAGGGGCAAGCTGAGCATTCAGTGCAGTGTCAGGCAGGACTGAAGGGCTGTGGGGAGCTGCTCTTCCTTCTGTGGTCAGGAATACATGTCCCTGGGGACGCAGCAAGAAGCACGTAATTTCAAAATGCAGCTATGCATACACGTCATCGTGCAAACCATTTGCTTCCTAGCGCCTGCTCATGGTGAGTGCCTCTGTGCCTGAGCCCCCTCATCTAGAGGCCTAACCAAAATATTTAACAACTGGTGTAGACGGGGGTGTAGACAGGCACTGACCAGTCAAAATGACCACCACTGAAGCAGAGCCTTGGAGGGCCACGGCTGTGCCAGGCACTAATCCTTCATTTGCAGGATCACGGAGAAGATCAGGAGGTCAGTGGGAAGCTCGGGGAAGGCTTTCAGTATTCTAACAAGCAGGACAGCTGTGCCAATGTGAAGGAGCTGAATATCAGCCCTGCTCTCACTCTCCTTCGTGGCTTCAGCCCTCCTCACCCTCTTAGATTTGTATTTTTCCTTTCTTTTGTAAATCCATATTCCTATTTACCAATCTTTCAGCCAGAGCCCTCAATATGGGGACAGGTCTGGCCTAACCGTAGTGGCCTTGAGAGGCAACCCTGGCCCACCCAGGGATCCCCAAACCCGGCTGTGCATCAGAATCACCCAGGCTGTGCCGAAAACCCATGGCCCAGGTCCTGTGTGCTTTGACAGAGCAGGCCAGGGGATGCTGAAGCACAACCAGGCTTGCAGCTTCTGCCCTCCTCGTAAACCAGATCAGCAGGAAGCCCTGAGGGCAGCGTGAGTTCTAACACCCGCGGGTTCTTGGAAGGAAGGTTATGCCAGCACCACGCACGATGGCTGTTTCTTCCTGATGTATGAGGCCAACCCAAGCAGCAACAGCACGATGGCCATGAGGATGGCCACCCCTGAGACGGCGGCGATGATGGTGTTCCTCTGCAGGAAGTGCAGAAGCTGCCCGCAGGGCATAGTCCTAAAGTGAGCATCTAAATGAGAAGACACAGCGCAGAGTGAACAGAGATACCCACCGGGCTACCCACAACCAGGACTAAGCCTGCAAGGGACACCTGTTCATTCCATTCATAACAGAATAGAAACCTTGGCATCTCGGCCGGGCGCGGTGGCTCACGCCTGTAATCCCAGCACTTTGGGAGGCTGAGGCGGGCGGATCACGAGGTCAGGAGATCGAGACCATCCTGGCTAAGACGGTGAAACCCCGTCTCTACTAAAAATACAAAAAAAATTAGCCGGGCGTGGTGGCGGGCGCCTGTAGTCCCAGCTACTTGGGAGGCTGAGGCAGGAGAATGGCGTGAACCCGGGAGGCGGAGGTTGCCGTGAGCGTGAGCTGAGATCGCACCACTGCACTCCAGCCTGGGCAAAAGAGTGAGACTCCATCTCAAAAAAAAAAACAAAAAACCTTGGCATCTTAGCCACTGGTTCCAGAAGTCCTCTTGGGAAGGAACTGGCTGTTTGGGGAAATGCATTCATATGCATTCATCTGCTATTTGGCGATAAGATGGGATGATTTTGGGGGGTGGAGATGAGACACTGAGGATACGGGCTGGCATGCAACAAAGCAGCCAGAAAGAAAGTTCCACAGACAATTTGTAGGAGGTAAAGAGAAGAACAGAGGAGAGCTCAGATGGGTAGGAGGAAGCAGGGGCACTAGAGGAGGTTGAGAAATCCTACTGCAAAGGATTTTAAGAACAATGGAGGCGAACACTCTGCAGCTTTTCACAGGGCAGTGATATAACCTCTTCTCTGCTTCCCCTCCTCTGCCCCCTGGCCTCAGAAAGTTGTACTGCATACACAATCTGCCTCGTGTGTGTAGGTTTGGGAGATTTCATGTCTGCACCAGCACGAGGCAAACACAAGGCCACAGATGATCCTGAGCTCCTGAGCCCCTCTGAGGACTTACAGAAATTGTGAGAGTGGACGGAATACCACTGAGCACAGGCTGGGGAAAACGCGGCAGTCTTAGCTAGATCTCAAAGGAAGGAGATCTCAGCCGACATTAGTGTCTCCTAGAGCTTCTGTCACCCCATTTATAATGTGACCAAAAAAGAAAAAGACATCAGGGAAATCAGGCATGGAGGTATGATCCCAGGTATCGGCTGGTTTCGTGTGGAGAGCTGCCCAGGGCAGCCGGTTATGTAGACAGCAGAGTGCTGAGCAAGGGTCTTCTTGGGTGATGGGGAGAAAACAGGGCATGTCCAGCCTCCTACCTTCAGCTATGCTATGCCAAGAGGCAGCGTATCCAGCAGCTCTAAGGCTCTGCTAGAATAATTCAGCATTTAATTTCTAAGCATTAGGAAGTGACAACCAGGTATAATTTTGACAGGGAGTGGCAGTGTGGAGGGGTGTACTGCACTTGGTACCAGCATGGGTGAGCTTCTGCCCACTCTAAACAGGTCTGGGCTCAGGGATGAGCGAGGGTGAAGCCCTGGCTGTATAGAAACAATATAAAAGTAGCATCTTTTTGGAAGAGTGGTGAAATTCCCGGAGTTGGGTTTTTATTTATTTATTTATTTTTTTAGATTGAGTCTCGCTCTTGTTGCCCAGGCTGGAGTGCAATGGTGCAATCTCAGCTCACTGCAGCCTCCCCCTACTGGGTTCAAGTGATTCTTGAACTGCCTCAGCCTCCCGAGTAGCTGCGATTACAGGCACCCGCCACCATGCCCAGCTAATTTTTTCTTTTGTATTTTTAGTAGAGACGGGGTTTTACCATGTTGGCCAGGGTAGTCTCTAACTCCTGGCCTCAGGTGATCCGCCCACCTTGACCTCCTAAAGTGCTGGGATTACAGGCGTGAGCCACCGTGCCCGGCCTCTGGAGTTGGTTTAATTCATAAATTTTAACTGCAGGTTGTATTCACTGCAGATTTAATTCACTTTAGCGGGTGAATTAAAGATGTCAGTTAAAATACCATGAAAGGCAAAAGACACATTCAGAAGTTGTCCGTATTTAAGCATCATACTTAGTTTATAGGCCATATAGATTCCCACCTGGTTTAGCTGCTCCTTGAAGTGTTTCTTTATCTATAGTAGTTAACTGCTCTCTTAAATCCCTGTCGAACAGACAGGATTCTTTAAAATTCTTCTCCTCTGAAAGGTGATCTACAAAAGATAAAATGTGTTCATCTACAAACAACCATGGCATGTGATTAGTTCAGCGTTTATGATAAAAGTAGCTTCTTCTAGACTCAAAGTGAGGAGTTAGGGAGGACTTGGGGGAAAAGTCTAAATGTCCTACAGAACCTCAGTGTTTTGGTGTTTTATTGTTTTTGTTTACTTTTTAAAAAATCTAACAAATTCCTGGGCAACCCACCCATAGCTGAGGCAGCATTTCTTACACTCGAGCGTGCATCTGAATCACACTGGGAGGGCTTATGAAAACACAGATTCCTAAGCCCCACCCCAGAGTTTCTGATTCCATAGGTCTGGGGTAGGCCTGGGAATGCGTATGTCTCACAGATCCTGAAAGACGCTGCTTCTGTGGGTAGAGGACCACACTTAGAGAACCTCTCTAAGCCCCAGCCTACTTCTCCACTTGCATAAAATAGAGATAATGAGACCTACTTCACAGATTGTACAATGTTCATGAAAATAATTTTTAAAACACGAAGTACTATAAAAATTTTCTTGAGTTGCGAGGACAAGATAGGAAAATTAACCACACTGAAATATT
This sequence comes from Homo sapiens, assembly GCF_000001405.40. Lineage (NCBI taxonomy): Eukaryota > Metazoa > Chordata > Mammalia > Primates > Hominidae > Homo > Homo sapiens. The sequence goes on along the minus strand of NC_000002.12, from coordinate 97,698,454 downwards.
CAGGTATCAGTAGAGGGATTGCAGAATAGTTTAATAGAAAGAAGACAGTCGAAAATGAGAAATATTTGCATCCTAGCTCTGCCCTTTGGTGCCTGACTCGTTTGCATATGGGACCTGTCAAAGGGCCTGAGTTTAGCTTGGAGAAAATCGGGAGGCCAGCATGGCCTGCCTATCTTTGCCAGATGCAGGATGGCCTGGGAAGAGGCTGAGAGATGTTTTGAGAAGCTCTGGGGAACAAACTAGAACCAATGGGTAGGCGCTCCAGGGAAATCTGTTTGGACTGTTTAGCATTTAGAAGGTGAGCTATCAAAGAGGGAATGGGAAAGGATGAGAAGTAATGAATCTCACACCCCGGAAGACTTCAAAGCAGGCTGGAGCCCCCAGCTCCAGATGGGAGACCTCCAAGAGCTGGAAGTGGGGGCGGGGCAGCTTTGGATGGGTTTGGTAAATCTTCCTTGGCCTTGTTCACAGAGAGATAGAGAACTGTCACAATAAGAGTTTGCGACCAGCCTGGGCAACATAGCAAGACTTCATCTCTACTAAAAATAAAAAAAAAAAAATTAGCCAGGCATGGTGGCGCACACCTATAGTCCCAGCTACTAGAAAGGCTGAGGTAGGCAGATGGCTTGAACTCAGGAGATCAAGGCTGCAGAGAGCTATAATCACACCTCTGCACTCCAGCCCAGGTAACAGAGCGAGACCCTGTCTCAAAAGAATAATAAAATTAAACAATAAAATAAAATAACAGAAAATTATCACAATATGATTAAGACCATCATGTGGGTGTCTGATAACAGTCTCATGAAGTTCTAGGTATTCCTGGAAAAAAGAGAGAAATTTGTTCCTTATTCAACTTGGCTTAGAAAAGAGAGAAAACTCCCAATTTAATAAGACTGATAATTAACTTGACTTTTGAAATGCAACATGTCAAATCCGACTCAGATTAATAGCCACAGACAGAAAGCCCTGGCGAGCATGGAGTTATCCACCAGGGGGCGCGCTTGGCTTGGTCTTCCACAGAGCTGCAGCAATGGTAGACCTGACACGGGAACACATTTTCACTCTCTTTCTCTACCAGAGGCAAGAGCCACTGCCTATTCTTATCGTCAGTATGGACGTAAGTTTTCATTTACCTAAGGTTCTTTGAAGAATCTGAAGGCGTCTTTTATGTTTGATGGTTTGTGTTTGATCATTTCTTGGATTATTTTTTTGTGGGAAAAAATAAGCACAATTATCAAATTTTTGACCAACACAGTTTCATTTCCAGATTTCTTTCCAACTTTAGAACTACTAACTATGACAGGAGCAGCCACCCATTACAAGAGCAATTCTCCCGTCCTTCCATGGTGTAGGCTCAACCCAAGCTGCCAATCAAGCATGTGCTGGGCTTGGTAAAAACCTTCTTAAAGGAGTGCAGAACCAAGAAACTCTGACTTTGTGCTCAAGAAAAAGTTGAAGTCTTTCATCTTCATGATTCTCTATGTTTTGGAGACTCTAACATTGACGTGAGCCTTTGATTACATGTTAATAGCATGTTATTGCTAGGACTGATGCTATGTTCCATTCAGTGGACCTATGATCATCAGTAGCTACAGCTGCTGTCCACAGACCTGGGCACACCTTTTAAAAGACACTTCACTTCCCAGAATGGTCATTTCCCCACTCCTCCTCCTATCGAGATGTTTTCGACCATTGGTTTTTTTGTTTTTTGTTTTTTGTTTTTGAGACGGAGTCTCTGTCCCCCAGGCTGGAGTGTAGTGGCCCCATCTCGGCTCACCGCAACCTCCACCTCCTGGGTTCAAGCAATTTTCCTGCCTCAGCCTCCCAAGTAGCTGGGATTACAGGGATACGCCAGCACACCCAGCTAATATTTGTATTTTTAGTAGAGATGAGGTTTCACCATGTTGGCCAGGCTAATCTCGAACTCCTGACCTCAGGTGATCCACCTGCCTCGGCCTCCCAAGTGCTGGGATTACAGGCGTGAGCCACCACACCCAGCCTTTTTTTCTTTTTTTTTTGAATGGTCACTACTGCCAAGGAGGAGGTGCAGACAGTGTGGTCTGGAATTTACTGTCCCTGCAGAGTAGCCTGAGAGCAGCTCCCACCCTCTGAAGATGGATCTGATCAGCCCCCTCAGCTGGCAGACGTGAGCTTTGTCACTGCCTACAGTTCTTCTCAGCCCTCTTCTTCCCTCACTCTTCCTACTTGGAAAAACCCTATCAAGGAGATCAGCCTCTTGTTCTCCCAGAACTCCGTGCGATTACAACGTAAGCACTTTTTAAAGACCTTCAATGTTAGCATGTTTATATCTAATAGTTATTTACCGATTAGATTGACTCTCCTAAGAGCTGTGAGCTCTTGGAGGACAAGAATGCCTCACTGAGCTCTCTAGCTTCCAGCACAGTGCTTCCCACTGGGTAGGACAGATCAGTAGTTAGGTCTTGAGTGAGAGAATGAATCTGGAAGAATCTTGACTGCAACCTCATGGGGGACTCTGAGCCAGAACTACCCTGCTAAACCTGTCTTGCTAGGCAAGACTGCCGGGCATGGTGGTGCGTGCCTGTAGTCCCAGCTACTCAGGAGGCTGAGACAGGAGAATTGCTTGAATTTGGGAGGTGGAGGTTGCAATGAGCCAAGATTGCGCCACCGCACTCCAGCCTGGATGACAGAGTGAGATTCCATCTCAAAGAAAAAGAAAAGAAAAGAAAAGAAAAGAAAGAAAATAAAAGAAAAAATGTTGTCCTGGCTTCTCCTGAAGGAAAAATAAAGATTTGAAAGTAAAATTATGTTAAAGCAATTGACTGAAGAAACAGTTTTAGAAATCAAAAGATCAAGCTAGATAGTAGGCTTTCTATTCCTCAAGCATATCATTTAATTTTACTTAAACAATGATTATTCAGGGGTGAAGGTAAATTATTCAGGGGCATTTTTTATTCAAGGGTGAAGATACATTATTCAGGGGCTGAGGTATCTTGGCACTGTAATATACATTCCTGGGCAGACCACACCTAACATTTGCAAAAAACCAGCACAAGAATTTTAATAGGTTAACAAATGGTACTAGGAAAACAGGATATCATATGCGAAAGAATAAAGTTAGAGCCTTATCCAACACCATAAACAAAAATTAACTCACAATGGACCAAAGACCTAAATGTAATACCTAAAACTATAAAAACGTTTAGAGAAAAACATAGAGCAGAAACTTCATGACATTGGATTTGGAAATTATTTCTTGGGTTTGATACCAAAGGCACAGGCCACCAAAGAAAAAACAGACAAATTGGACTGTATGCAAATTTTAAAATTTTGCGCATCAAAAGACAGTGTCAACAGAATAAAAAGGTACCCCACCCAGGATGGGAAAAAACATTTGCAAATTGTTTATCTGATAAGGGAATGATACTCAGACTATAGAGAGAACTCCTGACACCCAACAATATACAAAAATACAAACAACTGATTCAAAAATGGGCAAAGAACTTGAATAGATATTTTTCCAAAGAAGATATACAAATGGCCAATAGTACTTGAAAAGATGCTCAACATCACTAATCATTAGGGAATTGGCGAGGATGTGGAGAAACTGGAACCCTTGTGTGCTGTTGGTAGGAATGCAAATGGTACCGCCATGATGGGAAACAGCATGGCGTTTCCTCAGAAAATTAAAACCAAAATCATATCATCCAGCAATCTCACTTCTGAGTATATACCCAAAATACCTGAAAGCAGGGTCTCAAAGAATTATTTGTACATCCACGTTCATAACAGGATTATTCACAAGGCTAAAATGTGGAAACAACCCAAATATCCATCAAGGGATAAGTAAGTAAACAAAACATGGTAGATACATACAATGGAATATTACTCCGCTTCGAAAAGAAAGGACATTCTGGGCCGGGCATGGTGGTTCACGCCTGTAATCCCAGCACTTTGGGAGGCCGAGGCGGGCGGATCATGAGGTCAGGAGATCGAGACCATCCTGGCTAACACAGTGAAACCCCATCTCTATTAAAAATACAAAAAAAAAAAAAAAAAATTAGCCGGGCGTGGTGGCGGGTGCCTGTAGTCCCTGTAGTCCCAGCTACTGGGGAGACTGAGACAGGAGAATGGCATGAACCCAGGAGGAGGAGGTTGCAGTGAGCCAAGATCGCGCCACTGCAGCCTGGGCGATAGAGTGAGGCTCTGTCTCAAAAAAAAAAAAAAGAAAGAAAGAAAGAAAGGACATTTTGAAATATGCCACAACATGGATGAACCTTGAGGACATTATGCAAAATGAAATGTCAGTAACAAAATACTGTATGATTGCACTTACGTGAGATATTTATAGTCAAAATCATACAGAAAGTAGAACGGTGGTTGCCAGGGGATGCTGAGATGGAGGAATGGATGGTTATTATTTAATGAGTATAGAGTTTTGGTTTTATAAGATGAAAAGAGTTCTGGAGATGAATGCTGGTGATGGTTGCACAACATTATGAATGTATTTAATACCACTGAACTGTGCCCTTAAAAATGGTTAAGATGGTAAACTTCATATTATGTGTATTGTATAATAATTTTTAAAAATTGAAAAAGAATACAAATGGAGAAACACCTATCATATGTATCAATAATTAAAAGTTATAAATCATGGCTCAGTCTACATATCTATACAAAGACCTGCTGCTTTCTTGGTGGCTAAAGGAACCCCAAGGCTCCTTCCAATCCCCTGCCACTCTGAGTGACAGCACAGATGTGCTGAAGCAGAGAAAAAGCTGGGCCCAGGCCCAAGATTCCTGAGCAGTGACTGGACTCTCCAAGCCTCACTATGACCAAGTAGAATTTATTCTAGGAATGTAAGGTTGGTTTGATATTAGGAAATTCATTATTATCATATATATAATCTTAATAGACTTAAGGAAAAGAATCATATGATTAGTTCCAAAAATTCAGCACCCATTCTTGATTTTTTAAATATGTAATAACAAATGTTAACAAGGATGTGAAGAAATGGGAACTCTTGCACATATTGGTGGGATTGTAAAACAGTGTAGCTGCTATGGAAACAATATGGAGGTTCCTCAAAAAATTAAAGATAGATTTACCATATGACCCCACAATCCCACTTCTGGATACATATCCTAAAGAATTGAAAACAGGATCTTGGAGATATTTGCATACCTATATTCATTGCAGCATTATTTACAATAGCCAAGATGTGAGAGCAACCCAAGTGTCCAACAACAGATAAATGGATAAAGAAAAGATGGTATATATATACAATAGAATATTATTCAGCCTTAAAAAGAAAGGAAATTCTGTCATATGCTACAACATGCATTAACCTTGAGAACATTATACTACATGAACTAAACCAACCACAAAAAGACAAATACTGTATGATTCAACTTACATGAGATATCTAAAGTAACACAACTCACAGAAACAGAAAAAAATACCCAAAAAGTATCTTTTGGACAGATATATTCTCATTCTCAGTATAAATATATGTATGCATACATATTTACATGTATGTGTGTAGATGGAAGGCTAGATATACAGATAATCTCTCATTCATATTAGTCCTATAACCAGACTCTTAATCAGGAAACTCAAGAGGCATTTCTCCAAGAGCAAGAACAAAGCAGGATGCCCACTGTATCTCCAGCAACCATTCAAGATTATCCTAGAGGTATTAGCAATGCAATTAAACATGATAAATAAATCAGGTAGAGGCATAACAATAGGTAAAGATGTAAAACTGGCTGGGCATGGTGGCTCATGCCTGTAATCCCAGCACTTTGGGAGGCCAAGGCGGGCAGATCACCTGAGGTCAGGAGTTGGAGGCCAGCCTGGCCAACATGGTGAAACCCTGTCTCTAATAAAAATTCAAAAATTAACTGGGCATGGTGGCATGTGCTTGTAGTCCCAGCTACTTGGGAGGCTGAGGCAGGAGGATCACTTGAACCTGGGAGGAGGAGGTTGCAGTGAGCTGAGATCATGCCACTGCACTCCAGCCTGGGCAACAGTGTGAGACTCCATCTCAAAAAAAAAAAAAAAAAAAAGAAGTAAAACTATCTCTATAACAGTATACGTAGAATTGAACAAGGCAATAGGACATAAAATTAATATATAAAAATCAAGCCTTCCTATACCCAAACATTAAGTAGGTAGAGAGTATAATGATAGAGAAACCCCCTCTCTTACAATAGCAACACAGAAAATTAAGTGACTTAGGAATAAACTTAAGAAGATACATGTAAAAATCTATGTAAGGAAAACTTTAACACACAGTGAAAATAAACTTGAAGAACTGGAAAGGCATTCCCATTTCTAGCATAGGATGACCTAACATCTGTTTTCCCACAGTGAATATTGTAGTATAAATTTGATGCAATGCCAATCAGAATACCATAGCCTTTTGATGAAGTTAGACAAGTTGATGTTAAAGTTCACATGGAAAAACAAACATGCAAAAATAGCCAGGAAAACAATGAAAAAACAAAAACTGCAAAAGGGGAACTAGTCCGACAAGACATTAAAACACACTATTTTCAGGCGCGGTGGCTCATGCCTGTAATCCCAGCACGGAGTTTCGCTCTTGTTGCCCAGGCTGGAGTGCAGTGGCGCGATCTCAGCTCGCTGCAACCTCTGCCTCCTGGGTTCAAGCGATTCTCCTGCCTCAGCCTCCTGAGTAGCTGGTCTTGAACTCCTGACTACAGGGGAGCTACATCACCCAGCCAGGAATAAGGATTTTTAATAAGCTCTTCCCATTCCCCACCCTGACCTCCGGCTGATGCATGGTGCGGCCCGGGAACTCCTGGCCAGGTTCATAATCCTGCACCCAGGAAAGACCACATATTTACCAGCTTGGACAGTGACCTATTTGGCCTGGTTTTTTTCTTTTAAATCTTTTAAGTCTTTCTAGGGGAGAAATGCTTCATGGATTCTAGCTGCTCATCCTGTCTGTGGAGCCAATCTCCCTCCAGCATGATCAGATAGCTCAGATGAGCCTCTGCTCCTAGCTGGAGGCAGCGCTTTCCCACACTCCTGAGGAGGAGGGGAGAATTCCTCCGGGGCAGCACCTCAGGAATGTGCTCAGCCACTGCCCAGCCCCACCACCCCAGCGGGGGAAGGACCTGCCCAGGTCAGTTTGGGAGGAGGCACCAGGTGTCTGCGGCTAGCTCTCTGTCCCTCCTGGCTGGCATCCGTCTGCCTGCAGAGAATAAACATTCTGATCTGCTCCTCCATGCTGTACATATCACAGAAGCAGACTCGCACAGGGTGGGATTTGGGGAAACCATGGGTATCCTAAACCTTACCATTGATTAGGGAACTCTTCATAATTCAGGGTGAAGCACACACGTTGTACAGCCAAGTACAAGTACTCTCTTGTGGCCAGGTGCGGTGGCTCACACCTGTAATCCCAGCACTTTGGGAGGCCGAGGCAGGCGGATCACGAGGTCAGGAGTTCAAGACCTGCCTGGCCAACATGGTGAAACCCCGTCTCTACTAAAAATACAAAAATTAGCTGGGTGTGGTGGTGTGCGTCTGTAGTCCCAGCTACTTGGGAGGCTGAGGCAGAGAACTGCTTGAACCCAGGAGACAGAGTTTGCAGTGAGCTGAGATGGTGCCACTGTACTCCAGCCTGGGCAACAGAGTGAGACTCTGTCTCAAAAAAAAAAACAAAAAAAAAAAAACAAGTACTCTCTTGTACTCTCTACAAGAGAGTCTGAGCACCATCTGCCAGACCCTCAGCTCTGAACTCAGGTCAGGTAAAAGGAAAAGGAGGGGCCAGGCCCGGTGGCTCACACCTGTCATCCCAGCACTTTGGGAGGCCAAGGCAGGTGGATCACGAGGTCAGGAGATCGAGACCATACTGGCTAACACGGTGAAACCCTGTCTCTACTAAAAAATACAAAAAATTAGCCAGGCGTGGTAGCGGGCCCCCATAGTCACAGCTACTTGGGAGGCTGAGGCAGGAGAATGGCGTGAACCTGGGAGGCAGAGTTTGCAGTGAGCCGAGACTGCACCGCTGTACTCCAGCCTGGGCAACAGAGTGAGACTCCGTCTCAAAAAAAAAAAAGAGGAAAAAGAACAATGACTTACCAACCCCCAATTCCAATTTTATGCATTTGCATTTACCTTTATCAGGAATTTTGTCCACACTGCCAAGGAAATATTCTGGTTTAGGAGAATTCCAAGCAATGCTGGTTCCTTTGATAAGACACATGAATAAAAAACAATAAGAAAAAGGGTATTCATCAGTACACATTTGCAAGCACCTTGGGCCCATATTTTGTATTCCATTTTTTGGTTTTTTTGTGGTTTTTTTTTGTCTTTTGAGACAGAGTCTCGCAGTCACCCAGGCTGGAGTGCAGTGGCAAGATCTCGGCTCACGGCAACCTCCGCCTCCCAGGTCCAAGTGATGCTCATGTCTCAGCCTCCCAAGTAGCTGGGACTACAGGCATGAGCCACCATGGCTGGCTAATTTTTTTGTATTTTTAGTAGAGACAGGGTTTCGCCATGTTGGTCAGGCTGGTCTCGAACTCCTGACCTCAAGTGATCTGCCCACCTCGGCCTCCCAAAGTGCTGGGATTACAGGTGTGAGCCACCGCGCCTGGCTTGTTTTCCATTTTTAAGTTGAAATGCTAATATAGAACTCAACTTGTGTGAGCAAAATGTGTGTTTGAAAGTGAATGCCTTGATGTAGACAGTGGTGCCGCCTCACTGCCGATTGCAGAGGTGCCCAGGCAGTTGTCCTGGGCTACCCTCAGGGAAACTACCCTCAGGAATTGGGGTGCAAACATCTGTCTGCAGAATACCAACACAGTGCCCATTCCCCCTCCCTGCCTGGGGCACTTGTACCCACGGCTGGCAGATTTCCAATACACTATTCTATCCTTATTACTGTGAGCAAATACCTATCTTAATTCCCAAAGTGCTAAATTTTTCCCATAATATGAAGCTGCTTTGGGGAAACAGTGTGTTCTTCACATGTGTCATTTCTATGGGTGTGCTTAAGGTAAGTCATTTTTTGGTCTTGTTTTATCATCCACTGAATGGGGTATTAATGACTGCACTAATTCTCTCAAACCACGTTGTGCACTTAGAAGGATTCGTGTGTTGGGTTGAAAGTTAGGATGCTGCTGGGGGCTCCTGTTGTCGGGAGTGGGGAACCCCACTTGCAGATCAGGTTTCTGTCCTCTGAATGCCTCCAGGGTGGCAGAACCTGCCTAACACTGCACATCAAGGATCACCCCAAAATACAGGGATATTCACACTTTGGAGCACAGATTCCATAGTGAGTGGAAGGTTATAGAGAGGATTTCAGACAGTTGTTTCCTTCATATCTCAATTTGGCTTTGCCCCACCAGTAGTTGGTTTAAAGACTGCTAGTATGATAGTATAGCACATTTAAGACAACACATAGGCCTATAGAAATGTGTGCACTTATTATGTTAATGACATACACTTGCCTTTTCTCATGTCTGTCTTTGTAATGGATCTGACTGCTGTTGCTTCGTTAAATGATGGGTCATACGGAAACTTTGGAAACACCTGCAGTAGAATTTCATCTCCAGTGGAGCAAACAAAGGCATGTTAATACAGCAACGCAGGATTGATATATTTTGCTCTCTAAGTACCTAAAGCAGTCTATGAATACAGTGAATACATGACGCAAACGCCACAGATATGGGACGTTATTCCCTAAAATGCCTTGTCTTGGGAAGGAAAACTCCAATTACCTAAATCATTTCCGGAAAATTGTGATGTCTGAGACATCCTGGGCAGTAAACACTGCCCGCTAAAGATATATGGCCCCAGATCTCCTGATACTTAGTGCCCTAATAACTCTTCTGGTTTCTGTTGTCATTCTGATGCACCTTTGAGGCTGTTCGCAAGATGACTCATAAAAATAGGGTAAAGTTTGTGAGGGCACAGATGAATCAGAACAGATTCTAAAAGCTCAGAAAGCTCTTTCTTTATAAAACTGTTGCTAATTCATGAGGGTTACATTTTTGAAATACATTAAGTTCTCCTTCCCTTTTAAGTTCTCAGGCTTCTGGCTTCCCTGGGAAGAAGCAGTTTTACCTTCCCCTCTAGGCTTTCCTTGCTAAGTCACAGAAAACAGCCCTCACAAAGCCCACTCATCCTATATTTATTCTCCGTGTATTTCCAGGGCTGTTGGTCCTCGGTGGTTTCCACTCGCTTGATGTAACAGGAGCTCACCACAGAGACACCAGAAAATGAACCATTGGGGTCACCAGGACAATGAGGAGCTGCTCTCACCACCTGTCCTTGATGACCATGCTGACCTACGAGTCCCTGGAAATGCTGCCCAGAGGGAACTGCAGAGTTGAGCCGTGGCCTCCAATGCCAAGGCCCACCTGGTGTGAGCTGGGCTGGTCAGTGGACTCTTGAGGGGTGATGGGAGCTTCCCAAACCCCCAACCAGACTCCCATCTTCAGATGCAATCACTCCCCTCCTACACATATGGGGCCGAATTCAGAGACACTGGGGTCACCTGCAAGGCCGAGAACAAGGCTTCTGCCTCCTAGACAGCAGGTGCTGAGGGCACAGCTAGGGGGACTGCAAGTGCTACCTGCATCTGCTCATGCATCCCCTCCTGGTCACCTGCCAGGCAGTTGTCTATGCAGACTGCCCGAGGCCTCTGTGATGGCTCCCGTGGGGAGGAGCAAGCCCAGCGCTCCTGACACGGACAGCTGCCGGAACGGAATAGAGGCCCATCGGGTGTCGAGAGATCTGCTCCCTTGCAAGCAGGAATGAACAGGCATCGCTCTGTGATCCAAATGCCTCCTAACCCGGGGGGAAGCATCAGCGCCACTCTCCCAGTTGCTCCTTCTCACACCTAAGGTGACCCTCAACCTTCACTCCTGATGCACAGCCCAGGCACCCTCAGGAGAGACTTCACTGGCCTTTGGACAGCTTCCTTCAGCAGACAGCTGTGGTTCAGAACCCTTTTCTCCATCTCAGCTCTCTGCTAAAGAGGACTTCCTTGGGCCTTGGCTTTGCTTTGTTGTGGTGGTGGTGGTGGTGGTAAAATACACTTAACATAAAATTTCCATTTCTGCTATTTATTTAGAGACAAAGTCTCGCTGTGTCACCCAAGCTGAACTGCAGTGGTGTAATCATAGCTCACTGCAGCCTTAAACTCTTGGCCTCAAGCAATCCTCCCGCCTCAGCCTCCTGAGTAGCTGAGACTACAGGCATGTGTCACCACACATCCGGCTAATTTTTTAATTTTTTATAGAAACAGGGTCTTGCTATGTTGCCTAGGCTGGTCTGGAACTCCTGGCCTCAAGTGATCCTCCCACCTCAGCCTTGCAAAGTGTTGAAATTACAGGCATGAGCCACCATGCCTGGCCCATTTTTACTCTATTTAAGTGTACAATTAAGGGTATTCAAAACATTCACAGTGTTGTGTAAACATCACCACTGTTTATTTCCAGAACTCCAGGCTGGAGTGCAGTGGTGCAGTCTCAGCTCACTGTAACCTGTGCCTGCCAGGCTCAAATGATCCTCCCACCTCAGTCTCCCAACTAGCTGGGACTACAGGTTCACGCCACCACACCCAGCTAATTTTTTTTTAATTTTTAGTAGAGACAGGGTTTCACCACGTTGGCCAGGCTGGTCTTGAACTTCTGACCTCAAGCAATTCACTTGCCTTGGCCTCCCAAAGTGCTGGGACTGAGGCGCTCGGCTTCCAGAACTTTTAAATCAACTGAAACAGGGCCAGGCACGGTGGCTCATGCCTGTAATCCCAACACTTTGGGAGGCCGAGGTGGGCAGATCATGAGTCAGGAGTTCGAGACCAGCCTGGCCAACATGGTGAAACCCCATCTCTATTAAAGATACAAAAAATTAGCGGGGCATGGTAGCTCATGCATGTAATCCCAGCTACGCGGGAGGCTGAGGCAAGAGAATCGCTTGAACCGGGGAGGCAGGGGTTGCAGTGAGCTGATATCGCGCCATTGCACTCCAGCCTGGGTGACAGGGCAAGACTCCATCTCAGAAAAAAGAAAAAAAAAAATCGACTGAAACAGAAACTCTACACCCATTGCTATGATTTAAATGTGTCCTCAAATTTCAGGTGCTGGAAATTTGATTCCCAATGTGGTCGTCATGTTAGGAGGTAGGGCCTAATGGAGGTGTTTGGGTCATGGAAATTGTGCCCTCATTAAGAGGTTAATATGGTTATCACAGGAATGGGTTAGTTATCGTAAGAGTGCATACCATGTAAAAGGACAAGTTCAGCCCTCCCTTGCTCTCTCTTTCACCCTCTATGGCATTTCCGCTTTCCACCTCTATGGCATTTCTGCTTTCCACCATGGGATGATGACACAGCAAGAAGGTTCTTGCCAGATGCTGGCCCCTCAGTCTTGGACTTCCCAGCCTTCAGAATTGTGAGCCAATAAATTTCAACTTATTACAAATTACCTAGGCTGTGGTATTCTGTTATAACAGCACAAAATGGACATGTAGCAGCTGCACCATCTTACCTTCCCACCAGCAATGTATGAGGGTTTCAATTTCCTTCATCCTCACCAATATCTGTTATTTTTCTTTTTAAAAAAATAGCCATTCTGGCTGGGCACGGTGGCTCACACCTGTAATCCCAGCACTTTGGGAGGCCGAGGAGGGCAGATCACCTGAGGTCAGGAGTTCGTGACCAGCCCGGCCCACATGGCAAAACCCCATCTCTACTAAAAATGCAAAAATTAGCCAGGTTTGGTGGTAGGCATCTATAATCCCAGCTACTAGGGAGGCTGAGGCAGGAGAATTGCTTGAACTTGGGAGGTGGAGGTTGCAGTGATCCGAGATTGCGCCACTGCCCTCCAGCCTGGGTGACAGAGCAAGACTTTGTCTCAAAAAAAGAAAAAAAAAGGCCAGCACAGTGGCTCACGCCTGTAATCCCAGCAATTTGGGAGGCCAAAGCGGGAAGATCATGAGTTCAGGAGATTGAGACCATCCTGGCTAACACAGTGAAACCCCGTTTCTACTAAAAATACAAAAAATTAGCCGGCCATGGTGGCAGGCGCCTGTAGTCCCAGCTACTCAGGAGGCTAAGGCAGGAGAATGGCGTGAACCTGGGAGGCAGAGTTTGCAGTGAGCCGAGATCACACCACTGCACTCCAGCCTGGGCGACAGAGCGAGACTTTGTCTCAAAAAAAAAAAAAAGAAAGAAAGAAAGAAAGAAAAAAACCAAAATAGCCATTCTAGGCCGGGCGTGGTGGCTCATGCCTGTAATCCCAACACTTTGGGAGGCCGAGGTGGATGGATCACGAGGTCAGGAGATCGAGACCATCCTGGCTAACACAGTGAAACCCTGTCTCTACTAAAAATACAAAAACTTAGCCATGCGTGGTGGCGGGCGCCTGTAGTCCCAGCTACTCGGGAGGCTGAGGCAGGAGAATGGTGTGAACCCGGGAGGCGAAGCTTGCAGTGAGCCAAGATTGTGCCACTACACTCCAGCCTGGGTGACAGAACAAGACTCTGTCTCAAAAATAAAAATAAAAATAAAAAATAAAATCCATTCTAAGAAGCGTGAATAGTGATATTTTGCATTTCCCTAATGACTAATGATGTTGAGCATCTTTTTATGTGTTTATTGGCCATTTGTATATCTTCTTTGGAAAATAGCTATTCAAGTTATTTGCCCATTTTTGGAGTGGGTTGTTTGTTTGTTTTGTTGTTAAGTTACAGGAGTTTGCTGTGTCTTCTGGATATTGATCCCTCATCAGATATGTGAATTGCAAACATTTTCTCTCATTCTGTGGGAGAAATGCCTTTGATATACAACAGTTTTTAATTTTGATGATGTCCAATGTAGCTATTTTTTCTCTTTTTGCCTGCTTTTGGTGTCAGATTTAAAACATCACGTGCCTAATTCAAGGTCATGAAGATTTTCACCTATGTTTACTTCTAAGAGACTAATAGTTTAAGCTCATTAATTTAGATCTTTGACCTACTTTGAATTTTTGTATATGGTATAAGGTAATGAGCTAGCTTCATTCTTTTGCCTGTGACCTTCCAGTTTTCCCAGGACCATTTGTCGAAGAGACTGTCATTTCCACTCTGTTGGCTTTGACATCCTTGTTGAAAATCAATTGACTGGCCGGGCACGGTGGCTCATGCCTGTAATCCCAGCACTTTGGGAGGCCGAGGTGGGCGGATCACGAGGTCAGGGGATCGAAACCATCCTGGCTACCATGGTGAAACCCCATCTCTACTAAAAATACAAAAAATTAGCCAGGCGTGGTGGCGGGCGCCTGTAGTCCCAGCTACTCGGGAGGCTGAGGCAGGAGAATGGTGTGAACCTGGGAGGCAGAGCTTGCAGTGAGCTGAGATCACACCACTGCACTCCAGCCTGGGCGACAGAGTGAGACTCCGTCTCAAAAAAAAAAAAAAAAAAAAAATTAGCTGGGCATGGTGGCGCATACCTGTAATCCCAGCTACTAGGGAGGCTGAGGCAGGAGAATGGCGTGAACCCAGGAGGCGGAGCTTGCAGTGAGCCAAGATCGCGCCACTGCACTCCTGCACTCCAGCCTGGGCGACAGAGTGAGACTCCATCTCAAAAAAAAAAGAAAAGAAAAACTGACCATAGACATATGCATTTCTTTCTGAACTTTCTATTCTATTCTACTGGTCTATGTGATTAGCCTTATACTAGTATCACACTGTTTTGATAACTGTGCTTTGTAGCAAGTTTTGAAATGAGAAAGTGAAATTCCTCCAATTGTTTTCTTTTTTTTCAGGACTATTTTTGCTGTTTGAAGCATTTGAAATTCCATACGAATCTTACGGTAGATTTTTCTTTTGCTGGGAAAAAAGCCCTTGAGATTTTGATAGGGATTATATTGAATGTGCAGATCACTTTGGGCAATTTTGACATCTTTTTTTTTTTTTTTTAATAGATACCAGGTCTTATTGTGTTGCCCAGGCTGGATCTCAAACACCTGGGCTCAAGTGATCCTCTTGCCTCAGCCTCCCAAGTGCTAAGATTACAGGTGTGAGCCATCATGCCAGGTCAATTTTGACATCTTAACAATATTAAGTTTTTCAGTCCATGAACATGAGATTCTTTGTTTCTCTATTTTCTTTTATCAGTGCTTTGTAGTTTTCAGTACTGGTATAAGTCTTTCACTTTCTCGGCTAAGTTTATCTCTAAGTATTTTATTCTTTTTGATATAATCGTAAATGGAATTAATTGTTCTCATATCTTGTTTGGATTATTAGTGTATATATCGTTAGTGTATAAAAACACAGCTGATTTTTGTGTGTTCAATTTGTACCCCACAACTTTGCTAAATGCATTTACTGGTTTTAATATGTTTGTGTGTGTGTGTGTGTGTGTGTGTGTGTGTGTGTGTGGAGTCTATATGGTTTTCAACATATAAGATCAAGTCATCTGCAACCAGAGATAATTTTATTTCTTCCTTTCTGATTTGGATGCCTCATTTCTTTTTTTTGCCTAATGACTCTGGCTATGACTTCCAGTACTGTATTGAATAGAATTGGTGAGAGCAGGCATCCTTGCCTTGTTCCTGATCTTTGAGGAAAGCTTTCAGTCTTTCAACATTGAGCACGATATCATCCATGGGTTTTTCAAACAGGCTTTTATTACGTTTTGGTAGTTTCCTTCTATCTCTAGTTTGTTGAGTGTTTTGGTTTTTTTTTTCAATCATGAAAGGGTGTTGAATTTTGTCAAATGCTATATCTGCATCAATTGAAATGATATTTTTTCTCCTTCATTATATTAATGTGGTATATTACAGTGATTGATTTTTATTATGTTCAACCATCCTTCTGTTCCAGAAATAAATCCTTCTTGGTCTGGTGTATAGTCCTTTTAATAGGCTATTGGTTTTGGTTTGCTAATGTTCTGTTGAGGATTTTTCTGTTTATATTTACAAGAGACATTTGTTTTTAGTCTTCTTGTAGTGACTTTGTCTGCCTTTGGTATCAGGGCCATACTCCATACTGGCCTCTTAGAGTAAGCCAGGAAGTGTTTCTTCCTCTTCAGCTTCTTGGAAGGGTTTGAGGACTGGTGTTAGTTCTTATTTATAGCTTTTGTAGATTTTGCCAGAGAACACATCTAATTCTAGACTTTCTTCGTTGGAAAATTTTGATTACTGATTCATTCTCCTTACTTGTTATGTGTCTATTCAGATTTTCTTATTTCTTCTGGAGTCAATTTTGGTAGTTCGTGTGCTTCCAGGAATTTTAAAATTTCATCTAGGTCATCCAATTTGTGAGCATACAAATGTTTATATTCTTCTCTCATTAAATGCTTTCTATTTCCAGAAAATTAGTAGTAATATTCCCACTCTAATTTCTGAATTCATAATGGATCCTCTTCTTTCTTCACCTATCTAGCTAGAAGTTTGTCAATTTTGTTGGTCTTTTTAAGTAACTAATTTTGGGTTTCATCAGTTCTCTTCTATTGTTTTTCTGTTATTTCACTTCTTTCCTCTGTATACTTTACTATTTCCTTCTTTCTCCTAGCTTTCAACTTAATATGCTGTTCTTTTTCTAGTTCCTTTAGGTGTACAATTAGGTTATTTATTTAAGATCCCCCCCCTTTTTTTTTTGAGACAGAGTCTTTCACTGTTGCCAGGCTGGAGTGCAGTGGCACCATCTCGGCTCACTGCAAGCTCCGCCTCCTGGGTTCATGCCATTCTCCTGCCTCAGCCTCCCAAATAGCTGGGACTACAGGCGCCCGCCACCACGCCCAGCTAATTTTTTGTACTTTTAGTAGAGACAGGGTTTCACCGTGTTAGCCAGGATGGTCTCGATCTCCTGACCTCGTGATCCGCCCGCCTAGGCCTCCCAAAGTGCTGGGATTACAGGCGTGAGAAGATCCTCTTTTTTAATGAATGCATTTATATCTATAAATCTCCCTCTTGGCATTGCTTTCACTGCATCCCAAGTTTTGGCATGTTGTGTTTAATTTGCACTTATCTCAAGGCAGTTTCTAAATTCCCTTGTGATTTCTTCTTTGACCCATTGATTATTTAAGAGTGTGTTGCTTAATCTCCATGTGTGTAAATATTCCAGATTTCCCTCTGTTGTAGATTTCTAGTTTCATTCCATTGTGATCTGAAAAGATACTTTGTATTATTTCAGTCTTTTTCAATTAATGAAGATTTGTGTCCTAACATATGGGCTATCCTGGCAAATATTCCATATGCTCTTGAGAAGAATACATATTCTTCTGTTGCTGGGTGGATTGTTCTGGATATGTCTGCTAGGTCTAATTGGTTTAGAGTGCTGTTCAAGTCTATTCCTTTACTTACTGTTCCTCTGTACAATTCTTTTTTTTTTTTTTTTTTTTTTTTTTTGAGATGGAGTCTCGCTCTGTCTCCTGTGCTGGAGTGCAGTGGCGCCATCTCGGCTCACTGCAACCTCTGCCTCCCTGGTTCAAGTTATTCTCCTGCCTCAACCTCCCAAGTAGCTGGGACTATAGGCGCATGCCACCATGCCCAGCTAATTTTTGGGGTTTTTTGGTTTTTGTTTTTTTTTGAGACGGAGTCTCGCTCTGTCTCCCAGGCTGGAGTGCAGTGGCGCAATCTCGGCCCACTGCAAGCTCCACCTCCCGGGTTCATGCCATTCTCCTGCCTCAGCCTCCTGAGTAGCTGGGACTACAGGTGCCCACCACCACGCCTGGCTAATTTTTTGTATTTTTAGTAGAGATGGGGTTTCACCGTGTTAGCCAGGATGGTCTCGATCTCCTGACCTCATGATCCGCCCGCCTCGGCCTCCTAAAGTGCTGGGACTACAGGCGTGAGCCACCGCCCCTGGCCTCTTCTGTCTAGTTCTATTCATTATTGAGAGGAGGATACTGAAGTCTCCAACTATCCTTGTCTCTCATAAACCATGTGGTTTAACATCTATTTTGTCTGAAAATAATACAGCCACCTCAGCTCTCTTTTGGCTATTATTTGCATGAAATACATTTTCCATTCTTTTACTTTCAACCTCCTTGTATTCCCTAAGTGAATCTCTTGGAGACAGTAGATACATGGACAGGTTTTTAAATCCAATTTGCAAATCTCTGCCTTTTATTAAGAGTTTAATCCATTTAAATTTAATGTGATTACTGATTAAAAAGTATTTAATCTGCCATTTTGCTCTTTTGTTTTTGTTTTTGAGATGGAGTCTCACTCTGTCGCCCAGGCTGAAATGCAGTGGCATGATCTCGGCTCACTGCAACCTCTGCCTCCCATGTTCAAGTGATTCTCCTGCCTCAGCCTCCCAAATAGCTGGGATTACAGGCATGCACCATCACGCTCAGCTAATTTTTGTGTTTTAGTAAAGACGGGGTTTCACCATGTTGGCCAGGCTGGTCTTGAACTCCTGAGCTTAAGTGATCTGCCCACCTTGGCTTCCCAAAGTACTGGGCTTACAGGCGTGAGCCACCAGGCTCAGCCATTTTGCTATTTGTTGTGTATATGTGTGTTGTGTTTTTGGTCATTTAGGGGTTTGTGTTTTGTGTGTGTTTTCTTTTGCTCGTCATTCCCCCATTACTGCTTTTTTTAAAAGTTGGTTCTTTATAATGTTCCATTCAACTCTTTATTTCTTTTTCTTTTTTTTCTTTTTTTTTTTTTTTTGAGATAGAGTTTCACTCTTGTTGCCCAGGCTGGAGTGCAATGGCGTGATCTTGGCTCACGGCAACCTCCGCCTCCTGGGTTCAAGCAATTCTCCTGCCTCAGGCTCCCGAGTAGCTGGGATTACAGGCACCTGCTGCCCGGCTAATTTTTGTATTTTTAGTAGAGATAGGGTTTCATCATGTTGGCCAGGCTGGTTTCAAACTCCTGACCTCAGGTGATCCCCCCACCTCAGCCTCCCAAATGGCTGGGATTACAGGCATAAGCCACCCTGCCTGGCTTCGACTCTTTCTTTTACTCTTTTGTTCCATATTTTTTTAGTTATTATTTACTGGTTACCTTGGAAACACCTAAACTAGTTAAAATTTGTTTAAACTTAAACACCTAGTATCTTAAATTTTTAACAACTTAGCTTGAATAGTATCAACTTAGTTTCAATAGTATACAAACACTCTGCACACATATATCTCTATTCCCTTCCCTTTATATTGTTGTTATTACAGAGTCTATCTTTATACACTGTATGACCATTAACAGATGTGTAATTATTATTTCATGCATTCACCTTTTAAATCATATTTTTAAAAGGCAGAAGTTATAGATGAAACCTAAAGTACAATAAGACTTTTAGAGCTAGTAGTTACCTTTACCAGCATTTTTTTTTTTCTTATGTCAAGTGACTGTTAAATGTCCCTTCATCTCAGCCTGAAGGGCTCTCTTTGCCATTTCTCATAAGGCGGGTCTCTCAGCTTTTGTTTACCTGAAAATGTTCTGTTTCTCTTTTATTCTGGAAAGATAATTTTGTCAGATAGAGAATTCTTGCTTGACAGTATTTTCCTTTTTACTTTTTTTTTTTTTTTCCAAGAAAGGATCTCACTCCCATCACCCAGGCTGGAATGCAGTGGGGCAATCTCAGCTCACTGCAGCCTGGACTTCCCAGGCTCAGGTGATCCTCCCACCTCAGTGTGCTGAATAGCTGGGACTACAGGTGTGCACCATCACACCCAACTAATTTTTTTTTTTTTTTTTTTTTAGTAGAAACAGGGTTTTGCCGTATTGCCCAGGCTGGTCTCGAATTCCTGGGCTCAAGTGATCTGCCCACGTCAGCCTCCCAAAGTGCTGGGATTACAGGAATGAGCCACCATGCCCTGCTGATTACATTATTTTTCTTTCAGAACTTTGAATGTGCCATCCTACTGCCTCCTACCCTCTGTGGTTGTTGCGGAGAAATGAGTGGTGAATTTTATTGAGGGTTCCTTTTATGCTGAGTCACTTATCTGTTACTGCTTTCAAGATTCTCTTTGTGTCTGGATTTTGACAATTTGCTAATAATGTGTTTCACTGTGAATCTCTGAGTATTCTGCTTGGAGTTCATTGAGTAACTTGAATGTGCACATTCATGTCTTTCAACATATTCAGGAAGTTTGGGGCTATTCTTCATTCAAACATTGTCTTCATATCTCTCTGTCTTTCCCTTCTGAGACTCCCATAATGTATATTTTAGTATGCTTGATGGTGCCCCACAAGTCCCACATGTTCAATTCATTTTCTTTTTTTTTTTTCTTTCTGCTTCTCAGGCTGGATACTTTCAATGTCTTATCTTCAAGTGTGCTGATCCTTTCTTTTTTTTTTTATTTTTTTGAGGCAGAGTCTTGCTCTGTTGCCCAGGCTGGAGTGCAATGGCGCGATCTCGGCTCACTGCAAGCTCTGCCTCCTGGGTTCATGCCATTCTCCTGCCTCAGCCTCCCGAGTAGGTGGGACTACAGGCACCCACCACCACGCCCTGCTAATTTTTTGTATTTTTAGTAGAGACGGGATTTCACCGTGTTAGCCAGGATGGTCTTCATCTCCTGACCTCATGACCCATCTGCCTCGGCCTCCCAAAGTTCTGGGATTACAGGCATGTGCCAAGTATTCATTTATTACACTTTTCAGCTCTAGAACTTTTCTTTGGCTCTTTTCAATAATTTCTATCTCTTTATTGATATTATTTTATTTATACATTGTTTTCCTGATTTCCTTAAGTTATTTGTTCATGGTCTCCTTTAGTTCAGTGAACATTTTGAAGATGGTTGATTTAACATCTTGTGTAATAATTTTAATTCCCAGGTTTCCTCAGGAACAAGTTCTGCCAAATTCCTTTTTCCTGTGAATGAGCCATCCTTTCCTGTTTCTTTGTATGTTTTATAATTTTACGTTGAGAGATGGACATTCTGTGTATTACATTTTGATAACTCTGGAAATCTAATCCTCTCTTTCAGTGATTGTTGATTTTTGCTTATTGAAGGCTGAAGCCATCTTTTTGTAACTTTTCCAAACTAGTTTTGCAAAGTGCGTACTTCTTGTTGTGTGAAAGTGCTGAATTTTCTGTTTTCTTATCTCTGAAGTTAGTCAATGACCTGATAAAAGTTTCCTTAAGTGTCTATCTCCAAAAAGAGAAAAACAAAAAACATTATTTCCTTAAATCCCCTCAACAGGGCTGCTTGGAAGCCTCTTCAGCCCATAGAGTTTTTTAACTGGCATTTAATAATGCCAGTTAAAACAACTGTCAGTTTTAGTGCTAGCCCCTTGGAGCTCTAAAGTAGCAATCAGCAATCAAAATACGCGCCCTGAGTTTTAGAAGACAGGTCTCTATTGCCCACCCTGGCACCAGCAATCCTCACTAGGAATGTGGACTGCTATCCACACTGCTGCCCGTCACAGGGCTTGGGAATGGAGGATGGCAGCCACTACCCAAAATGTTGAAATTCGGCAGCCTCTTCATCAAGCTCACTCTTGGACACTGCAAGTGTTCTACTAGACACCAATATTCCATAGCTACTTAACATAGTTCTTGCCAGCTCAGTTGTTGTTTTGGTAAAGGGACAGATTCCTGGAGCTCCCCACCCCACCATCTTCCATCTGGGCCTTAGTTTTTCTCAAATAGTAAATTAGAGGCTTGGGGTAGATGAATGAGTCACAGCCTAGAATCACCTGAAGGGCTTTAAAACCTAGTGATGCAAAGGTCTCACCCCATCTCACAGAATCTGATCACTGAAAGTGAAACAAGATGTCTCTCTCTTTTTTTTTAATAGACAGTACAGCTCTGATGCCCAGGCTGGAGTACAGTGGCACAATCATAGCTCATGGCAGCCTCAAACTCCTGGGCTCAAAAGATCCTCCCACCTCAGCCTCCCGAGTAGCTGGGACCACAGGCACATGCCACCACACTTGGCTAATTTGTCGTGTGTCGGGGAGGGGGGCGTTTTTTTAGTGTTTTTTGATATGTTGCTGAGGCTGGTCCTGAACTTCTGTCCTCCAGCAATCCTCCCACCTTGGCCTCCCAAAGCACTGGGATCATAGGTATGAGGCACCGCACCCGGCCAAGGGGTGTCTTTTTTTTTTTTTTTTTCTTTTTTTTTTTTTTTGAGATGGAGTCTTGCTCTGTCGCCCAGGCTGGAGTGCAGTGGCATGATCTCGGCTCACTGCAAGCTCCGCCTCCCGGGTTCAAGCAATTATCCTGCCTCAACCTCCCGAGTAGCTGGGATTACAGGTGCACACCACCATGCCCAGCTAATTTTTGTATTTTTTGAGTAGAGATAGGGTTTCACCATGTTGGCCAGGCTCATCTCGAGGGCCTGGGGTGTCTCTTTTAAACAGTCTCCCCAGGGTATTCTCACACTACCAGATGGTAGCCCTGCTCCTGCTCCATAGATCACTCTTTGAGGAGCAGGATCCTTTCCAGGTGTTTATTTTCCACGTTTAGCTTAATTTATCGAGGTTTTGACTCATAGAGAAACAGATTCTAGCCTCAAGGCAAAGCACTTGCTTTCCCCTCAAAGCAGCAGGAACAGGCTACTTGAGAGACAACCAGGGACAAGCATGCAACTCTTCAAACACAGGCTAAAGGCTTCATAGCAGGAGGCTACTTACCAAATATTTTAGCCAAATGTTCCTCTCGCTCATTTGAACCTGATGCAAATGCAGCATTGTTCAAGCTCTTCTGTTGGGAATAGCCTAAGGGAAAATAAACCATGGCTGTGATTAAGTCTTTCATTGGGTCTGCAGCTGTTCCCTTCAGATTGATACTCTTCTGCACGGGATTTTGAGGTGAGCATCATGCACTTGGCCTGAACCCACCTATTCTGAGTGTCACAGAGCATTCATGAAGTGTCTGCAAGCATCTGAAGTTCCAACACAACACCAGGGGCTAAGCTCATTTTCACATAGTCTGTTGACAGACAATATGCATAAGCATTGAGAGATTTGTGCACATGGCAGGTTTAATGCTACAGGAAAACGGGTAGAAAGGCCTACATGGTGTATGGCAAATGATTTCAAGTACAACCACTTTGATCCAATAAATGACAATGCACAGTTCTCTGTTAATAAGACACTGATAAATCATTAAGAATAGACATACTTAATCATGCAAGCACTTTGCTAAAAATGTGTTCCTCAAAATGTATCTGCCAAGGGAGCATCATAAAACATGGTGCAGGGCAAGCTATTGAGATTATGCAGTGAAATATTCATATGTTTTCTCAATGGCTTATGGAATGCATTGGCAGAGTGATTAGTTACTAAATTGCTTTACTGAGAGTCTTATAATTCCTGGCACACATAGCTGGCTTATTCTGATAACTAATTACTCATTGTTACTTTTCTTCCTAATTCACATGATGTCCACCTTACAAGGTTTCTCTTTTCTTCATGTGATTTGGGGTTAATATGCATTATTTTTGCATATGTGGCCAGCTGCTTCCTCTCAGCATTGGCACTGGAGCATCAGTGCTGGAAGAGAAATCAGCTCTGCTTCTCTGGGCAAATATTTTACAGAGGATGAGGTGGAATGATGGCAGAGGTGACAGGGAGGGACGCAGGAAGACATTACTCTCCCAAGCCGGTGACTTGGGCACTCCTGGGCAGTGACCTATAAAGCGCTGGTGAACAGAAAGTGATTACACTTCTCATAGCTCCTGTTACAAGGAACAGTGAACCCCACTTGCAAACCGGGTTTCTGTCCTCTGCACAGCCTCCAGAGTGGCAGAACATGCCTGACACTGCACGTCAGGGATCACCCCAAAATACAGGGATATTCACACTGAAGCCTATAGACTCCCATATTGGGAGGAAGACTGTAGAGGGGATTTCAGAGAGTTCTTCACATCTCAGTTTGGCTTTGCACCCCCTCCACCACAGTAGTTAATTTAAGGAATGCTAAAATGCTAGCATCGCATATTTGAGATAACACAGAGGTCTGTAGAGGTATGTACACATGTCAGGTTAACGACATATACTTGCTTTTTTGTGTGTCTCTCTTTGTAATGGATCTGACTGCTGTTCTTGTTTCATCAAATGATGGGTCATACGGAACCTTGGAAAACACTTGGAGCACAATTTCATCTCCAGTGAAGCAAACAAAGGCATGTTAATATCAGCAATATTTTGCTAAGTACCTAAAGCAGACTATGAATACAATGAATGCATGACACAAACTCAATGGATATTGGACATCATGCTGTAAATGCCTTGTCTTTGGGAAGGAAACTCCAACTACCTAAATCATTTCCAGAACATTTTAATGGCATGAGACATTTGGGGCAGCAAACACCGCCCACTAAAGATATATGACCCCAAATCTCATGATACTCAGTGCCATAATTCTCCTTCTTCTTCCTCTTGTCATTCTGCCACACAAGCACTGGGGAGGCCCCCAATGATATCAGAGAAGCGGGCCTTTCCCGACCTCCTGCGCCAAAGCCACAGTGGCCTCCCCCAGATTGCTATGACAGAAGGAAAATAAACCACTCTTTGTTTAAGCCACTATACGTCAGGTTTTCAGGAAATTGCAGCCAGGTGCATTCTTAACCGGTACAGCAACTATGGCAACACACGGACTGCCCTCACCGGGATGATCTTGACCACTCAGTTTTATGACCCATTATTGTACAGAGGAACCAAGCCCACCCTCCTAAAGATCATAATGCTCCTGGAGACTGGCCTAGAGTAGAAGACTTCAGATCATTCACACAAGCTTTCACCCAGCCTTATCTCTGCACAGAAACAGTATGAGGTGCTGGGGGTTCAGAGAGGAAGGTGACCTGGTGTGTGGTGTGCCTCCCCGAGCCATCTAGATAGCGGGAGAGGCAGAAGTATATACAGATACAACCAGACATGACACAGCCACACAGAGCTACAAAGCAAGGGCCAGGGAAGACAGGAGGGGAAGAGCTCGGCCTGCTGGGGAAGAAGTGGGCCCTGCTGGTAAGGGTGGGTTCTGGATTCAGTTGACCACAGTATTTATTGAGACCCAAGGTCACTCCTGTTCACCGACATTCGATGTCTCTGTCAACTTCCTTCACCAACAATCTGGCGCTCATGATCTCACTCCAGCCCTGGTAGGCCAGTGTGTGACATGCAAGACACCTGGAAACAGCATCTAGGAAACACTAGCTCATGAGCTACAAGCATCATGAAAAGCCCTTGAAGCAGTCATTGAAGGGGTGCTGCAGACCAGCCATAGCCCACACCAAGATCACACATGACTCACACACTCCACCCCACGCTTCGTGCCACTGAAGAAGGATGTGGAGCAAGGAGCCCAACCCCAGCACTTCCTGGGATGTGACTGCCTGGGACCCGACAGACACAAAGGGGAAAGCTGTCCTCAGAGAGTTTTGAAGCTTGTGTAAAAATGTTCTATATGAAAATTGTACCCACAAAAACAGGGGTAGGAGCCATGGGGGCAGAAACAAAGCAGAATAGATTCTATAAGCTCGGAAATCTCTTTGTTTATAAAGCTGTTGCTAATTCACAAGGGTTACATTTTTGAAATATATTAAGTTCTCCTTCCCTTTTAAGTTCTCAGGTTTCTGGCTTCCCTGGGAAGAAGCAGTTTTACTTTCCCTTCCAGGCTTTCCTTGCTAAGTCACAGAAAACAGTCCTCACAAAGCCCACTCATCCTGCATTCTCAGTGCATTTCCAGGGCTGTTGGTCCTCGGTGGTTTCCACTCGCTTGATGTAACAGGAGCTCACCACAGAGACACCAGAAAATGAACCATCGGGGTCACCAGGACAATGAGGAGCTGCTCTCACCACCTGTCCTTGATGACCATGCTGACCTACGAGTCCCTGGAAATGCTGCCCAGAGGGAACTGCAGAGTTGAGCCGTGGCCTCCAGTGCCAAGGCCCACCTGGTGTGAGCTGGGCTGGTCAGTGGACTCTTGAGGGGTGATGGGAGCTTCCCAAACCCCCAACCAGACTCCCATCTTCAGATGCAATCACTCCCCTCCTACACATATGGGGCCGAATTCAGAGACACTGGGGTCACCTGCAAGGCCGAGAACAAGGCTTCTGCCTCCTAGACAGCAGGTGCTGAGGGCACAGCTAGGGGGACTGCGAGTGCTACCTGCATCTGCTCATGCATCCCCTCCTGGTCACCTGCCAGGCAGTTGTCTATGCAGACTGCCCGAGGCCTCTGTGATGGCTCCCGTGGGGAGGAGCAAGCCCAGCGCTCCTGACACGGACAGCTGCCGGAACGGAATAGAGGCCCATCGGGTGTCGAGAGATCTGCTCCCTTGCAAGCAGGAATGAACAGGCATCGCTCTGTGATCCAAATGCCTCCTAACCCGGGGGGAAGCATCAGCGCCACTCTCCCAGTTGCTCCTTCTCACACCTAAGGTGACCCTCAACCTTCACTCCTGATGCACAGCCCAGGCACCCTCAGGAGAGACTTCACTGGCCTTTGGACAGCTTCCTTCAGCAGACAGCTGTGGTTCAGAACCCTTTTCTCCGTCTCAGCTCTCTGCTAAAGACTTCCCTGGGCCTTAGTTTTTCTCACATGTTCAGTGGAAGGTTCAGAGTGGAGACCAATGAGTCTCAGCCTAGTGTCCCCTGGAGGGTTAGAAAACTACAAATGTGAAGGTCTATCCCCACACCCCAAAATCTGATGTGGGGTGTGTGTGGAATGTCTCAATTGTTAAAAAGAGGATTGCCCCAGGGGTTTTCATGCTCAGTTAGGGCTGAGAACCCCTGGAGGAGGTTCAGCTCGGCTTTGGGGCCTCAGAGCAGAAACTGGCGAGGCAGGTGTGTCACAGCTAGTGTGAGGTGG
Organism: Homo sapiens; assembly: GCF_000001405.40. Classification (NCBI taxonomy): domain Eukaryota; kingdom Metazoa; phylum Chordata; class Mammalia; order Primates; family Hominidae; genus Homo; species Homo sapiens. The sequence goes on along the minus strand of NC_000002.12, from coordinate 97,671,748 downwards.
CATCTGACGCCGCAGTCCCACATGGCCCTGCTCTGCTCCACTGATGCTCAGTAGGGTCCTTTTGAGGTGTTTATCATCTGTTTTGCTTAATTTCCTGAGACTGTGACACGTAGACAGATTCTAGCCTCAAGGAAGAGCACCTGCCTTCCCTTCACAGCAGCGGGAACAGGTTACCTGGGAGACAATGAGGACCATGCACGCAACTCTTCAAATCCAGCCTGAGGTTCCACAGGGAGTGGGGTAACTCACCAAAGATTTTAGCCAAACCTTCATCAGGATTTTTTGAATTTGAGGAAAATTCAGGCCAGGTGCCGTGGCTCACGTCTTTAATCCCAGCACTCGGGGAGGCTGAGGTGGGAGGATCACTTGAGGTCAGGAGTTCGAGGCCAGCCTGGGAAACATAGGGAGACCCCCGACTCTACAAAAAATAAAAATTAATTACCTGGGCGTGGTGGTGTGCACCTGTGGTCCCAGCTACTCAGGAAGCTGAGGCAGGAGGATCCATTGAGGTCAGGAGTTCATGACCAGCCTGGCCAACATGATGAAATCCCATCTCTACTAAAAATTATATTTTAGTAATTACTAATTTACTAGTAACTTACTAATTTAGTAATTTATTAGTTTAGTAAATTAGCCAGGCGTGGTGGCACACGCCTGTAATCCCAGCAACTTGGGAGGCTGAGGCAGGATAATCACTTGAACCTGGGAAGCAGATGTTGCAGTGAGCCAAGATAGCGCCACTGCACTCCAGCCTGGGTGAGAGAGCGACACTCCATCTCAAAAAATTAAAAAATTAAAAATTAAATAAAATTAGATAGTGATGCTTCACAACTCTATGAGTATACTAAAAACCACTGAATTATATACTTTGTAAAGGGTAAATTTGGCCAGACATAGTGGTTCATGCCTGTAATTCCAGCACTTTGGGAGGCCAAGGTAGGAGGATCACTTGAGCCCAGGAGTTTGAGACCAGCCTGGGCAACATAGTGAGATCCCTATTTCTACAGAAATTTAAAAAATTAGCTGGGTGTGGTGGTACATGCCTGTGGTCCCAGCTACCTGGAAGGCTGAAGGGAGGATCCTTGGGCCTGGAATGTTGAGGCTGCAATTAGCTGTGATTATGCCACCGCACTCCAGCTCTGGGTGACAGAGGGAGAACCTATCTCAAAAATAATAACAATAAATAGAAAAATAAAATAAAGGGTGAATTTTATTATATATTATATCCTATAAAGTTATTACTAATTTTTTTTTTTTGAGACAGGATCCCACTCTGTTGCCCAAGCTTGAGTGCAGTGGTGTGATCACGGCTTACTGCAGCCTCGACTTTTTGGGCTCAAGTGATCATCCCACCTCAGCCTCCCTAGTAGCTGGGACCACACGCACGCATCACCATGCATGGCTAATTTTAAAATTTTTTATACAGACAGGCTCTCATGATGTTGCCTAGGCCTGTCACAAACTCCTGAGCTCAAGGAATCCTCCTGCCTTGGCCTCCTAAAGTGCTGGAGTTACAAGAGTGAGCCACTGTACCCGGCCTAACCCTGTTATTTTTTAAATAGTGCATATATATAGATAAAATCAGGAGGGTTAGTTAGCATATGGTGGTTCTTTATACTAATCTTTCTACTTTTGCATATGTTTGGAAATGCTTACAGTGAAAAGTTAAAATACGCATGTATGCCACCCTCCTATAGAGCTCTGAATTTTGAGAAAGCTTCAAAGTTAGGAAAATGTTTTCAGTTACTCCCTTCCCCCAAGTAATAAACCCTGAATGGCAGATTTGGGGAGGTATAGAAGGTAGAGTAGGTAAAGCATCTGTGTTCCCCACACTGTGGGAGGGAACGCCCTCCTCTGCCCCACTTAGGCTTGAAGTGAGGCCCATGTTTCTCTCCAGCTGCCACAGCAATATACCTTGGATCCAGCAGAGAACAAAGAAGAGGGCCATGGCTCTGCTCATCTTTGCCTTAGTCCATAAACCATCATGGAGAAGCCAGTCTTCTGATGGCCCTTCAGATTCAGCAGCTGTGGACTCCAGGGTACCACGGAACCTAACGGTCTATGAAGTCATACACGGAAGTGAGGTGGAGCCTGCTCAACCATGAGAAGGGGAAGGGCCTGTGTCTGTGGACAGTGACGGGGGCTATGCTGGTGGCCCTGAAGTGACTGCCTCTCTGCTCACTTCCCTCGGCTCCCTGGTGCCTTCCTCCATCCTGCATGTCCTGAGGGCAACAGGATATTAACCAGGACTCTGAAGTCACAAGTGATAAAACTTCAACTAAATTGGCTGAAGCGAATTGGAAGTAGCTAGAATAGCCAGAAAAATCCTATGATCAATCAAGACATCACAGCCGGGCGCAGAGGCTCACACCTGTAATCCCAGCACTTTGGAAGGCTGAGGCAGGCGGATCACCTGAGGTCAGGAGTTCCAGACCAGCCTGGCCAACATGGTGAAAGCCCGTCTCACTAACAAAGTGTTGCTGCTTATTATATTAGGTAAAATTATAACACCAAAAATAGCATAGACCAATTGATACGCCCATTTTGTTACTCACGTGTCACTATTTCCCTCTATTACATTTTATAAGTATTAAACTGTTTTCAAAGGAAAAATCTATTATAGTACCTTGTACTACACTTTTTTCTAGTTTTTTCTCCATGTTCATTTTGTAATGGGTCCCACAAATTATGTAGCCAGCCCTGCCCTTGAGCCTTCATGTTCTTACAGTGTCTGTTCCATGGCTGAGATGGCAGATATCTTTTAGGGGTAAAAACTTGCACAAAGAGTTATATAGGGCCGGGCACGGTGGCTCACACCTGTAATCCCAGCAATCTGGGAGGCCAAGGCAGGCAGATCACTTGGGGTCAGGAGTTCAAGACCAGCCTGACCAACATGGTGAAACCCCATCTCTACTAAAAATACAAAAATTAGCCAGGTGTGGTGGCGAGTACCCATAGTCCCAGCTACTTGGGAAGCTGAGGCAGGAGAATCACTTGCACCTGGGAGGTGGAAGCTGCAGTAAGCCAAGATCACACCACTACACTTCAGCCTGAGCAACCGGGCGAGACTCTGTCTCAAAAAAGAAAAAAGAAAATAATCTGCATAGAAGTGGACCCGCACAGTTCAACCCTGTGTTGTGTAGATGCTGACTGAATCGTCTCCCAGTTCTGGAGGCTGGAGGTCTGAGATCAAGACGTCAGCAGGGCTGGTTCTTTCTGAGGCTGTGAGGGAAGTCTCTGTTCCAGGACGTGGGCTCAGATGGCCATCTTCTCCTTGGGCTTGCAAGACATCTTCCCTCCATACACACCTGAGTCCACATTTCCTCTTCTAAGAACACAGGATCATATCGGATTAGGGCCTGCCCTAATGACTTCATTTTAACTTGATTTCCTCTGTAAAGACCCTATCTCCAAATACAGTCACATTCTGAGGTTCGGCGGGGTGGCTAGGACTTCAACATATGAAGAGAGGGTACCATGTAATCTGTAACAGCAGGTCATGGTAACCACAGAAATCTTATTTCTCTAAAATACCTTCCAAAACAAAAACAAAAACTAGAATAAAAAATAACAAAGAATATATAAAACAACACAAAACCCACACCCTCACCACAACCACAGGACAGAAAATGTCCAAATTCCAAATGACTGGTAAATAGAAAAATAAATGCTAACCCGGGCTCCATCTCTTTTGCTTCTGCTGCTGGCCTTTGCAAAGAGGAAACCTGGAGGTTGAAGAGGGTCTAAAATCTCCATCCTGAGTTTGCAAATGCTGAAAGCGTAACCTGGTTGATCAGTACAAATACCCAGGGGTGGAAGTGCCCTGGGGACAGGAGATTGGTGAGACTCTCTCACCAATGGACTCTCTCTCCCTCTCTAAAAAAACAATGATGTTTATTCAGGAACGGGCATTACAATGGGAATAAGTATGGATGTGTTCCAGGAGGTAAAGGAAGACATTTTTTAAAGAAAAAATGAAAAGGGTTACATAGGCTTTTATAAGACAATCATCTTTGGGGCCAGGCACGGTGGCTCACACCTGTAATCCCAGCATTTTGGGAGGCCGAGGCAGGCAGATCACAAGGTCAGGAGATCGAGATCATCCTGGCTAACACGGTGAAACCCCATCTCTACTAAAAATACAAAAAATTAGCCAGGCGTGGTGGTGGGCGCCTGTAGTCCCAGCTACTCGGGAGGCTGAGGCAGGAGAATGGCATGAACCCGGGAGGCGGAGCTTGCAGTGAGCCGAGACCGCACCACTGCACTCCAGCCTGGGTGACAGAGTGAGACTCCATCTCAAAAAAAAAAAAAAAAAAAACTTAGCTGGGCATGGTGGCGGGAACCTGTGATCCCAGCTACTAGGGAGGCTGAGCCAGGAGAATTGCCTGAACCCGACAGGTGGAGGTTGCAGTGAGCCCAGATTGCGCCACTGCACTCCAGCCTGGGCAACAGAGAAAGATTGTCTCAAAAAAAAAAAAAATAAAAAAGAGACCTGAAGGTGCCTCATATACTGTTCAGAGACATTCATGCATATAACAGTCTACACTCGGTGTCTGCTTTCTCTTTGCTTTTACTTAGCAATGTGTCCTGATATGTTTCATATGAAATTATATAGCACTCTCTCATTATTTTTAATGGCTACACAGTGATCTATTTTATGAATGTATAAACACTAGATGCAAATGAATACATACCAATGACTTCATCTGCACAAAGTCCAGAAACAGGCAATACTAATATGTTTTCAAAATTCAGGATAGAGGTCACCTCGGAGGAGGAACAGGTCAGAGACCAAGGGGTAGGAGCTGACGGGGGGGCTGTTCATGCTATTAGGAAAACAGGAGCCTAGGAGAGACAGGGTGACACCATTTTAAAATCAACTGCTTTTTTTTTTTTTTTTTTTTTTGAGACAGAGTCTGGCTCTGTCACCCAGGCTGGAGTGCAATGGTGCGATCTGGGCTCACCGCAACCTCCATCTCCCGGGCTCAAGCCAACCTCCCACCTCAGCCTCTGGAGTAGCTGGCACTACAGGCGCACAACATCATGCCCGGCTAATTTTTGTATTTTTTGTAGAGACAGGGTTTTGCCATGTTGTCCAGGCTGGTCTCAAATTCCTGGGCTCAAGCAATCCACCCACTTCAGCCTCCACAAGTACTGGGATTACACGCATGAGCTACCGTGCCCATCTCAACCCCATCTTTTTTTTTTTTTTTTTTTTTGAGACGGAGTCTCACTCTGTCGCCCAGGCTGGTGGCGCGATCTCGGCTCACTGCAACCTCCGCCTCCTGGGTTCAAGCGATTCTCCTACCCCAGCCTCCTGAGTAGCTGGGACAACAGACGCATGCCACCACGCCCAGCTACTTTTTTGTATTTTTAGTAAAGACAGGGTTTCACCGTGTTAGCCAGGATGGTCTCAATCTCCTGACCTCGTGATCTGCCCGCCTCGGCCTTCCAAAGTGCTGGGATTACAGGCATAAGCCACCGCGCCCGGCCCCAACTCCATCTTAAAACTAGCAAGGCACATTCCTTGCTAGTCCCAACCCATGGTCATAAGATGCTATGGCTAAAAGAGCAGTTTAGTAATGCCTGCAAGGACAAAATCCTACAACAACAAAATGTCCAGATGCTCCAATATTGCCTAACAATATATGATTTAAGATAGTTATAGTTACAGGACTCGATGGCTCACACCTGTAATCCCAGCACTTTGGGAGTCCAAAGTGGGTGGACTGCTTGAGCTCAGGAGTTCGAGACCAGCCTGGGCAACATAGCAAAACCCGGTCTCTACTAAAAATACAAAAAAATTACCTGGGCGTGATGGTGCACACCTGTGGTCCCAGCTACTTGGAAGGCTGAGGCAGGAGGATAGCTTGAGCCTGGGAGGTGGAGGTTGCAGTGAGCTGATATCAGGCAACTGCACTCCAGCTTGGGCAACAAGGTGAGACCCTGTCTCAAAAAAACAAAACAAAACAAAATATATATATATATATATATATATATATATATATATAGAGAGAGAGAGAGAGAGAGAGAGAGAGAGAGAGAGAGAGAGAGAGTCATGCTTTGATGTATTTATGCATTAAAATGCCAAGGATAACTTTCTTTAAATCAAAAAGCACTAAATTTTGTTATGCTGTCAGCCCACCCTCATGTAGACATAGCTTAGTTTTTACATAGATAAGACCCCTCTATAAGAAGAGTTTAATATAAAGAGGGTGTGTTCCCCCTCTTGCTTTCTGAGGATGGCCTACTCTGTAACTGAGTAGCTTTCAATAAACAATCGCTTCTCACTGCACTCTGCAACTTGCCTTGAATTTCTTCTGGGCAAGATCCAATAACCCTCCCTTGGGGTCTGGATCGGGACCCCTTTTCCAGCAACAATATTGTTTCTTGAACTCGGTGGTTATGCAAGTGTGTCCACATTTTAATCATTCATTGAAATGTACATGTACACTTGTGATTTCTGCACACCCGCTTCAATTTTACAAATTTTATGCTCACAACCCATTGGGAGAGGTATATATACAGGGAAATAACTATGGATCCGTTTGGTAAACAAATGTAGAACTCAACTATCCTGCACTCTTGAAGCAGCTGACTCCAGTGCCGCAGGGGGCTACCTGCATGCCAATTCCACACCCAATAATCTTGGGCAGGTTACCAAAGTGTGAAGACCCTGACTGAAAAATGGGAGTAATAATACAACTACCTGATATTGTTGCAAGGATTTAATATAACTTATGTAAAGTGGGCAGAAGTGCTCCGCAGGCACAGAGCAGGTGCTCAATAAATGCCAGGACCAAAATACCACGAAACTGTAATTTTTATAAGGAAAAGGATCTTTTCTTCAGTGCTCAACGAGGAAATATTATGGGGCCGTGCGCAATAGCTGACGCCTGTAATCCCAACGCTTTGGAAAGACTAAGCGGGAGGATCGCTTAAGCTCAGGAGTTCGAGGCTAGCCCGGGGAACATAGCGAGATCCCTTCTCTACAAAAAAAATTTTTTTTAATTAGCTAGCGTTGCGCGGTGGCCGTATGGTGGCCAATGAGGTTTATCCGAAGCGCGATTATTGCTAATTGAAAACTTTTCGCAATACCCCACCGTGACGACTTGCAATATAGTCGACATCGGCAATTTTTAACAGTCTCTACGGAGACTATTTCAGTAAAAATAAATAAATATGGTGCGCGCCTGTAGTCCCCCCTACTGGCTGGCGCGGGAGGATCGCTTGAGCCCAAGATTTCCAGCCTGAGCGACAGAGCAAGACACCTTACCTAGAAAAAAAGAAAAAATAAATATTTTGGGTGAAATATCCAGGGCCGGCCTCCTTGGAGAGGGCGCTCTCACGAAGGAGCGTGGCCCGAGGTGCTGGGACGCGGGAAAGACGTCTTTCTGGACCGGTGCTGGGACGCGGGAAAGACGTCTTCCTGGACCGGTGAATTTCCAGCTCCACAGACTCCGGCCGCGCGCACACCAGCCCAGCTCCACTTTCTGCCGCCCGCGTCCCCTTTAAGACGGAGCCATGACATCATCCCAGACACTGCGCAGCCTACCTTGGCAACGCCGCGACCACTTTTTTCCGGACGACCTCAATTGGCTGGCCAGCCTCCGGAGGCCCCGCCCCCTTCGCGCAGCCAGCCCCGGGCACCTGCTGTCAATCGGGCCAGGTGGGAGCGATGATTGGCCGCCGGGCCCGCCCTCCAGAAAGCCCCGCGGGGCTCGCGTAGGCTGCAGGCTCGGGGAGGGAGGGCAGCGGCGCCGCGTCGGGAGCCGCCGCCGTCCCGGTCCTCCCGCCCGCCCGCCCATCCGGTGCCTCCTGCAGCCCGCCTGCTGGGCAGGGCCGGCGCGGCCCGGCCATGGAGTCCTACGACATCATCGCCAACCAGCCTGTGGTCATCGACAACGTGAGGCCCGGCAGCCAGGGGGAGGGCGGGCGCCCCGCCCCCGGGGGCGCACGCGGCGGCGCAGGGAGAGACCCCCGCCCGCCTCGGCGCGTCCTCCGCTCACTGCGTGGCCGTCGCCCCCGCCGGGCCGCTGGCTTCGCCCCGGGGGCGCGCGCCCTCTTGGCCTTGTAAGGCCGGCCATGGGGCGAGCCCCCTCGCCCGCGTCGCAGAGCCTCTTCCCCGACCCCTCCCCGAGTCGGGCGGGGAAGTTCAGGAGAGCTTGAGTGACAGCCGGGCGGCCGGGCGGGGACGCGCCCCGGACTCTTCTCAGTTGAGAGTGCGGTTCCTGGGCAGGTTTCCACACCAGTTCCTTTCCGCGTCCTTCGGCCCTGGCTCTGGCTGCCTGGCGGAGGTGGGGTAGCATTTGTCATTTGCACACTGCTGGCTTTATCTTTGGGGCTGCACCCCGAGGCAACAAATGCAGGATGCTCTGTCACCCACATGTCCACCACCATCTGGTTTGCCTTTTGGCTACTTTGACTTTCTCCTTAAATGCTTCCTGTGCTGAGCAAACATTCCACAGCCAGCAGAGCAATGGAGAGTTCATGGCCACTCTTCCCAGTATCAGCAAGCAATTTGGGGTGATCGTTTGGAAGCCTCAGAGGAAAGATGTCATCAGGCTTCCTGTGGCTTTGTCCTTCAGCAGTGGGGCTCGGCTTGCTTTCACCTGCCTTAGGAAGATTTCTGGCTTCCGAGCTCTGATATGGGGAGAAGATAAGGGCTGGGATCTTTGAGTCTGCCCCTAGCTGGGTATGTGCGTCCGGTGTGCGGGCCTTGGAGTTTTTGGTAATGACTCACTTGTGCTCTTTCTGGGATCTGTCTCCCTCCCACATGACCCCGTGGGGTCCCTGAATGACTGTTTTAGAGTACCCATGTGGGTTCCCTGAGTCACAGCAGGGGATGTTTAATAAGGAGGTTAGCACTGAGCTTGGGGACGTGCTGTCACACCAGCAGGACGCTGCAGGAAGGAGCAGGCTACTTCCTTTCTTGACGTGCAAATAACTCGTATAGGCTAATCAACAGGCTTATAAGTTAAAAGGGCTACCGCTCGGCCCCTTGGGGATTCCATCCCCTCCTCTGTAACTTGGAGATGTTTGTTTCTGCTGCAGACTCAGAGGGTTGCGATGAAGAGTGGTGGGACTGAGTTGAGAAGCTTATCCCTTCGCTGGGTGGGAGGTTTCTAATTGCCCCGTTCTTTGGGGGATCCTTAAGTCCAGCTTCCAGGTGGGGGCAGCGATAGGACCAAGTTCTCCTAGTAGTCTCTGGGAAGCCACTTGAGGGAAGCTGCCGGTCATCCCATGCACCCATTGGTCTTCTCCAGCAGGCCCTGTAGGTCGTCCATGTTCCATGCCTTCTGGGTTCTTGGGGGAGAAGGAAGCTGTTGAAAAAAAAAAAAAAAGACCCACACAGAGGGGTTTCTTCTAGCTTTTGGGAGTAGCATGTGCTATGGAATCCTGCTGGAGCCAACCATTAGTTGTGCAGAGGAAGGTGCCCTTCGTGGTTTCTCTATCTCTATATTATTGACATTCTGGGCTAGCTCCTTGTTGGTAGTGCAGGCTCGCCTGTGCATCGTAGGATGTTGAGCAGCATCCTTGGCCTCTGCCCACTAGATGCCAATAGCATCCCCCACTGCATGTCCCCTCTCCCCAGCTGCCAGACATTGCCAAATGTTGCCAGAGCAGGGGGATACAAAATTGCCCCCAATCTTGAACCATAGGTGTACTTGTAAATGATCCTGGCAGGGTCCCTGGCTTCCTCCTTGGCCTGCCTTGACGGGGCAGCCAGCTCTCTCCATTGCGGGGGACTGGCTTCATCTGGTGGTGCATGTGGGCAGCTCAACTTTGTTTTTCCTTGCAGGGTTCGGGGGTGATTAAAGCTGGCTTTGCAGGAGACCAGATTCCCAAATACTGTTTCCCAAACTAGTAAGTGTGGCTCAGGCAGCAGCCTTAGTCCTTTTGTTTACCTTCTGTAAGAACATTGGCCTTCTGTCACAGGGCTCTTTGAAGACAATTTGTGCCCTGACCTGTATGGAAAACACCAAATTTGTGAGGTTGACACTCTTGAGAGAGCACTGAAAGAACAAGACAAGCGTTCTAGGGTTCCCCTTTGTCTTGGGAGTCTCTCGTTTTGGTCTTGTTGAGCCAGCAAGGAGGAAAAGCAACCAGCATTTCCCTGGGGATGGGGTGTGGTAGCAGCAGCAAGAATAAAGGGAGACATCTCCGAGGGGAGCCCTAAACTCGGAGCAGGAAGAGTGAGGAATTAGATGCACAGCCACCCTTTCCTCCCTGGAAGTGTTTTCTGCCGGGCTTGTTTTCAGACTCTAGAAAATGTCTTGTTTCAGTTAAGAGGGGATCCTTTGCCCTGTATGGTACTGGTGGGGGCGGGAATAAGAATTGCAAACCCAGAGAGCCTGGGGTGCCCCTTGCACCCACCACGAGCCCATTGGGAAAGTTGCCCTTAGGGGCACCTCTTCACAAATCCTGGAGGCTTTGGAATGAGTGGCCTAAAGGCAGCGGGCAGCAGGGGATCCTAGGCCCCGAGTGGCAGGCTAGCCCGAGCCCGGCCTGGTCTGGGACAGAGCTAGCATGGTGCGCCCTGTCGAGCTTCAGCATTCCTTTCTGACTGCATGGGTATAATTAGAGGTTCCTTTGCCTTTAGTGGTAGCTCATCAGATCCTATAGTTTCCAAGAACTGAATCTCTGATCCAGAAGCGCTGGCAGTGGGGTAGGGCGCTTGACTGAGTGAGAGCAGGGTGCACAAGGGAGCCCCGACCCAGCTTCCTGGGGTTGTCCTCCCTCAGTCTGTGGATGGTGACGGCAGCCCTGCCCCACCGAAGTCAGGAGCGTGGGCTGAGTCACTGTGGCTGCAGGAAGCCGACCCTCTGCAAGGGCTGGGCCATGGAGGGCTGGGTTCTGGCGCTCAGACATGCAGCTGTCTCTGCTGACCGTGCCTTCTGACCCTGAGCTTCTCGTCCTGCCTAGGCCCCCTCTCTAGCCCCGAACCCCATAGGCCCCAGTTCCAACCTGTGCCCCCCAGCCACATCCTGGTGTTTGGAGGCCAGGTACCCTCTGGGCGACTATGGTTGGATTTCGGTTTTTCTGGACACAAGCTCTGCCATGCTCCCTGCCCACCTTGCTGACGTTATCCGTCCTAACAGTGTCGGGCGGCCGAAGCACATGCGGGTGATGGCTGGAGCCCTGGAGGGGGACCTCTTCATCGGACCAAAAGCAGAGGTAACACCGAGGAGCCTGCCTTTCCCTGGGGGTGGGGTCCTCAGTTGCAGGAACATGGCATGTGTTCTTGGGCCTCTGCTGGTGACCTCCCGGGTACCTCCTCCAGGCTCCAGCTGGGAAGTGCTGTGCAGGGGCACCTCCCCCTGAGATGGGGCAGCAGTTCCTCTTCTAGGGAGCATGGGTAGAGCTCATCGTGTCCTGTCTTTTAGAAGCTATTTGGAAGCTACAGAACCAAGAACTGATCAAAAAGTGATATAAGAGTCAGAATCACACACACTTCACGTCTGCTCTAATGAGGGCCATGGGGCCGCCTCTCACAGTGAAGCCGGAGTGTCCCACCAAGGGGCTGCATGGCCTGATCAGACCCTCAGGAGAGCATGTGTGGGTGTGGGGAGAGCAGCAAGCTGAGCTTGGCCAAGGGCAGTTTAGGCGCCTGAGGAGCATTGTGTCGGGTGCCGGGGCGTGGGGCATGCGTGGTTCTGGGCCCAGAAAGGGGAGGCCTGAGCTGGAGGTGCAGAGGGTGGGGGTCTCGCAGATGGGGTCCGTAGGAGCCGAGGTGGTGAGAGGAGCTAAGTGGTGCTAGGTGAGAAGGGGCATGGCTGGGGGGACATCGAAGGGCAGGTGGAGGCAGCATGTCAGTGCAAACAGGGGACTGGTGAGGACCGGCCAAAGGGCTGGGGGGAGAGGCGTAGGTCAGGGGGCACAGGTGGCCCAGGAGGGGCCGTGTTGGGCGGCTGCAAGGTGCCGGCGCTGGCCAGAGGGGAGCTGGCAGAGTGTGAGGAGAATGTGGGGGATGTGCCGGCAGTGAGAATGGGGAAGAAGAGAGCCTGCAGATTGCGGGGCACACTGCCACCCTCTCTGATCCCCCCAGCTGAAGCTAGCTGGGCTCTAAGAGCCTAAGAAGCTGGTGGGCAGGTGAGCCCATGCTGAGTTCAGGACCCGCCACAGACCCTGGGACACCCAGTGAGCAGGGGTGGTTCTGGTCAGGGCAGGTGAGGTTCTGGTCAGGGCAGGTGAGGGTCAGCTTCCAGGAGGGCGGAAAGCAGCCGCTGAGCAAGGGCCGGGTGCCACACCTCCCTTCCCACCCCACCAGGAGCACCGGGGGCTGCTGACCATCCGCTACCCCATGGAGCACGGCGTGGTGCGAGACTGGAACGACATGGAACGCATCTGGCAGTACGTCTACTCCAAGGATCAGCTGCAGACCTTCTCGGAGGAGGTGTGGCGGCTGCCCCTCCTGCATGCTCTGCATTCTCCTGGCCATGCCCCTCTCCTCTGCGTCCCTCCTCGCCGGGCTCCCACATTTCCCTTCTACATTTCTAGAGGGCCTGCTGCCTTTCCGTGTGTGTCTGGGTGCGCATACGTACCCAGTGGCTGCTAGGCAGAATCTTCCAAAGAGAGCCGGATCTCCGGAAGAGTAACTGCCAGCAGATAAAGGGATGGGGCCCTCAGGAGGGGTAGGAGGCTGAGCTGCCTGTGCGCCAGCGGGTGTGGTTCTCTGGAAAGAGCCTTTTAGGGCCTTGCAAGTTGCCTCCTCTGATGCCTACAACTGTCCCGTCCCTCGCAGCATCCTGTGCTCCTCACGGAGGCCCCGCTCAACCCGAGTAAGAACCGGGAGAAGGCGGCAGAGGTGTTCTTTGAGACCTTCAACGTGCCGGCCCTGTTCATCTCCATGCAGGCTGTGCTCAGTCTGTGAGTGCTCCCTAAGCCTGGCCTCCCTGAGTCCTGTCCTCCCTGTGCCGTCCTGCTTGCCATGACCAGGGTCTGACTTCCCTGGAAAAACAGCCCCTTGATGACTGTTCCTCTAGGGAGTCCCTCGTGTCCTCTCTTCAGACTAGATAATGCAGATGTGCCAGGGTTCCTCCCCTGGGTGAGGAGGTCCCCGTGCCTCAGTGGCTGAGGTGAGGGGATGCTGACCTGGTGACAGGTACGCAACAGGACGCACGACAGGAGTGGTTCTAGACTCAGGGGACGGGGTCACTCATGCTGTGCCCATCTATGAGGGCTTTGCCATGCCTCACTCCATCATGCGGGTGGACATTGCCGGCCGCGACGTCTCCCGCTACCTCCGACTCCTGCTGCGCAAGGAAGGGGTTGACTTCCATACCTCGGCTGAGTTTGAGGTTGTCCGGACAATCAAAGAGGTGACAAGGGGCGAGAGGGTGTGGACACGACCTGGGGTGAGGAAAGGGTGGCACCAAGGCACAGGTGTCCCAGGTGCAGCCTTCTGAGGGCTGTGTCCCTGTCCCCGCAGCGAGCGTGCTACCTGTCCATCAACCCACAGAAGGATGAGGCTCTGGAGACGGAGAAGGTGCAGTACACGTTGCCAGACGGCAGCACGCTTGATGTAAGTGGCCGGGCCTGGCACTGGAGTGGCAGCCGATGCCCAGCCTGGGGGAAGGGGTAGCCCGCTTCTCCAGGAAGCCTGTCTGCCTCAATCTTGTACACTAAAGGTGGGGCCTGCACGATTCCGGGCCCCCGAGCTGCTGTTCCAGCCGGACCTTGTCGGGGATGAGAGTGAGGGGCTCCATGAGGTGGTGGCCTTCGCCATACACAAGTCCGACATGGACCTGCGCCGGACGCTGTTCGCCAACATCGTGCTCTCAGGTGGCTCAACGCTTTTCAAAGGTACTGTGGCTTGAGAGTTGGTGGTGGTGAGACGAGGCCCAGGGCAGCTGGACCCTCAGAGAGTATACCCCTACCCAGAGCCATATTCTGTTGGCTTTTTGGTGGTGCTCAATGAACATTTTTTTTAACAGACCAAAATTTAAAATTAAATTTTGTTTACTCTGTGAATAGAGGAGAAGTTTACACAAGCTCTAAAGTGTATTGTGAGAGTCGAGCAAGGAGCATGTGCGGCTTCATCTCACGCTGCCTCTGTGAGGACGCAGGGCCCGCAGGCAGCCATGGGGCTGGATCATTTCTCAGCCTTGCCCTTCATCCTGGGAAGAGCTGCTGATAGAGGACCAGCAGTAGCTGGGGGCCCTGAAGGCTGGGTGCGGGAGCTAGCAGCGAGGAGGCCGGGTGCAGACCCCAGGCTCAGCCAGCTTTGTGTTCACAGGCTTCGGAGACCGATTACTCAGTGAAGTGAAGAAGCTTGCCCCAAAGGATATCAAAATCAAGGTGAGGTTACAGAAACTCCCCCTGGGGCACTAGGGCGCTGGCAGCCTTGGCATGGGGAGGAAGGTTGAATGCTGCCCCCAGACCCGCTCACCAGCTCACGTCCACCTAGTCCTGTTCTTCCCAAGGCTGCTGCTGCCACTCCCCAGCTTATGCCTTTGCTGTCAGGCTTCAGGACCTGGGGAAGGTGACCCCAAGGCTGGGAGGATGGCTTCTGGGTGGGGATCCACAGTTAACGTGGCCACTTCCTCCTTCTAGATCTCAGCCCCGCAGGAACGGCTGTACTCCACATGGATTGGGTGAGGCGGGGCTCAAGGGAGGGCTCTGGGAGGAGACCACTTTACCCTGGATGCTCCTCCCATTGTTGGCCTAGGCCACGTGGAGGTGGGTGGATTTCCCTCCCAAATTAGGGAAATGCAACTCTGAGCACCCAGGAAGGTGGTTGGCTCCCTGACAGGTCCACAGCAATACTATCCCTCCATCCCCACAGCGGCTCCATCCTGGCCTCGCTGGACACTTTTAAGAAGATGTGGGTGTCCAAAAAGGAGTATGAAGAGGATGGCTCCCGTGCTATTCATCGCAAAACTTTCTAGTGCCCAAGGAGGGCGGGGCATGTTGGGAGAGGGGGAGGGAGGGGAGACAGAGCCTTTAACCCTTTTTGGTCTTGGCTCGTATACTAGGCTTAGGGTCCCCTGCATGCCCTGAACCCCTGGGTGGGTGGCACAGCAGTGCCCCCCTGCAGCCTTCCCCTCTACACAGGACATGCACACACAAGTAACATTGAGCTGCATGGACAGGAGCCTTGAGCTGGCGTGTGGGAATTGAGCGCCATGTCAGGCTGTTGTGGGTATCCCCCTGGCAGGGCCAGCTAGGCCTGTGGTTCCCTGCTCCGACTCTCAGGGCTGCCTCCCTGAGCTCCAGGGCCAGAATGCCTGGATGCCTGGGTAGCCAGTTTGGGGAGTGGGCTGCAAGGGGCAGCCAGCAGCTCCCACTGGTGTGTCACTGCATCCATTGCCACCTCCTGTTCGTGACCTGACAGGGTGACACAGCCCCTTTCACACTCTGTCCTCCTATCTTCCTGGGTAGATGCCCTGGTGTAGGGCTGAGTACTGAATGGTCTTCCATCCCCAGCAAGGGGGTGCAGCCCAGGGTCAGGCCCTTCAGAGCCAGGGCAGAGGATGCACGGTGGCTAGAGCCGCTGCACTATCCTTTTCAGAGCACTTCATCCACTTGCTCCTCCCTCTACCCTCGGCACCCTGGGTGGGAAAGGGTTGATGCTCATCATTTATTGAGGGGAAGCCACTTAATAAGGAGTCAGACCTAAAAGGGGGTGGGGGACATTTTCTTACCTCACCCAAGAAAGAGGTCGTCACTTTTGCTGTGGCCAGGGCCCCACCTCCCTCTCTCAGATATGTACAATAATTTAACACGGTTGCCTGAAAAAAACTTTTGTAAATCATTATAGTAATAATTATGGACAAGGCCCAGTGTGTGGCTCTGTTTTCTTGTGGCTCTCTGTGCTATCGTTTGTTCTTCCATCCCTGGGGACTTTCAGAGAAAGGACCAGAGAGAATGCAGCAAGGCACTGGCTCTAGCTTAGCGGCATGAAGGTTTCAGTGGTTGGCCCGCCAACGTGGCACAAAAAGCCTCAGGAGGCTGGGCTCTCACCCTGTAGCATAATTCCCTCGCCTGTTACCTCCCCTGCTGCAGTCCACCAGGGGAAGTAGAACCAGGCTACCTTCTTTGCCCCCGGACCCTGGACAGGCCTATTTGAGCACCTCTGCTCACCCCATTCAGCCAGGGCTAAGGCTGGTGGACACCAGCAATGATGCAAGCTCACGCCTTCAGACAAGTCAGGATGGGGAAGGCAGGGAGAGGCAGAGAGGCTGTGAGCTTAGCCAGGCCCTAGAGGAATAGGCAGAAGAGCAGTGAGGAATTAGGGTTTGGAGAATGTCTGCTCTTTACTTTCTTAAGTGTTTGAGAACCTACAGTGTTTCCAGGATGGTGCCGTGTGTTTGGGGCCAATGGTCAACAAGTTATATCCTTGCCCTAACAAATACACACGTCAAGGGAGAAAGACAGATGAGCCATTTTAGTACAGAGTTGTGGGGGCCGAGGCGTTAGTCATCTGGCCCGACAGGTGGGGCAGGCCGACTTGCAAGGATCCAGAGGTTATCCAGGGATGGGGAAGGCATTCTATGCAGATGTGAGAGCCCAAAGAAGCACCTGGGACCAGTGGGTCTGGAGAGGAAGGCAGGGACCCAATGCCCAGTCAGCAGGGAAAGGTCAGTGGTCTGTGGTCATTGTGTGAGATGAACAAAAAAGGTGGGTTGAGCTGGCACATGGAGGATTGTTAGCTGTGTCCTGGGAGATGGGTGGCCAGCCATAGAAAGATGGTGACCAGAGCAGTGTGTTGTAGGCAGTTGGGGTTTGTGGGGGGTGAGGGCAGCCCCAGGACTGAGGAGATGAGGTAGGAGTGAGGAGAGTACTGAGGCCTGTCTGCCAAGGCGTTTTGTGAGGCTTTGTGGTCACAAGGCAGTTATGCTTGCACTGGCCCTCAAAGGGAAAGCAGAATTTGCACGGAGAACTCCATATTAGGGCACCCTCCAGACCAGTTCTTCCCACAGTGCTCTGTTCATGGCACCACTGGCTCCCTGCCTCCCAGGTTAGAGCCTTATCCATCGACGCTTTCCTCTTCCCTGTCTCTCCCACTCTGTCAGTCACCAGGTTGTGTGGTTCTTCTGTAGTACCTTTCCCACTGGTCCGTTCTTTTCCAGCACAGCCACTGCCACCATAGCTATGACCACAGCTCCATTCCCTGGCCACCCAATCTATTTGCTCGTGGATCTAAAGCCCAGATAAGATTGGTTCTGACACCTCCTACTCCAAAGTGTCAAGTGGTTCTCCACTGCCTCGTGACATGAAACAATTGATGTGATGCTGGTAAAACCACCTACGTGAGCCACATGTTGTGTTTGACTCAGGCCCCTTGAGATCTGTTCCTTCCCTGTTTTAGGTTTACCCCTCACATCCTTTGCCTGCTAGCCTTCAGGCATGCTGTTCTCTCCATGGGAATGACCTTCGCTTGTGCCTGTGAAAATCTTGTCCTTTAAGGCAAAGCACCATCCTCTGTACCCCCTCTTCTGGCAGGTTTAAGTGCTCAGACTCTGCCAGCTTCTTACTGTTGGAAAAAGCTACAGATGAGGAAGGTAGTACAGCTGGAATGAAGCCTGTGTTGGATTGGAGTTGGAGGTAGTATGAAGTCATGGTTTTAATATACATACAGATAGATACCAAAATAAACACATCTGTGTGTGAGAGCCAGCATCAGAACATACACATGCATTTCCTAGCCCTGTCTGTTGGGAAGGTCTGGAAGCAATGACACTACAATAGCAATGAGCACATACAGTGTCCAGATCTTGGTTTCTAAATACCATTCTGGGAAAAAGTTCTTTATTCTGTACTTGTAAATAGTTTAATACCATTAGTGTGAGGCCTGTGTTCTCCCTTGGTGAGGGAAGATGGGCTCCATTTTCTAAACTAAGCTCAGATAGAAGCCACTTCGACCCAAGAGCAAAGGTTTGGTCCTCCTAGTAGGGGACATGACATTTCCCCTGGGACAATTCCCTGAAACAGGGAAAATAATAGATGAGCTTGGAATATTCTGTGGTACCATAAAGTAAGGAAGTGAAAAAGGGAAGGGCTTGTCTAAAGGACACAAGAACCAACTAGAAGGAGCACCCAATGCTCAAATCTGTAACGGATGATAAGCCATGGCATAAAATATGCGTGAGTCATACTCATGCAAATAAATAACTGAATAAATGTATACATGGGGAAGAAGGGACAGTTCTCACTTATGGTAAAATTCCAATTGATGTCAAAGGAATTGTGGGAAAAAAGTCACCATTGAGGAAACACCATAGTGATCATTGTTGCAGGTAAGAATGGAGACAAAAATCAGTGGGCAAAAGTAAAGACATTTGTGTTGTCTCTATCCCTCTACAAGATACTTATTAATTACAAAAGGAGAAATAGTAACTTTATGGTGGAGAGACATTGACACTACCTTAACCAAATAATCAGAGTATACATCTCCAGTAATAAGTCATTGTCTCTGTTTTTTTTTAAGAGGATCTCACTCTGTTGTGGAGGCTAGAGTGGAATGCAGTGGCACGATCACGGCTCACTGCAGCCTCCATCTCCTGGGCTCACGGGATCCTCTTGCCTCAGCCTCCAAGGTGCTGGGGCTACAGGTGGGCACCACCACACCCCACTAGTTGTTATTTTTTTGTAGAGATGGGGGTCTCACTTTATTGCCCTGGTGAGTCTCAAACTCCTGGCTTCAAGTACATCTCCTGCCTCAGCCTCCCAAAGCACTGGGATTACAGGCATGAGCCACCAAGCCCAGCCATAAGTCATTGTCTCTTTTTTTCTTTGCTTTTTTGAGATGGAGTCTCTCTATGTTGCCCAGGCTGGAGCGCAGTGGTGAGATCTCAGCTCACTGCAACCTCCACCTCCTGGGTTCAAGCGATTCTCCCGCCTCAACCTCCCGAGTAGCTGGGATTACAGGCGCTCACCACCACACCCAGCCAATTTTTGTATTTTTAGTAGAGATGGGATTTCACCAGGTTAGCCAAGCTGGTCTCGAACTCCTGACATTAAGTTATCTGCCTGTCCCAGCCTCCAAAAGTGCTGGAATTACAGGCATGAGCCACTGGGCCTGGCCATAAGTCATTGTCTCTTGATGATGCACTAAGAGGGGCCTGATTTTCCCTCTGGTATTCTTGCATCACCTCAGTCTAACCAGGAGCAAGCAGTAGGCAAACCCAAACTGAGGGCAGTCTACAAATGAATAGAGTTGCCTTGTTCAAAAGTGGCAGGTCATGGGGACAAGGAAAGACCAAGTGCAATGTGAGATCCTAGGTTGGAAAAAAGACCTTACCAGGAAAGCCAGCAAAATCATGATAAGGTCTGCTGGTTAGTCCATAGTACTGCATCAGTGTTAATTTCCTGGTTTCAATAATTATGCTATGGTACTGCCAGGTGTTAACATTAAGGAAAACTGAGTGAAGGTTAAGTAGGAACTCTATTATTTTTTGCAATTTTTCTGTAAGTCTAAAATTATTTTAAAATAGAAAATTGCGCTGCGTGTGGTGTCACATGCCTGTAATCCCAGCACTTTGGGAGGCCGAGGCTGCAGGATTGCTTGAGCCCAGGATTTCGAGGTTCCAGTGAGCTATGAACAAACCACTGCACTCCAGCCTGGGTGACAAAGACCCTGTTTCAAAAATAATAACTTAAAAGTTGGGGTGGGGGAAAAGAGCTCAGGGTCTGGAGCTATGGTCTGGGTTCACAATCTTGCCACAAGAAATTGCTAGCTGTGTATTCCTGAGCTGTCCCCAGGCTTCCCCATCTCTATTATGGGGATGGTAATAATAGCAGCTTCCTCATGGGTTTATTCACAGCCTGGAAGACAAGCCTGGAACATTTTATTCCAGAAAATAAAAAGAAATGCTCAAAGAGGCCGGGCGCAGTGGCTCACACCTATAATCCCAGCACTTTGGGAGGCCGAGGCGGGCGGATCACGAGGTCAAGAGATCGAGACCATCCTGGCTAACACGGTGAAAACCTGTCTCTACTAAAAGTACAAAAAATTAGCTGGGCGTGGTGGCGGGCGCCTGTAGTCCCAGCTATTTGGGAGGCTGAGGCAGGAGAATGGCATGAACCCAGGAGGTGGAGCTTGCAGTGAGCCAAGATCATGCCACTGCACTCCAGCCTGGGCAACAGAGTGAGACTCCATCTCAAATGATAGAGGCATGTCAAAAGGCCACAGGAGCCAGCTAGAAGAGGTTCCCGCTGGCCAAATTTGGAACAAATTAAACATCAAAAAATAAATAATGATAGCCATGGATTATAATCCACTGAATAAAATAAAGTATGAATCCATACTGATAATTAGTAAGCTGAAAGTTTGATGAGGAACAAGGTATTGACATTTCTAAGTAGTGCCTCATAAGATAGTAAAGAGCAACTTCACAGTGAAGTTTGGCAGACATTAGCTTCATCAAGTGACAGAAGTGAACCTCCTCAGCAGTGGACAAGTGGGCATCACGTGCCTCCCAGGAAGGGGGCAGCATTCCTTGCCCACCATGCGTAACCTGAATCCAGTGTGAAAGAGACAAACCCAAGTTGTTGGTATAATTCTTAAAAGTGTCAAGGTCGGGATAGTCAAGGAAAGACAGGAACTGTTCCAGATGGAACAACTAAGGGCAACACGTGATTCTGAGTTGACTCCTTTTGCTATAGAAGACATTATTGGAACTTCTAGCAAAACTTAAATGAGTCTGAAGATTAGATGGTAGAAATATACAAATCGTAGTTTTGTGATTTTGATGGTCATGTTGTGGGTATTAAGAGAATGTCTTTGTAAGAAATAAACATGCGTGTGATGGGGCATCAGATCACCTTACTTTCAAATGGCCCTGGGAAAAAGTTCTTCCTTGTATACTTGGAAAGAGTTTAATACAGTTAGAGTGAGGCTTATATTCTTCCTTGGTGAGTGGAGATGGCATCCAATTTAAGCTGCTAAGTGGCCAGAGGTTCAGATGGAGCCCACTTCTACCCAAAAGCAAAAGTTTTGTCCTCCTAGTGGGGAACATTATATCTTTCCCCCTACCACTAGGGCTCCCAGTTACCATGAGGCAAGGAAGCGAGCTATTCCATATGGTTAGCCTGAAGCAGTTCTCAGCCTTGCTGTTGGAAACACCTGTGGAACTTTAAACTTCTGATGCTTGGGTCCTACCCCAAGATACTATTTTAATGTCTGGGTGTGGCCTGGGCACTGGGAGTTGTAAAAGATCCCCAGGTGGTTCTAAGGTGCAGCTAAATATGAGACCTACTGACTCAGGGATTGGATTTATTGATCTGTGTATTCTTTTCCTATTAGTGCCACAGAAAATTCTCACAAACTTAGTGGCTTAAAATAACACAAGTTTATGGCCGGGCACGGTGGCTCACACCTGTAATCCCAGCACTTTGGGAGGCCGAGGCGGGCGGATCACAGGTCAGGAGATCAAGACCATCCTGGATAACACAGTGAAACCCCGTCTCTACTAAAAAAAAAAAAAAAAAATTAGCTGGGCGTGGTGGCAGGCGCCTGTAGTCCCAGCTATTCAGGAGGCTGAGGCGGGAGAGTGGCGTGAACCCAGAAGGCGGAGCTTGCAGTGAGCCAAGATCGTGCCACTGCACTCCAGGCTGGGCGACAGAGCAAGACTCTGTCTCAAAAAAAAAAAATAGTTAGTTATTATCTTACGGTTCCTAAGTCTAATGTGGGTCTCACTAGGCTGAAGTGAAAGTATCAGCAGGGCTTCACTCCTTTCTGAAGACTAGAGTATCATTTCCTTGCCCTTCCCAGCTTTTAGAATAGCTACTTGCCTTCCTTGGCTCGTGGACCCCTTCCTCCATCTTCAAAGCCACCAACATTGCATCTCTCTGACCATTCTGAGTCACATCTCTGACTCTCTTTTGCCTCTTTTGTGCTTTTTGGATCCACCTGGATAATCTGGGAATAACTGTTTTAAGGTCAGCTGATTAGCAACCTGAATTCCATCTGTAGTCTTAATTCCTTCTTGCTATGTGACCTAACATATTCACAGATTCTAGGGATTTATGACGCGGACATCTTTGGGGGATCATTATTCTGCCTGCCACTGTCTGGAAATGTACTGGAGATTTTTCTTTCCGCTTGTTTTTTTGGTTTGAGACAAGGTCTTGCTTTGTCACCCAGGCTGGAGTGCAGTGGCACGGTCATGGCTCACTGAAGCCTCAAACTCCTGGGTTCAAGTGGTCCTTTCCACCTCAGCCTCCCAAAGTGTTGTGGTTACAGGCATGAGCCACCATGCCCAGCCAATTTTTCTTTACAAGTAAATTGGTTAAATTTTAAAAAAGAAAAGCAAAGACTTGGAGATGAGGGAGGGAGAAAACAGACTGGATTAATGATGTGGGGAGTCAAAAGTCTCCCTCAGCCGAGTTTGAGTTGGAAGAGATGTGGAAAGGGAAAGGCAGGCCAGCCACACAGGAGGGCTTAGTGACAGCACAGACTAATCTCATGGGCGTGTAGGGGTTAGATTTCACAGGGGGTTATCTGAGAGCTCCCCTTCCCAGAGGAAAGGGCCTTAAATGGCAGGTCAGTGCTTAGACATTTCCTGGACACAGGTCATGAACAACAAGGATGGAAGCAATAGCTTTGACTACACCTTCAGGATGGGCAAGATGAGGGGAAGGGGCTTTTCTCTGACTCTATCAGCTCCCACTGAAATACCTACTTTCGACCAATTTTGTGAAGATAGTAACTGAAGCCACCTCTGGCTAATCTCCACACAAAATGAAAAGGTATTTCCATTTTGTAGGTAAGAGGGTTTTGAGATTTTAACTTGTCCCAAGGTGTCACAGGTATGAAGCAGCTAAAGTGGGCTTTTTTGGCATTTCTCCCCTCCCTTATTCCTGTGCGTATCTCAAGCATTAAAAAAAACAAAACAAAACTATATAAATACCTGAAAGGGTGGTAAATGTCTACATATCAAATATCCAGAGTTCAAATTCTTCTCAATTTTTTTTCCTTTATAATTGTTTTCAAATCAAGATCTAAACAAGGTGTGCATGCTGCTGACTGGTATCTCCCTTATCTGTTTCTCCACATGTTCTCCCTAGCTTTTCCCCCCACTCCTTGCAATTTATTTGAAGAAACATGGTCAGTGATTTCTGAAATTGTTCCATATTCTGAATTTTGCTGCTGGTATCCCCATGAATTCTTACTTTGCACCTGGGTCCCTCAAGACTTCAAAATCCCCAAAACTCTCTTCACAAGGCCACCCTGTCTCTATGAGGATACTGTGAGGACCTACTATCCACTCAGCTCTTTACATATTAAGCACCTTGTAAGGTACTTACCTTTTTGTAGTTGTACTTGACCCCCAGAGAACATGTCCACAGAGATAGAGCCAAATGATGGAGCCAATATTTTAAGTCCTGTCAGCCTGACTCCTCAGCCCGCCCCTTTCTCTCATACCAGGTGGTCCCATTCATTGCATTACGGGTTGTCGATCTATTCTTATTATTAATCTAAGCACTATACACTGGTTATACACTTTCAGTAAGTGGATGGCAAGCTAGCATTAACAGACAGCTTTTCCCAAAATAAGCATATTCCATGCCTACCAAAGAATACGGGTAAGAAATAAGACCAGCCATCTATGGGAGAAGGAGCCAATGCAATGGCTAGTCTTTACTGGAAAGAAGAAACTTTACAGCACATTTTGAGTAATTTAGTGCAGGTGCTCAGTGTGCCAGCTGCTGGGGCACCAGCTTGTAATGGGCTCCACAGCGGGGGCATCGCTGGGCCTCGCCTTTGTGCAGCCAAAACCAGACGACGCTGGTATTGTCCTCTTCACCTAAAAGGGAAAAAAGGTGGTTTATGGTCATCCAACCTAGAAAGGGAGACTTTCAACATGAATTTCTTTTCCTCAGACATCTCTGATACACAAGTAAGACTATGGTTGATATCTTAAGAGATCAGTTCAAGCCCTCCTCCCATTCTTCAGATGAAGAAATTGAGGCTCTGAGTTCACCTATGAGTAAACTGACCTTGTATCAAGGTCACTGTAAATTCTAACAATTCCCTTGCCTATGTAGAACGCAAAGCAGGGTCCGTTCTGGTATGTATCCCTAGTGTCTAAAATGATGCCTGGCATAGAAGCAGTATAACAATAAATATTTGCTGGGTGGGTACTCCTTCATGCCGCACTCCCAGTGAGCCAGTCTTACCGCTGTGCTGCGCTTCTTTCCAGTAAGGATGAACTATCAGGCATAATGAGGCTTGAGAGTGTCAAGACCCTTAGACAAACTTACCAACATGCACTCACACACTGAAGATTTGAGGCAGCTTACACACTATTGTAGGATATATTAAGCAAGTGGATAAAAAATAGAGGTGAGGTACTTACAGATGCAGCCTACTATTCTCTTGTTGGAGATGGAGGGGACTAAATTAGGGTCTTCCCTGGTGCCTGAAGCTCCCTTTGGGGCCAGTACATTGTATGGGTCCTGAAGAAAAAACAAAAAACAAAACAAAACAAAAAAAACAAGAATTGAACCATTAGGCCAAATAAGCCCTACCTTCCAGAAGCTCAGGGGACTGTTCCTACAAGCCAAGTTTCCTGTATCAAATACTCCCAGAGAGGAGACCACTATGAACACATCCAAGGCCATAAGTTACACAGAAGACACAGAAGGGAGTTTCTCCTTACCAGTCCCTTCTTTGCAGCCAGCATGATCTCCCTCTCCAACCCAGTCGCCTGCTCTTCATCAGTGGGAACACCACCTAAAGGAAGATAACGTGAATTATGACGCTGACTGAAATGACTGATAGAAAAACTACAAACAGAAATGATCAAGGAAAATGGTGCCCCGAAACTTCTGTATAAGTTTTAGCGGGCTCACAAGCTCCTAAAGGCTACTCATATCCATGGTCCCCTAAGAACCACCAAGTACCCATCCACACAAGCGGCAGCACTCGGGGGAGCTTTTTTTTTCTTTTTTGAGACGGAGTTTTGCTCTTGTTGCCCAGGCTGGAGTGCAATGGCGCGATGTTGGCTCACGGGAACCTCCGCCTCCCGGGTTTAAGCGATTCTCCTGCCTCAGCCTCCCGAGTAGCTGGGACTACAGGCGCGCGCCACCACGCCCGGCTAATTTTTGTATTTTTAGTAGAAACGGGGTTTTACCATGTTGGCCAGGCTGGTCTTGAGCTCCTGACCTCAGGGGATCTGTCCGCCTCGGCCTCCCAAAGTGCTGGGATTACAGTTGTGAGCCACCGCGCCCGGCCTATGAGCTTTTCTTTCTCCAACCACCGAGGCAAATTTGTCGACATTTGTCTAAAAGCATGTAGAACCCACTCTGCTTGAGGTGGGCGCAGGTTTGAAGGGAGGCCGGACCCCTCCCCATCCCGGTGGCAGCCCCGGTCCCTCCCAAGGTCACCCGGCACCTCCGTTTAGGATACTTTCGCAGCGGAGTGAGTTCGGGGAGCGGCAGGAGCAGCGGTCCAGAATTACAGGGAGATGCCTGCAGAGCCTGAGGCACTGGGGACCGTAAAGCGGCCACTGGGACCTCGAGAAGCTGCACGAGCCGCGCCGCTTTGCCGCCCTGGGACCACCCTGGGAGGGCAACACTCTGGTCCCTGGCACGCCCGGAGACCCGAGTACCTCCAGATGCCATGGAGCGCATCGCGGCCGCGCCACTGGGGCCGCGAGCCCTCAGGGCCTGCGCGGCCAGCGTTCCAGCTCCGCGAAGTAACCTTGAAGCCATTGCGTCCGCGACTAGCAGCAAAACTTCCGGGAACAAGCTGCAGAGACAGGAGGGACTTCCGGGGGCGGGCTTCTTTCTCCTCTCGGTCAGCTTTCGGCTTCCTCCCAGCCCTCGAGCCCGCCCACTCCCAAGACTGTGGCGGGGGCGGAAATTGCGCATGCCCAGCTCTGCCTCTTTCTGCACCGCGTAGTGGCTGAGGCTTGGGGGCGGGGTTGCCTTTAATAACGCTGGGAGGTGGGAAAGTCTTTTTGGTCCCTGGAGTTGAGCGGCTGAACCACATTGGAGTTCCTGTGGGTCTGGCCCCGTAGTCGTGTTCAGCAAACGTGGAGGCTGCTAATGGAAGCTATTAGGTCCCCGTCTGTGAAGAGACTTACTGAACCCCAAATGATTTGAATTTAGAAGTGGGCTCCTAAAGATCACTGCGTTCCTTACTAGGCTGGTTAGTGGCAGGGCTGGTTCTGGCAGTGCGTGGGCCGTCGCGAGCGTGTCGCATTGGACGGGACCTACCTGCAGTCCTGGCCCAGTTTCGTGTTAGAGTTGTACTGTGTGTGGGAGGCGCGGAGGTCCCGGCCTGGGGAGGAGGACAGGGCCGGGGGCGGGACCCCCTACCAGGACCAAGGCCCTGGTGATGTGAAGGAAGTGGCCACTCTTTTTCGAGGCTACTAAGGGAGGAGGAGCAGGAAGGGGAGTTGATAATAGGAAATGGAGTTAGAGCCTGCTGTGACTGGAGTTCCTTGTTTGAAACGGAAAACATATTCCGTCCATGGCTTCCCGTTGCCCATAGGCTAAGATGTGCAAATTTCTTAGGGTGAGCTTTAGTCAGTATAGCCCTGTGACAGGCTAGCTGCATGCGGTATCTGAGTTTCCCTACCAGATAGAAAAATCCCCTTAGAGTGGGAATTAATGCTCATCATTGAATCTTCAATGCCTTGCAGAGGTCTGGTATATAGTAGGATCCAGTAATTTTAGTAAATTTACTACTTGGATAGAGTATACAAAACCAGTTTATAGGGCTTTTCCTGGCCCAGTGAGGTCAATTGGAGGCAACATGGGGAGAGTTGAAGGCTTAGGTGCTCCCGCCTGTCTCATGCAGGCTACGGTATTTTCAAAAGGACGTGGTGGAGCGTTGCTTCACAGGAGCACGTCTGGTCTTCCTGGGTGCCCCCTCCACCAATTAAAAAAAAAAAAAAAAAAACCCTGTATTCTAAGGCCAAAATTTCTTTAAAGGTGGTTTTTGCTTTGAATGGCTTCACTGTTACTCCCTTCTCCCTCACCTCCACTGCAACCCCTCCAAGTTGAATTGGGCGAAAATTCTGAGGATCTGTAGTTAATTTGCAACTGTGGTTAAGGTCTTAGGCAGGAGAAAAAAGCATTGGTCTGGAAAGTAGCCCCACCAGCTAGTTCAGCTACTTTTTATCCTTTGGGCCGCCATTTCTACATCAGTAAAACTGTCGTTCAACTAGGTTAGTATTTCCCAAAGTGTATTGCATGGCATCCAAGTCTCAAGACATGATCTCAAGAAAAAGGACTTGGTCAAGACAGGGAGGGCCTGCATTTGATGACCACCCTTTTGGAGATGGACACTAGCATAATAAAGGCTCTGATTAGGCTTGCAGTAAAGACCTCTTATTTAATTTACCTGCAGTTTAAGCCAGAGTTTCCCTGTCTTAATTGACCACAAAATCCTTTCTGAGGAACACCTACTAACTTGCCCCTCAGCAAACCAGTGAGGTATTCAGCTCTGATATGTTATGATTCCCTGCTGCCTGACCAGAAGTGGTTTACTCCAGGCTATAAAATGGAAATTGAGTTTAGGCTTCTCACTCTCATAGTAGGCTTGCCTAATAATAGGAAATTTTCGCAGGCCCTCATCCAACTCAGGAAAACCTCAGCCTCACTCTGGGATTATTTAGATTGTGTGAGTGAGCTCCAAGGTCAGGTCCAGGCTCCCCAGATGTCCCCGCATCCCTTGCTGCTTCCAGCTCCCACCACTGTCAACTCACACCCAGTCCCTCAGGTCTCCTTTGGAAACAGTTGGCTTGGGGAACAGTCTGCCACCTCTGCTCTATCATTGTCTTTGCCAGCACAATAAACTTATTTTTATAGGATAATTTTCAGTTGTCAAAATAAATGTACATTATAAGTTGAACAGCACAGATATATAAGGAACAAGCTAGCAGTTTGGTGCTTATCCTTTTTTTCCTTTCCCTATGACAGAGTTTCTCAAGCTCAGCACAACTGACATCTTGGGTTGATAATTCTTTGAGGGAGGTTGTGCATTGTAGGATTTAACCCTATGTCATTAGCACCTCCCTGACATGATAACCAAAAATATCTTCAGCCATTGCCACATGCCCCCTGGATTTGCAAAATTCCCATTGAGCATCACTGCATATATGAATATAAAATATAAAAACATAACTACTATACAAAGTTTTAGTTAGTTGCTTCTTTCATTAAAAAATATTTTGTAGGCTGGGTGCGGTGGCTCACACCTGTAATCCTAGCACTTTGGGAGGCTGAGGCAGGCAGATCACCTGAGGTCAGGAGTTCAAAACCAGCTTGGCCGACATGGCGAAACCCTGTCTCTACTAAAAATACAAAAATTAGCTGGGAGCGGTGGTGGGCGCCTGTAATCCCAGCTACGTGGGAGACCGAGGCAGGAGAATCACTTGCACCCGGGAGGCAGAGGTTGCAGTGAGCCAAGATCACATCATTGCACTCCAGCCTGGGCGACAGAGCAAGACTCCGGCTCAAAAAATATATATATTTTGTAGATGTCCCTTCAGATCAATACATCTAGATCTTAACTTACGTGATGGCTGCAGAATATTCCCTACTGTGAATGTACGTTAATGTGCCCAGCCATTCTCCCATGATGAATATTCCAAAGGCTTCTAGTTTTTTGCCTCTCATACAATGCTGCAGTATATTCTCATACAATATCTGAGAGTATATTCTTATAGAAGCAAATATTTCATTTTCAGTAGAAGCTTATGCTCATTAACAAATGGCCATAAAATGTTTTTTTAAAAGTTGATAATTTTAAAAATAATATCAGCAAGCTTTTACCATTAAAATCTCCAAGGGGTTTAGTCCTTTTGATATTTTTCTGTACATGTTTTTGTCTATATCCACCTTTGTCTATTTTTTAAAAAAATTTTTCTAAAATAAGTCATATTTATTTATTGTATTTTAAAGCTCAAAATGTATTTAAACATTTTATTAATTTAGGCTCTTTTAAATAATATCTTATTTGATATGTTCAGTTAATTACTAGTTGGTAAGTTTAGATATAAAGTTTTTAAATGGCAGAGGTCTATTTCATAAATTATGAAGCCTGAGGTTGTCAAACCCTAATTTGATCAATGCACAATTTATACATGTATCAAAATATTATATCGTATGTCATACATATGTGCAATTTTTATATATTGATTAAAAATGAAAATTTAAAAATTATTGAAATAAGTTGTCATTTAAATAAAGGTTTTTTTGATTAGTTTGAATTTAGTAAAAATGCTTTAAATAAAATCACCTGAATATTTTTTATGCACAGTACCTATTTCATTTCCCTGAGTTTAAAATTAAATCAGCCATAGGTGCCAGACATTGAGGCTCTACTTGTCTTTTTCCAAAACCATCCATCATGGTCATTAGCATTTTGGTCTTCAAATCTAAAGACTGGTAGAAATTGATCAGTACTGAAGGGATTTACATGTCGATGAGCCAGGTGAGATGGTAGCAGATCCTAGATTTCAGTGAAGAAAGGGCAGAAATTATCAAAGAATGGAATGATGTATTCAAATATCATATAAAAATACTATCAGATGTGGGAGCAGAAATGAAAGTAGACTTGGGGCCCCAAAAAATCAAACATGAATTTGCCACGTGGGTGTTGTTTAATAATCAATGACAAAAGCCAGGCATGGTGGCTCACACCTGTGATTCCAGCACTTTGGGAGGCCAAGGCGGGCAGATCACTGGAGGTCAGGAGTCTGAGACCAGCCTGGCCAACATGGTGAAACTCTGCCTCTACTAAAAATACAAAATCAGCCGGGCCTGGTGGCACATGCCTGTAATCTGAACAACTCGGGAGGCTGAGACAGGAGAATCCCTTGAACCTGGGAGGCAGAGGTTGTGGTGAGCCGAGATCATGCCATTGCACTCCAGCCTGGATGACAGAGGGTGACTCCCTCTCTAAATAAATAAATAAATAAATAAATAAATAAATAAATAAATGACAAGATAAACCAGCACTAACCACAACTAGAGGGTGTTTGTAGAGGGCTATTTACAGAGATTAGAAATTGAGTTGATGTAAACAATGGTGGAAGGGTAAATCCTTTCATTGGTCCTCTGTACTGCAGAAACCTAATAAGGGAGGGGATTTAAGGATCCTATAATACATTGGCCTCCAAAAAGCAAGGCTTATTATTTATAGAGGCATTTGGAATTTGCTAGACTGTGGAAATCTCAGAGAATAACATCTGTTATCCAGAAAGCCCAGGGGACACCCAACTCCTGAGCCAAATGCATGAATTTTCCTGCAAGCACTGTTCAGACCAGTTATAGAATATTCAGGTGAGTATGTCCTTTAATTTTTTTTTTGTTTATAAAATTGTGAACTTCTGGACGGAAAGTCCTGGATATTTTACAGTTTTATCTATAGCATGACATCTAGAATTTAATTGGAAACATTTATTGTAGAATATGAAAAGTTCTGTGTTGTCTGTAACTTCAGGTTGCATGCAGCCTTGGTCGTCTGCAAAGTTTTCAAAGTGCTCAAAGGCACTTTTTTATTTTCCTAATATTCCACTGAAGTTTTTATTTATGTAATGGTATTTTTAATTTACAAAATCTATTTTGTTGTTTGAATGTTCTTTTCAAAGTCTCTTGTTATTTTTTGATATTTTTACTCTATAAAATAGAAAACATGACTTTGTGAAGGTTATACATTTTTATTTATTTATTTTTATTTTTTACTTTTCATGTCACAAAAATTAAAAAAATTAATAAAAATTAAAAATTAAGAATTCATACAGCTTCACAAAGTCACAGGAGTCCATACATTATGTTTAAGATCAAAACTTACCCTCAAATGGTTCAAGGATAAAAGGATGTCTTAAACTTCTAAGTATTTTACAAGTGATGATGATAAAAAGTAAAAAGTAAACAAATAAAAGATGTATTCTAACACAGAAAAGGGGGCAATCACATACAGTTCACAAGGTTAATTTTTTTGAGACAGGGTCTCACTCTGTTGCCTAGTCTGAAGTGCACTGATACAATCAAGGCTCACTGAAGTCTTGCCCTCCTGTGCCCAAGCCATCCTCTCACCTCAGCCTCCAGAGTGGCTGGGACTACAGGCACTACAAGTGTGGGTCTGGCTAAATTTTTGTTTTTCTAGAGATGGGGTCTCTCTATGTTGCCCAGGCTGGTCTCAAACTCCTGAGCTCAAGCAATCTTCTTGCTTCAGCCTCCCAAAGTGTTGAAATTACAGGCGTGAGCCACCGTGCCTGGCCCTGTATAAATTCTTAGTATTTCCCAGCTTCTTTCTTTCTTTTTTTAAGAGATTTCTTTTTTTAAGGGGATTTCTCACTTGTTGCCCAGGCTTATCTTGAACTCCTGAGTTCAAGTGATCCTCCCATCTTAGGCTCCTAAAGTGCTGGGATTACAGGCATGAGCCTCCACACCTGGTCGCAGTTTCATCATGGAAGTAATAGAACAGCAAGCATAAAATGACCTCATAGAAATTCAAGGCGAAAAATAAGATATTAATAATAAGTGTAAAACATTTACATTTTAGTTTGCTGGGGCTGCTGTAATAAACTATCACAGATAAAACAATAATTTGCTCTCTCACATACTGAAAACCTAAAATTTAAAATCAACACGTTGACAGAGTTGGTTCCCATTGGGGATTCTGAGTAGAAATCCAGCCCCTCCCTGTCTGCTGGTTTCTGATGGCTGATGGGAACATTTAGCTTTCATTGGCTTGTGGCAGCATAGCTCCAGTGAGCTCTGTCTCTGCCTCTGTCTCCACATGGCTGTCGATGTGTCTCAGATCTTCCTTTGATTTCTTCTATAATGATACGAGTCATTGGACTTAGGTCCCACCCTAAACCCAGACTAATCTCATTAGGAGATTACCAAGGTAATTACATCTGCAAAGATCCTATTTTCAAAAGGTCATATTCACAGGTTTCAGGGGTTAGGACTTAGACACATATTTTGGGGGGCCACGCTCTTTGGCAATTTGAAAAAATGTCTGGCTCATAAAAGAGCCACATAACAACAAAAACACAACTGTATTTTTATTTTCACTGCTTTATACGCATCATCCTAACATTTACAATTGGGAAGACAGTACTTCTTTTCCTAAATTCAGATTCTGAGTATTCCACATCTCTTTTCTAACATCAAGTCTATGTGACTTCCCCTTTTTCCGAGTTAGAATACATCTTATATTTATTTATGTATTTATTTTTTATAATCATCACTTACAATATATTTGGAAGTTTGACATCTTTTTATCCCTGAACCATTTCAGAGTATGTTTTGATCTTAAACACAAAGTATGAAATCAAATATTTTTTAATTTTTTTATTTTCCTTTGTGAATGTTACTTTTTTCTTAATTACTCTCCTGTTACATTATTACGTTTATTTTTATTTTTTTAGGACACTAATGAACTGACTTTTTTCAGATTTTTGAGGTTAAAAATTCAATAACTTTCAAGTTTACCCTCTTCTAAGTTTTTCACAGTTTATTTTAATGCTTTTTTATAAATTTTAATTTTTATTTATATTTTCATTTATTATGAACAATTTTCCAAAAGTCTTTTTCACATAATAAATTTGATATATGAGCTATTCTTTATTTTATCTTCTACCTCAAATATGGACTTGAATTATTATCCAATATTTTAAAACATTTTAATCTCTATGTTAAGGAATTTGTGTTTTGAGGCATGTGATATTATAACATTCTTCACACTTCTAGTGAATTTTTAACGTCATTCAAAGGCTACATCCTTCTATACTCTACTGAGAATTAAAAATAGTTCTCAAAAATATTCTCACATATTCTGAAACTCATTCTCAGAATTTCAACCTCCACTGGCATCTTAACTCTGTTCTCTTTCCCTTCTAATGCATATTTTCCCCTGAAGTCCCCATGTTACACTCCTTATGCACCCTCTGTTTAAGATCTGGTTTCATTTAATGTTGTATGTGTTTGTACACAATTTTACTGAAGTTAGGCTTTGTCTTAGAATAGAAGATTATCCTAAAAAGACTAGTGAAAGAGTTATGAGAATTTGGAGAATTAGTTGGGAAATCATGTCCCAGAGGAATTACTTTAGGCAAAACAAAATTGGTAAAAAAATAAATAAATAAAATTTAAAAAAAATAAGCAGTAGTTATCGGATCTGCCATGTTTTCAAGTTCTATAATGGAAAATGCCAGGTATTTTGGAGGCACTTTCCGGAGGAAGTCAAACTTTCACTGAGGCTTAAAGATGATGAACAGTTAACCAAATAAAATTGAAATGTTTTATAATTGTCATTAAATCCTTGATATTTAAAAGGAGAAGCGGTATGGTTCACTAGAAAGCATTCATTCCCATGCATGGTTCCTGGAGAATCTTTAATTCAGTCTTTTATCACAGATTCACATTCCCTCACAAAAAGGTAACAACAGTTGGATGCATGTCTGGAGGAGCTCTTGGGCTTGTCCTATTGCATCTTTAACTTCTCATCTGCACCTTTAGCTATGGCTATTTGGGCTGTGCTTAGAAAATGGTCATACTCAGGGCACTGTAGAATGAACAGTCTTTCCCGTTTAGGCATTTCTCCTTCCACTTTAACTCTTGACTCTGTCTTCAGGGCATTTCTGTTCTATTAAGCTTCTTAAGTGATGAGTGGTCTGGTGTTTGCCTTATGCAACTCAATTTAAGATCGGTTCATGCGAGATCTGGCAGAAAGAAGGCTGGGGTGGGGTGCGGAGATATTGAATATTGCGCATGTAGCATATGAAAGGCAAATATGGATTTTCATTCAGAAATGGGCTATATTTTATTTATATCATTGAGTAAATTAATTATACAAGGGACATATGACAAATAGGGTGTAATTTTTTTCATTAATCCCAATGAAGCAGAGTAACTTTCTTTTCTTTCTCCTCAGAAATACAGAATCATACATACTGCAGGACTTCCAGAAAGAAATCATCCACTGACTCTTAAAAGTAAGGAACTCTGTGTTCTTACTCTGGTGTCTGCATAACCGGGATCTTATAAGTAAGCCAAAGACATCAAAGTGGCTTTGCCTAGAAGCCAAGGCCATTGGTCCAACGCAGACATCTTGAGGTTACTGGAATGCATGGAGAATAATCTCCCATATGATGACAACGGCACGTTCAGCTCAACTCAGTCACACATGGACTGGGGAAAAGTAGCTTTTAAAAACTTTTCTGGTGAAATGTGCAGACTCAAATGGTTAGAGATTTCTTGCAGCTTGAGAAAATTCAGCACTTTGAAAAAATTAGTCCTGGAAGCTAAGAAATGTGTTAAAAATACAAACAAAAGCCAAAAAGGCAGGAACCATCCAGACTTTCCAAAGAGGCTCCTTACTGCTTATATCCGCTTCTTCAAGGAGAATTGGCCCCAGTACTCCCAAATGTACCCTGGGATGAGAAGCCAGGAAGTGACCAAAATCCTGTCAAAGAAATACAAGGAGCTCCCAGAGCAGATGAAACAGAAACATATTCAGGATTTCCGGAAGGAAAAGCAAGAATTTGAGGAAAAACTTGCTCGATTCAGGGAAGAACACCCTGATTTAGACCAGAAGGGCAAGAAATCTGATATCTGCAAGAGGGTTCAAACCAAAGTGCAAAAGAAGGTTCAGAAAAATATTGAAGAAGTGAGGTCTCTTCCAAAAACGGATCAATTTTTCAAGAAGGTAAAATTTCATGGAGAGCCTCAGAAACCCCCCATGAATGGATACCAGAAGTTTCACCAAGATTCCTGGTCAAGTAAGGAGCTGCAACATTTGTCCCTGAGGGAGCGCATGGTAGAGATTGGCAGACGCTGGCAGCGCATCCCGCAGAGCCAGAAGGATCATTACAAGAGCCAGGCTGAGTTGCTGCAGAAGGAATACAAAGTGGAATTGGATCTCTGGCTCAAGACTTTGTCACCTGAAGATTATGCTGCATACAAAGAATCGACCTATGCTAAGGGTAAGAATATGGCGATGATGGGAGGCCCGGCCCCCAGCTTGAAACAAACAGATCCGCAGTCCTCATCAGCAAAG
Organism: Homo sapiens; assembly: GCF_000001405.40. Lineage (NCBI taxonomy): Eukaryota > Metazoa > Chordata > Mammalia > Primates > Hominidae > Homo > Homo sapiens. The sequence continues at coordinate 97,636,773 of NC_000002.12, read as the reverse complement.
GGTCTGCAAGAAGGGTTTGGGGAGGGGCAGGGGCTCCAGGCTGCAGGAACAGAGGCATCACAGACTATTTGGGTAAACTGTCAGGTCTCTATGGAACCAGAAGACAACAGGAAGAAAGATGGCGAAGAGGAAGAAAGCAGTAACTCTTTAGACTGCAGCAGTGGGGAAGACATGGAAGTTGATGTCTGAGGGCAGTGACTCTAGTGCAGCTTCCTCAGAGGACTTCTAACTGGGACTCCACCTGACTCAGACTCTGCCTGACTCAGACTCCAGGGTCAGGCAGAGTTTCTCCGCAAAAGCCCATTCATGCCATCCGTGTCAAGGAAAAGGGACTGTCCTTCTGCCTCTTTTTACTTCTTTGCTTTTTTTTTCTCTTTTCTTCCTTCCCCGCTCTCCTCCTCTACACAAAGTAGGACAGGTTGGAAAGAAGCGACTTGGTGCAGCAGCCTCTTACATCAGGATTACAAACCTGGGAGGGACTCTTTGGGGAGAATAAATATAAATTTGAGCCAATACCAACCTTATCCTTAAAAAACAGACAAATATCATCCCTTTCCCAGTGAATTTTGTGCAATTAAAGCTTCTGGAATGAAGTGATGATTAGGTGTAGGGTACACACTGTATTAGACTGAATATTTCTGAAGCAAGAAGCTTTGCTTTACTCATTTTTGTTCTGCTAAAGGCAGTAAGAAGACACCCATGAGCCTGGGACCCCGACTTTCCCTGTGGAAATGTTTTTCAGGACTCCTGCACTTAATCTAGGGTTGGGGATATTTGATGAAAGGTGGGGTAGGTGTCTTAAGAAAATTGTACTCTTGATATCTCGCTCCTCCACTCCCTGAAGTAAGGAGTTGGTCACTTGCATGCCTGGGAGTAGGCAGCAATATTTCTATATATGTGTCTGACTCTTAGCTTTCATTGAGACTTTTCTTTCTCATTTCAAAAAAAAAAATGAAAATACAAAATAAAAACTTACCTATTTCATCGGAATGAGCTCCTCCACAGAATCCCTTATGACATTGGGTGCAGCATCTCTAAGTGCCATCTGCATTTATTCTTGAAGCTCCAAATATTTTCTGCTGATTCAGGTGCAAGTGAATCTCACCTTAAGCACTCAGGATTGATAGAAAGATGCACAGAAAGACACATATAGATAAATACACTATTCTGTTTCACTATCTGCTCTATGAATTCATGCACCAATATAACATTGTTTTAATTTTTTTTGGTTAACTAATATGTTTGAAAATCAACCTAAGGTTAGTGCCTTCTCAGTATACCTTTATTCTCTTAAACATTTCTGGCTATTTTCATATTTTGTTCTCATGAACATAAGCATCACAGAAGTAGATGTATACTTTTTATATGAAAACCATTGACTATCATGTGTTTATTTTGTCCCTAGATATCTTAGTAAATTTTTATTTATAAGTTTTTTCTAGGTAAATAAGTTTCAGAGAATAATGAAAATATTTACCATTTTATACCTCTAAATGTATCAGATTAAAATATCCAGGAGAATGTTAAGCAATAATAAAGTAATATGTTCTTGGCTTGCTTCTGACTTTCAATCTAATGCTTACAGAATTTAAAATCATGAAAATTATGCTGATGTGTACATTTGAAATAAATTACAAAAAAATAAGAAAATTGCTATTTACTGTTATTATTATTTGGTTAACTTTATAATGTATATCGATTTTTAACAAATTTATTTTGTTAAATTTATCATATATTTATGTAATTTTTCCTTAGTGTATTAGTCATCATCCTTCAGAGAAACAGTAGCACCAAAATAGAGAGAGAAACAGAATGACAGAGAGAGAGATAGAATAATACAGAGAGGAGACAGAGAGAGACAGATAGGGTGTCTTGTCACCCAGGCTGCAGTGCAGTGGTGTGATCTGGGCTCACTGCAACAACCGCCTCCTAGATTGAAGCGATTCTCCTGCCTCAGCCTCCTAAGTAGCTGGAATTACAGGCACCTGCCACCACGCCTGACTAATTTTTGTATTTTTAGTAAAGACAGGGCTTCGCCATGTTGGCCAGGCTGGTCTCGAACTCCTGACCTCAAGTGATCCGCCCACCCAGAAAGACCAATTTTATTATGAAGAATTGTCTGACAAAATTGTGGAGGCAAAAAATACCATGATCTGCAATCTGCAAGCTGGTCACTTAGGAAAGCCAGCGGTGTCATTCAATCTGAGTCTGAAGGCCTGGGGACCAGGGAAGCCAATGGTGTAAACCCCAAGTCAAGGGTAAGAGAAGAGAAGATGAGATGTACTAGCTTAAGAAGTGAGGCAGGAACAAAAGGGTCAAACTCCTCTGTCATCTGCCCTTTGTTCTATTCAGGAGCTACTGGGGAGGGAAACCTACTTTACAGAGACCAATTCAAGCTGACACATAAAATTTACTATCACACTTTCATTTTCTTACAGATTCTGGGGATTTAGGCATTTTCACCATTTTTTCATGAATTCTAGATGGCTGATGGGTTGAATTTATTTAGAAAATGTATTTGCATATTATGCCCCTTGTTTCGCTTCTTAACATCAAGTTTGCAAAATTAAAGACCTGATTCTTTTTACTTCCAATTTAGAAGATACTGTAAGTCACATTTGCCACTAAGTGGTAGTAAGGCCTATAGCTCAGGCTAGATGGTGAGATGTACAAATGCAATTGGGACTTTGCTTGTGATTTTAAATACAGCATTTTAAAATTTATTCTGCATCTACTCTTTTTTAAGTCTTGCCCTCCTTATGTGTGACACACAGATGAAAGATACAATTCTTGACTTCATGACACTCAGAGTTAAAGATGGTGGGGGGAGGGGAGAGTCTGAAGAAATTATATCAATATTCTACAAATATATCAATATTCTAAATTTCTATCAATATTCTACAGTCTCTTCCAGAAAATAGAAGCAGAGAGAATACTTCCTAACTCATCCTAAGAGGCCAGTATTACCCTAATACCAAAATCACACAAAGCCATTATAAGAAAATAAAACTATGGGACCAATATCTCTCATGAACATAGATGCAAAATTCCTCAACAAAATAAAGGCAAGTAGAATCTAACAATGTAAACAAAGGATTATACACCAAGACAAAGAGGGATTTATCCCAGGTATGCAAAGCTGGTTTAATATTCAAAACTTATATAGATATATAAATTATCACACCAACAGGCTAAAGAAGAAAAATCACGATTATATCAATAGATGCAGAAATCACATTTTGACGAAATACAACACCCATGATAAAAAACTCTCAGTAAACTAGTACTAGAGGGGAACTTCCTCAACTTGATAAAGAACATCTGCAAAAAACCTATAGCTAACATTATACTTAATGGTGAGAAACAGCTTTCCTGCTAAGATCAGGAACAAAGCAAGTATGTCTCCTCTCACCACTCTTTTTCAACATTGTGCCAGAGTCTTAGCTAATGTGATAACACAAGCAAGGGAAATAAAAGGTATACAGATTGGAAAGGAGGAAAAAATATACTCTCTGTTTGCAGCTGACATGTTTGTCTATATAGAAAATCTGAAAAGAATAAGCAAAAAAATTCTAGGCTGGGCATATTGGTTCACACCTGTAATCCTAGCACTTTGGGAGGCCAAGGTGGGTGGATCACTTGAGCCCAGGAGTTCAGAGACCAGCCTGGGCAACCTGACAAAACCCTGTCTCTACCAAAAATACAAAAATTAGCTGGGCATGGTGGTGCATGCCTGTAATCCCAGCTACTTGGGAGGCTGAGATGAGAGAATCGCATGAATCTGGGAGGCGGAGTTTGCAGTGAGCCTAGATCACACAACTGCACTCTGGCCTAGGTTACAGGGCAAGGCTCTGTCTCAAAAAAAAAAAAAAAAAAAAAGAAATTTAAAAATTAGAAAGTCAATAATTATACCAAGGTTGCAGGATACAAGGTTAATATACAAAAGCCAGTCACGTTCCTAGATACCTACAAAGAACAAGTGGAACTTGAAATTAACACACAATACCATTCAGCTAGTATCATACCAAATGTGAAGAAACTGAAAGCCTTCCCTCAAAGATCTGGAACACAACACAGACACCCACTTTTACCACTGTTGATTCAACATAGGACTGGAAGTCCTAGCTAGAGTAATCAGACAAGAGAAATAAATACAGGGCATCCAAATTGGAAAGGAAGATGTCAAATTATCCTTGTCTGCAGATGATATGATCTTGCATTTGAAAAAAAACCTAGATTCCACAAAAAAACTATTAGAAATGATAAACAAATTCAGTAAAGTTGCAGGATACAAAATCAACATAGAAAAATCAGTAGTATTTCTATATGCCAACAGTGAACAATTTGAAAAAGGAATTAAAAGAGTAATCCCATTTACAATAGCCACACATAAAATACCCAGGAATTAGCCAAATAAGTGAAAGACTTCAATAACGAAAACTATAAAACACTGATGAAATAAATTGAAGAGGACATCCAATAATGGAATGACATTCCAGGATCATGGATTGGAAGAATCAGTATTGTTAAAATGTCCATAATATTCAAAGCAACCTACAGATTCAATGCAATCCCTATCAAAATACCAATGACATTTTTCACATAAATAGAAAAAAAAAATCCTAAAATTTATATGGAACCCCAAAAGACCCAGTATAGCCAAAGCTATGCTAAGCCAAAAGAACAAAACTGGAGGAATCACATTACTTGACTTCAAATTATACTACAGAGCTATAGTAACTAAAGCAGCATGGTACTGGCATAATGATGGACACATAGACCCAATGGAACAGAATAGAGAACCTAGAAACAAATCCACACACCTACAGTGAACTCATTTTCAACAAAGGTGCCAAGAACACACACTGGGGAAAAGACAGTCTCTTCAATATATGGTGCTGAGAAAACGAGATTTCCATATGCAGAAGAATGAAACTAAATCCTAGACTTCTGTATCTTGCCATATGTAAAATCAAATCAAAAGTGTTTAAAGACTTATGAAATTACTACAAGGAATCATTGGGGAAAATCTCCAGTACATTAGTCTGGGCAAAAATTCCTTCCTTCCTTCCTTCCTTCCTTCCTTCCTTCCTTCCTTCCTTCCTTCTTTCTTTCTGACAGAGTCTTGACCTATCACCCAGGCTGGAGTGCAGTGGCATATGTCTGCCCACTGCAACCTTCACCTCCTGGGTTCAAGCCTTTCTCGCATCTCAGCCTCCCGAATAGCTGGTATAACAGGTGTGCGCCACCACGCCCCATTAATTTTTGTATTTTTAGTAGAGGCAAGGTTTCACCATGTTGGCCAGACTAGTCTTGAACTCCTGGCCTCAAGCAATCCACCCCTCTAAGTGTCACAAAGGACTGGGATTATAGGCGTGAGCCACTACGCTTGGCCCAAAAATTTATTTAGCAATACCCCACAAACAGAGGCAGCCAAAGCAAAATTGGACTAATGGTAGCACATCAAGTTAAAAAGTTTCTACATAGCAAAGGAAACAATCAACAAACTGAAGAGACAGCCCACCAAATGGTGGAAAATATTTGCAAACTACCCATCTGACAAGAAATTAATAACCAGAATATATGAGTAGCTAAACAACTCTATAAGGAAAAAAATATAATAATCCTATCAAAAACTGGGCAAAAGATTTGAATGGACATTTCTCTGAAGAAGACATACAAATGGCAAACAGGCATATAAAAAGGTGCTCAATGTCATTGATCATCAGAGAAATATGAATTAAAACTACAATGAGATATTCTCTCACTGCAGTTAAGGTGGCTTATATCCAAAAGACAGGCAATAACAAATGCTGGCAAGGGTGTGGAGTAAAGGGAAACTTTGTACACTGTTGGTGGGAATGCAAATTAGTACAGCCACTATGGAGAACAGTTTGAAGGTTCCTCAGAAAACTAAAAATACAGCTCCTCATAATCCAGCAATCTCATTCACAGGTGTATACCCAAAAGAGAGGAAATCAGTGTATCAAAGAGATATATGCACTACCATGTTTGTTGTGGCACTGTTCATAAGAGCTAAGATTTGGAAGCAACCTAAGTGTCCACCAACAGATGAATGGATAAAGAAAATGTGGTACATACACACAATGGAGTACTATTCAGCTGTAAAATAGAATGAGATTCTATCATTTGCAACAACATGGCTGGAACTGGAGATCATTATGTTAAGTGAGATAAGCCAGGCATAGAAAGACAAGCATAGCATGTTCTCACTTATATATGTGAGCTAAACAAATTAAAGCAATTGAACTCATGATGATAGAGAGTAGAGGAATGGTTACCAGAGGCTGGGAAGGATAGTGGGGGTGAGGTGGGGATGGTTAATGGGTACAAAAAATAGTTAGAAAGAGGGAATAGGACCTAGTATTTGATAACACAACAGGATGAATATAGTTAATAAAAACTTGCTTGTACATTTAAAAATAACTAAAAGAGTGTAATTGGATTGTTTGTAATACAAAGGGATATGCCTGAGGGGATGGATATCCCATTCTCCATGATGTGATTATTTCATTGCATGCCTGTATCAAAGCATCTCATGTACCTCATATATATATATACATATATAAAATATGAGATACATATATGATATATATATTATGTACCCAGAAAAACTTTTAATAAGAATATATCAGAAAAAAATCACAATGCCATTTACATTAACACCCCCTAAATTGAAATATTTAGGTATAAACCTAACAAAATATGTATAAGATCTATATAAGGAAAACTACAAAATTCTGGTGAAAGAAATCAAAGAGGAACTCAGTAATGGACAGATAATCCTTGTTCATGCACAGGAAGACTCATATTGTCAAGATGTCAGTTCTTCCAATTTCATCTATGCATCAAATATAATCCCAATCAAAATCTTAGCAAGGTATTTTTTGGATATTGACAAACTAACTTTAAAGTTTATTCAAAGAGGCAGAAGAGCCACAATAGTCAACACCATATTGAAGGAGAAGAACAAAGTTGGAGGGCTGATGCTACCTGGCTTCAAGACTTGCTATAAAACGATCATAATCATGACAGTGTGGATTGGTGAAAGAATAGACAAGTAGATAAATGGAACAGAGAGCCTAGAAATAGATCCCCATAAAATACAGTCAGCTCATCTTTGTGAAAGGATCAAAGGCAAAACTGTAGAGCAAAATCAATCTTTTCAACAAAAGGTGCTGGAACAAATAGACATAGACACACAAACGCAAAAAAAAATAGAAGAAGAAGAATCTAGACACACACCATATACCCCTCATAGAAATTTACTCAAAATGGATTAAAAACCTAAATGCAAAATGCAAAACTATAAAAGTTCTACAAGATAACATAGGAGAAAATCTAGATTATCATGGGTACAGTGATGACTTTTAAAATACATCATCAACGGTGAAATTCGTGAATGAAAATATTTGATAAGCTGGACTTCATTAAAATTAAAGACTTCTGCTCTGTGGAACACACTGCCAAGAAAATAAGAAGACATTAAATGTCAATAAACCTTTTTAAAAGGAAATAAATACATGCACTAAACAATACATTTTTTTAAAATTGAGATGGAGTCTCTCTCTGTAGCCCAGGATGGAGTGCAGTGGCACAATCTCAGCTCACTGCAACCTCTGCCTCCCAGGTTTAAGGGATTCTCCTGCCTCAGCCTCCCGAATAGTTGGGACTACAGGTATGTGCCACCACACCCGGCTCATTTTTTATTTTTTTTGTATTTTTAGTAGAGACAGGGTTTTGCCATGTTGGCCAGGCTGTTCTCGAACTCCTGACCTCAGGTGATCTGCCCGCCTCAGCCTCCCAAAGTGCTGAAATTACAGGGGTAAGCCACCATGTCCAGCCAACAATGAATTCTTTTAAGGACTGTTATCTAAAATGTATAAAGAACTCTTTAAACTCAACAATAAGCAAATGAATAACCCAATTAAAAATGGGCAAAAGACCAGAATAGACAACTCACCAATGAAGACATACAAATGGCAAAGAAGCATATGAAAAGATGCTCAACATCATATGCTATTAGGGAACTGCAAGTTAAAACAATGAGATAGCACTACACACCTATCAAAATGGCCCAGATCCAAACCCTTACAACCCCAAATGCTGGTGATGATGTGGAGCAACAGGAACTCTCATTCACTGTTGGTGGGAATGCAAAGTGGTGCAGACACTTTAGAAGAAACTGGAAAACTAAGTATGCTCTTACCATGTAATCCAGCAACTGCAAGTCCATTCTGTTTATCCAAATGGGTTGAAAATGTACATCCACACAAAGAACTGCACATGGATGTTTTTAGCAGCTTTATTCCGAATTTCCAAAACTTGTAAGCTATCAAGATGTCTTTCAGTAAGTGAGTGGACAAACTGTGGTACATCCAGACAATGGAATATTATTCAGCACTAAAAAGAAATGAGCTTTTAAGCCATGAAAAGACAAGAAGGAAACTTAAATGCATATTATTCAATTGGAGGCCACCCCCAATGCCTTCACCAGCTCCCAAATGCCTCTCACCTCTGCACCTTCGAGCCTTTGCCCAGGTGCCCCCTCTGCCTGGATGTCCTTCCCTTCTTCTCTGCCCAGCACACTCCCACCAAAGCGGCCCCCCAAGGCAGGATGCAGCTCATGGTCCCAGTGGTGGACGGCTGTTCCGAGCTTACCTAAGGGTTTCCCTTGCTGCCTGCAGCCTCCTCTTGGGGAAGGAGCATGTCTTGTCTCTCCTGTCCACCCACTTCCCAGTGCATGGTTCCTGGCATTCAGTGGGGTCGGGACATACGTTCTGAGCACTTCAGAGGGCTGGCGAGGCACAGTGTCCCTGAATGTCCTCAGAGTCTGGGTCTGGCCCAGCCACATTCTTGAGGATGGGAAGCTGGAGAGGTAGAAATGTCTGGACTGAAAGCCCAGCTGGTCACATAGAAGCTGTTGTACTGGACACTTCACCTAATGCCTCCAAGCCTCACCTTAACATGGGAGCTCAGCTCCTCCTCTGCAGCCTGTGGTAGTGAGCAGGTGAGGTCGTGTATGTGAAGACTTAGAGCAGATGTGCCTCGGACATAGGACATGCTCAACTTCTTCTTCCTGTTAATCCTCCCTTTACACCTGAGGGACCCTGGCCAGGCCAACCAGCGTCCTCTGTTTTCTCATGGTCAATGGGAATAAGAGCCCTACCACTGCCCAGCCCCTAAGGGGTGGTGAGGGTGCAGATGGTTCATGATGACAGTTGCTGGGAGCTACAGGAGAAGTGAGGAGGGCCGGTGGGCCTGTGGCAACTTCCCACAGCTCACAGGAGGGCTGGAGCTGACCTGGCCGCTCCGCTCTGCTGCAGAAACAACAGCTGCTGCTCCCTGGGCTCAGGGCTGTGTCTGCAGTAGCCTGGGGACACCAGAGCCCCAACCCAGTGGAGCCCCTGCCCTGCCGTTCTGTGTTCTCCAGTGCGCCCCAAGCTGGTGTCCATCTCTCTTGCTTTAGGGATATAAAACAGTTTCATTTCCAAAATAAAGAGAACAAAGCCTCCTTGTGGCAACAATTATGCAGTCATAAGAGGAGACTTAATAGGCCCTCATTAAGAGTTGCACTCAGGGAATGACAGCTCTGACAGCTGCCAGTACTGACTGTCGTAGAGTCATGGCGCTGTTCCCTGAGGGAGCACCACCCCTTCCCCTGAGTTTGAACACCCCTAGGAGTATGGCACAGGTCACCTGTGGGGTGAAGATGTATGTGTGTTTGCAAGTGGGTGGGTGGCTGGGACCTGGAAGATTTGGCTGAGCCAAAGATGGGCTGGGTTTGCCCATCTTAGGGTTGTAGGCCTGGAGCTCAATTGCTCTGTGATGGAGGAAGGTGACTCTGGAGCTCTCCCAGGCACGGGAAGGGGCAGAGGGGCAGAGGGACAGAGAGAAGAAAGGGACGTGGGAAAGACAACACACAACCCCTTCCATGAGGCTCGCTGGATCTTCAGTCGTGTGGTTGGAACTCCGGGAGATGTCCCCTGAGCCCGGGAAGCAGGATAGGTCAGGAGAAGGCCCTAAGGAAAGGCTTTGGATACTACCTGTGGCCACACTCTCCTCCAGGCCAAGGAGAGACAGACAGAGAGGGGCTCTGGGCAGCCAGTGGCACTGAACTCACAGGGTCGAGGTCTGGGGCAATATCCGGGCTCCACTCTCATTCCGTAATGGCAACATAATAGAGTGCAGAGTGATGGCTAAAGAGTGGGTAGCTTCCCTGGTTCAAGGCCAGCCTCTGGCAGCTGCCACTTTTTTTTCAGTTGAGCAGTGGCCAACCTGCACAACAGGCCCCTTACCACATGCCAACACTGGGTACAGCCTGTGTTGTAGGGGTCTTGGGAACTTGAATGTTGAATGCACCCCTTTGCTCTATCTCTCGCTGGGGACCCCTCACTGGGCTGTCTTGGTTTGTGCTCCGTTCACTGGGCCAGCTCCTCCCTGTGCCCCCAGCCCAGCCTTGGCACTGCATCTGGAACTCAGATGGGGGATGGTAGCAGCTTTCAGGAAACTGCCCAGTGACAGGACTGGGCATCGTGCAGGGGGTGACTCATGTTCTAGTCTGTAGTTTTGACGGAATGCTTCTAAAAGTTTCCTGAGAAAAGGTGCAATAGAAGAAAGGATGTCTGCAAATGTCTTTAATGCATCCCCACGTTTAGCCGAATGAGTGGCTGCCGTATTCAACGAGGTCTGAGCTGCAGACAGCTGTCTCCAGAGGGGCTGGTGGGTTGACCCCTTTGGCTTCCAGTTGCCAGGCAGCTCTCCTGACTTCATGGATACCCCCCTCCCCGCCACTCACCACCTCTGCTGCAACATCCTGTCACTCAGGAACTCCAGCAACCCAACCCCATCTCTACTAAAAACAAAAAATTAGCTGGGTGTGGTGGCAGACGCCTGTAATCCCAGCTGCTTGGGAGGCTGAGTCAGCAGAATTGCCTGAACCTTGGAGGTGGAGGTTGCAGTGAGGTGAGATCGCGCCACTGCACTCTGGCCTGGGCAACAGCCTAAAACTCTATCTCAAAAAAGAAACTCCAGCAATCCTCACAAACAAACAAGATAACAGGCAAAGAACATGCTAACAAACGGCAGCTTTGATGACCAGGAAAGCGCATGGAGCTCCCATTCCAGGAATGTATTTTAACTGGATGTGCCTCCTTGGGAAAAAAAGAACAAAAAAGAAACTCCTAGTAAGAAAAAAAGCCCCGCCCTGCTTCTGACAGACTCAGCTCTGGCAGCAGCTGCTCCTGTTTGGAAAGACCTACATCCCAGGAATATAAATTTTTTATTGTGATTTTATTTTATTTGTTGATGCAGAGGGTTTTTATTTTATCTTTTGAACCAGTAGCAGCAGCGGGAGAGGGAGAAATGGGGGAGCTGCAAAGCTGGCTGGGGGTGTTCTCCCTCCTCTGCTGGGGGTGGAGATGACACCTGAGCCCCCTTCGCTGGGCTTGCTGGCCACACAGGCTCCTGTCTCTGCCATGGTGTGGGGACTTGTGGTATTGGGAGGGAAAGAAGAAGTAAAGAGGGGGTGGGGGCAGAGGAGCAGGGGTGTCCAGGGGTGTTTGGCCCAGAGCAAACCCCTGGTGCTCCCACATTCCGGGTCCGGGTCATCTGCTAGGACAGGCACAGTGGGAGGGGTGTGCCCCCTGCCCATCCTTGGGGAGGTTCGAATGGACTAGATCCAGTCCAACCCCCCAGCTGCAGTGGAGGAAGCAGAGGCCAAGTCCCTGCGGAAGCTGCCCAGGACCCGCTGAGTGGCGACCTCGGGGGCAGTCACCCTACATGCACCCAGGACTGAGGGTATGTGTGCTTCTCCTGTGCTGCCTGGGAAATAACAGGAAAGACCACGGGCGTCCACCCCCAGGGAAAAGGGTGAAGAAAGTGCGGGGCCCTGGCTGGGTCTCTCTGGGTGTGCAAGGAGAAGCCGAGGCGTCACAGGAACCCAGGAGGTGGGGAGGATGCAGAGCAGGACCTATTATTCCTATCATTAAGTATCGATTCTTATTTATGAGAAAACAACAACTATCTGGTGCCTGAATATGAATATGAATTTTAAAAGATCCAGAGGAGTACCCGAGAAATTGTTCATGATTATTAGGGAAAGGGAAACATTTTATCTTAGACATTTGGTATGGCTTGAAGTGTATTTTTTTGGAGGGTGACATGTATTATTTTTATTAAACGGTAGTAGCTGAAGTGGTTACCTCTAGAAACAGATATTTGTTTTGTGGGAGGGTTAGGTGGTTAAGAGACATATTAACACTGCCTGTAATACTTCAGGGTTTTTTTTTCTAACAAAAAGAGATGTTCTTGTACAATTAAAAAAAGTCTTTAAACTGCAATAATAAAGAAAAACAAAGCAACTCCTGGCTGCAGCCTGTGGCCTTTTTTCCCCTGCACACCCTGCCTGGGAGCTCAGGTCTTAGGAAGGCAAGCCCCTGCCTGCAGCTTGCCTTCCTAAAAGGCCTCACTGACTTCTCAGCATCTGTGTGCTGTGGCCAGGGCAGCTCAGCACCTGGATCCCAGCTCCATGGGGCTCCAGAAAAGTTCAGAGGGCACAGCGCTTACTCAATCCTGCTGTCCGCTCTCAGAGGAGCAGGGTGGGAGCCCAGGAGCCTGGCCCAGCTCCCCAGCAATCCATGATGCTCCTGGCACCGCTCCCGGCCCCCAAGACAGACAAAGCACCTTCCTAGTCTCCAAAGTCCTCTAATCCCCGGTCGTTTTTTGCTTTCCAAAGGAGCCCTGGTCGACCCTGAGCCAGCAGTCCACACCTTTGCCCAGGGTGAGCTCTGACTCAGCTCTCTTGCTCCTTCCCCCTCACCCATGGCCCCTCTGGTTCCTGAGGCTGAGGGACATGGGCTTGTGGGGGGAGGGTTTTTGGGGGAGGCGTCCCAGACCCATTCCCGGTGCCAAGCTCCCCTCCCTCTCCCCCCATTCCCCCATCCCCTCTGCTCCTCAGTGGCTGGCAGGTGGCATTGTTCAGCACCTGACAGCTCCCTCCACTCCCACAGGTCCTGCCTCCTGCACTGTTGTGTCAATTTGGACAGCTGTCATGCCAGCTCTGAAACACACCCAGTGTTTCCTACCCAATTCTGGAGGCCCCACTCTGCTCCAAGCAGGCTGGTGACCTTGGGTGTCCTTTTTCCTGTCTGGGCCAGGGATCCCACCTGGGTTGAAGAGAGCAGGGACAGTGTGGTGCAGCAGGAGCCTATTCCCATACTGTGCACTCGCTGAGAGCTTGTTTCCCCTGGGACATGAGAGATGCACCACCTTCCTGCCCAGCTGGGCAAGAACATCAGGAGAGCCAAGGGTTACAGGAGGCCTGGAGGAAGCAGTGTTTTCAGTAATGCAATATGCAGCATTGACCAGCACCTGCAGCATACCAGGTGCAATGCTAGGGGATAACAGATCACAGAGAAAGGGCTGCAGCACACAAGAGCTCACAGTGCAGCAGAGTGGCCAGCAGACAAGTGGCTGGAGAATGATGTGGGAAATTCCACAGTGAAGACATTTGAAGGCAGCAAGACAGGGCTTTGAGTTCTGCCTAGGGGAGCTCAGAAGCCTTTGTAGAGGTAGGGGAATTTGAGTTGGGCTTTGAAGGATGACTAGGAGTTCACCAATTTGAGGAGACTAGAGGGGCCTTGCAGTTAGCAGCCAAAGCAAAGAGAAAGCAACACATGGTTCACCCAGAGAGGCATCAAAGAGCAGTGGTGGAAAATGAGGCTGAAAAGACTCCCCAGATAGGGTTGAGCCTTTGTATTTGTGAGGGTGCTTTTGGCTGTCAGTAAACGAATTGTCCAATAAAGTGTATAAACATACATCATGTCTTACCGTGTGATATAGTTTGGATGGTCCCTCCAAATCTCATGTTGAGATGTAATCCTCTTGACTGCCAGAGCCTTGAATGTGAAGACACTTAGGCCACAGTGGGAGGGAGAACCATTAGGGCTCAGAGCCCAGGGTGTCTGGTTGAGAAGGAGGCACTGATGTCCTTGGTTGCTCCCAGCACCTCCCTTTGAGTCCTCACTCTGTTCCTAGGAAGCAGCAGCAGAGCTGTGTCTGAGCTGCAGCCCTTGAGGTTCAGGCTGAGGATGGATCAGCGATGCAGGCAGCAGGGCCAGAGCAACAGCCTCATAGATTCTGGCCTTTCCTGAGTCCCCAGGGAGAGGCCCCTGCACTGGCAGCACTTTGCAGCAGCCTGGAGGAGTAGAGCTGGCCTTGTGCTCTGTGGAGTGCCACGCGCAGGCCCTGAGCAGGTGTGCTGCACAGATGACCTCATCGAATCCTCAAAGTGACCACCTCCTAGAGTGGACACTATCACTACACCCACTTCACCGACGAGGCAGCTGAGGCCCCGTGAGGCTCCACACATGGCTGAAAAGTGCAAGCAGAGGGAAGAAAGCAGGACTTCTGCATGCGCCTGTCCCCACCCTATGCTGCCTGGGAGGCTGGGGCTGTGCGGTGGGGGCTCCCTCCACCTCTGAGACCCCTTCCCTTGCCAGCAAGTGCTCTGAGCTTCCCACAGACAGATAGGAGAGAGAAATCAACTTCCATGGTATTCAGCTGCTGTTACTCACAGCCGAAATGGATCCCAATAGACCTGAGCCCCTTACCCTTTGGAGTCCTGTAAGGTATGGCCAAGTGCTGTTACCACACCATCTCCCACAGGACCTGCCAAAACCCACAGGATTCCCTGGTCATCCTCATTGAGCAGGTAAGAGGACCGAGGCTGGGCAGTGTTCAGGTGGCCTGCCCAGAGCCAGATGCCATGGGGTGGTTCAGCCATGGGGCCCTCTGCCCTCATTCAGCCTGTCTCCTTAAATGCTTGAGTGGCAGCATTTGTAAACTGCTTATTTCTGAGTTCTCTGCAGACATGCTGAAGCAGAATCTCTAGTGACAGGCCCAAGAACATGCATTTTTCCGCAGTCCTGAGTGAGGCTGAGGAGCAGGGCTTGCCTGAGGCAGAGAGGAGAAGTGAGCTTTCCAAGGCCACGCAGCCAGCTAGGGGCAGAGCTGAGGTCAGAGCCTAGATCAGACCAGATCCCAGGCCATGTTGGCTGGAGCTGAAGTGGGCATTGACTCCTGGGGCCCCCAGAGCTAGAGGTGGAGGGGCATGAAAGCCTAGGGGCGGTGGCTGGGCTTGGAGGGCTGCCCAGTTGGTGCATTCCAGGCCAGAGCCTGCTCATCCTGCCATGGGGCAGGGATTGCAAGGCCAACAGAGCACTTGCTGCTCCTCTGGGCAGCTGGGACAGCTTTGCCACACAGCACACACTCTTCCTCCTGCTGGGAATATCCAAACCCCACTCAGGAAGGTTCCTGCTCTTCAGAGGCTCCTAGTCTTGGCTTCTACTCTGGCCACTGGCTCCGCTCCTGGGCTCTAGGCTTCTGCTGCTGCTCCCAGGGACTGCCGGCACAGGAGGCTCTTAGTAGTTAGGGGGGAAAACACTAATTTGGGTGAAGAATACCCAGGCCGGACACCCGGCCCTGCTCTTTCCTTGCCAGGTGGCTTTGGACAAGTCATGCCCTTTCCTGGACTTGGGGCTGTACCTCTGGATGGCCTGGGATTTGGACTGGATCATCCAGAGTTGAAGATGAGAGCTGGTGAGCTCTACTCCCCTTCTCCAGGTGAAGAATCTATTCATTCATTCAGTCATTTGACATTCAACAAATATGTATTCAACACTGACTTTCTGCCAACTTCTAGGCACTAGGTTACCACAGGGAACAAACCTAGAAGTAATCCTTCCCCCTTTAGAGCTGATGTTCCAGGAGACCCATGTGCACGGCGTGACATCATTAAGCATTCTGAGATTAGATGGATGGATGTGTGGATGGATGAACAGATGAATGGATGGATGGATGAATGGATGGATAGATGGGTGGATGGATGGATGGATAGATGGGTGGATGGATGGATAGATGGGTGGATGGATGGATGGATAGATGGGTGGATGGATGGATGGATAGATGTTTGGATGGGTGGATAGATGGATAGACAGACGAATGAATGGATGGATGGATGGTAGATGGATAGATGAATGAATGGATGGAAGAATGGACAGATAGGTGGGTGGATGCATAGATGGGTAGACAGATGAATGGATGGATGGATGAATGAATGGATGGTAGATGGATAGATGGATGGACAGATGAATGAATGGATGGAGGAATGAGTAAATGGGTGGATGGATGCATGGATGGATAGACAGAAGAATGGATGGATTGGTGGGTAGATGGATGGATGGATAGATGGACAGACAGATGACTGAATGGATGGATGGTAGATAGATAGGTGGATGGACAGATGAATGGATGGATGGATGGATGGGTAGATAGGTGGATAGACGGACAGACAGATGAACCAATGGATGGATGGGTAATGAGGAGGGGAAGAAGCCTGGGCCCCTGCTCTCCCCCTGCTCTCCTCCCTGTGGCCGCATTTCCATCTCAGGACAGAGCTGACTGGCTGGCTGGGTCTCCTGGATAGAAAGTGAAGGGGGCAGTGGCCTGACTGAGGCAGGGCTTGGGATGACAGTAGTTGGGCTCTGGGGAGACTTTGGTGATGGATGGGCTCGATGTCAGGGAAGGTGGCCGGGGAGGAGGTGGTAGGGGATGGGCTGAGTGTTATGGGCACAGGGGACACAGTTCAACCACGTGAGCCTGCCTCTCTTCTGCCTCTGTCTAGGTGGGAGACTCTCTTTGGGTTTGAAAACCCCAGTCTGAGATGTGCTGTTTCCCTTGTGCCCCACCAGGGCCCAGTGTGTAGCGTTCTGGGGACACCGGGTGTTGCTGAGAATGAATCAGGGAGCCATAATCAGGGGGCTCAGTGCAGGGCAGAGGTGAAAGGAGCACCGGAAGCAAGCAGGCCTGGGAGTGGGGCATTTATTTACTATTTGTTGGGGCCATCTTGGAGGGGGTGCCCAGCAGGCTGGGGTGGCCTGCCACAGCACTCTGTCCTCTCAGTAAGTCTGCAGCAAGAACCTGCTGGAAGCTGCAACATTCACAGCTGCAGGATGGGCAATTGGCTCTATGAGTCGGGCTCTGCTTCCATCTAAAGGCCTAGATGTGAGGGCAGAGGAGCACTCAGCCTGCCGAAGGTCTGCACAGCTGGGCGGCAGCGGGCGAGATTGGAATTCACTCACCATGCAGCTACTGGCTGCCTGGCTACTGCTGGGAAGCAAGCTGAGGGCAAAGACTGCCCCACAGGGGCAAGATCGGGGCCCACCACAGGAGGTCACCCCCCAGGCATGCAGGGCACAGAGCTGGGGGGAATGAGCTCCCTCCCCATGCGCCCCTCCCCAGCTGTCCCTGAGTCACTAGCGCCCTTCCCTTTCACTACCAGGGAGGCTCTGGAGCTGCTTCCTATCCCCCACTGTCCTGTGAGTCACCGCCCCACCCTCCAAGTCCCTCCCACATGGTGTGATCAGCATCCCTGCCTCTGCCCACGAAAGTGATTTCAAAAGGCAGAAGTGACGGGTGGTGGGTGGTTAGGCGGGCAGTGCCTCTCACCTCCCCATCCATCTCTCTTCTGTCAAGTGGGGCAGCAGCAGGGCCAAGAAGACTGAATTCAAAGCATCCTGGAAGGCCTCAGGTTGTCAAGGGCCCCAGGCAGCGCATGAGGCTTTGAGAGGGGCCCCTGCCTTGTGCCTGGGCAGGCTCCTTCCCTGCTCTGCACACTGTGTCTTGAGCAGGCTCTGGAACCCACCTTTCCACCATCAGAGTGATAGACGGGCTGGATGTCAGGAAGGTGGAGTGTGTTCCTCCAGGTCACAGCCCTGGGCCTCTATGACAGCCCCTTTGAGATGAAGAGACCTGGGTGAGGAGTCTGCAGCGGGGGCGGTGGGGGCATCTTCAGTGCTCTGGCATGGGTTCATTCCTCAGGATGCTCCTGCAGCCACCCCAAGCTGAGGACAAGGCCCAGATCCACAGTGGCCTGGGAAGTGCTCCCAGCAGAGTGAGCAGACCTGGGCTTCGGTGCTGTCTGCCCTCTGTCCTGCTGCAAGGCTAATCACCTTCTGGTTCTGGGCCTTGAATCCCTTTTACAGCATGGGGGCTGGATGCTCTTTGAGCTTCCTCCTGGTTTCGATCCTGGAAACTGACACCTACTTGTTTGCAGTTGTGTGACTTGGTCAAATCATGTAACCTCTTGAGCCTCAATTTCATTCTGTGTGAATGAAACAGTGAAAGCCCTGAAGATTAGATTTTTGATAGAAGAATTGTAACAGCAGTGACCCCATAGCCCTTTACCATTTGCAAGGTGCTTCAGACAAAATATCTCACTGGTCCCTCCCAACAATTCTGCCACAAAAGCTGGTATTACTTTCATCCCCAGCTTACAGTTTGAGGAACGAAGGCCCAGCTATGGGGGCAGGTGCAGAGGTGGGCCTCGCTTCCAGGTCTCAGTCTCTGGATGAAGGGCAAGATCCCTGCAGCTAAGGACGAGGGAGTGGTGGCACAGAACATCCGGCCTGCTGGTCTTTCTTTCCCAGCCTGGGGCATCTCTGTGAAGGCCGATGAGTGGCAGCCCCTCCCCAGGTGCTGGTGCCAGGCGGCGGGGAGCTGCTTCTGATAGCTGTGCAGACAATTGTCACTTCTCCATCGCTGCTAATAGCATGTTTAGCTTGCTGACTCCTCTGTTTGCCTGGTGCCTCCCACAGACCCAGAGCTTGGAGTTTCTTCATTGCCTTTGGTGGGGCAGGGTGGCAGAGAGGGATCTCTGCTCCCTGGCCCTGGCTGCAGCCAGCAGCTCCACCCAGGGCCCTGCACCTGGGAGGCGACTGCAATTCCATGCCTTAGCTCCCAGCACCCCAGGGAAGTCTGTCTGGGCTCTGGAACAGCAGAAACGGCCTCCTGCAAATCTCCTACCCGACACAGGACCAAGTGTGGGAAGGCTCTGGTCCAAGGGGCTTTCTCCAACTCTCTGGACCACAGGGAGCCGGCAGGATGGGGGCCAGTCCACCTTCAGATTACACCTTTACCTTTGACTCAGACCCCTTTGCCTCCCAGGCCACCATACGACATCTCCTGCTTGCAGATCTGGCCATGCTGGAGGCAAAATGGATCCCCAGCCCCTCAGTTGTGACCCTTCCTAGCTTGTTAGGTTAGTAGAAAACTGAGCTCACAGTCTCGGGGACTGCTCCTCCCCTGGTTCATGCACAAACCCCAAAGGTTCATGGGATTCCTAAAAGCAGCCTGACAAATTTCCCTCCTGTGGGGAGAAGACCCTGTGGTCTGGCAGGACCCACTGCCCTTGGCCAGGTGCCCCTCGCTTTGATCCTGGGTCTGGCTCCTGCCTTAGGAGCCTGCAGACCTCTGTGGGGCCACTCCCTGGTGACCCACCAGCCCAGGAAGGATGGACCCCGCAGTGGACAACACTCGGTTCTGTCCATCTCCCTGCCTTGGGGAAGTACTTGCCTGTGGTTTTAATTTACCTTTGACCCTATGGTGCACTTCTGGAATGTTCCCTCCACGAGGGCGTGGACTTGGTCCTGTTCATGGGGATCTCTCTGGCACCTGGAGCAGCTGTGTAGCCCAGACGGGGTGCTCAGTCATTGTCTGCTGCCTGAACAGATATGTGCAAGTTTGTCTTCTCACTGCTGTTAACATTATTGTATGAGTAATTTTACAAGTTTACCATTTTTCTTGTACGTATAATAAATATCCCACCTTATTGACCCACAGTTCCCCCTCCCACAACTTGCAAAGTATTTTGGCTGACTTGACTTGTTTACTATGATAAATAGTGTTGCTATAAACAGCTGTGCACATATAGCTATTTTTCCCTTTGCAATTATGTTTTTGGGAGGAATTCCAAACAGTGGGGTTAGCGGGTCAAAGGGCATGGTGTATTTATGGTCCTGGATGTGCTGGGACTGCCGAATTCTCAGCCCCCAGGCCACCCCTGTTTTCCCTGAGGTCTAGCTCTGGGTGAACACCCACAAAAGTGTCTGTCTGCCTGAGGCTACCCCGGCCTCTGTCTGGCTCCTGCGGTCGTGGAGCAGACCTCACGGTGCGGGAGCTGGAGGTGGCTGTGGGAGTTTGAGGAGGGGAAGAGGAGGCAGCTGTGGGAGTTGTGGAGATGGCTTCACGGAGCCAGGAGCCCTGTTCCGGGAGGGCAGTAGGACCCCCTCTTCTCCCAGAGCCCTGGCCTTCTCTTGGATGGCTCTCCTGTCCTGGAGCCATCCCACCCCCTGCAGCTAAGCTTCCACCCCCAGTCTCTGAGAGGGGGCAGTGCCCCCTGTAGGCAGGTGTGTTTGGGAGAAGGGAGGGGACCCAGTGCCTCAGCCTACTCCGGACTTTCTCCTGTGGGCCCTGATGTGGTGTCATGTGGGGGAGAAGTGCCGTGGAAGCTAGCTGCTGAGCAAAAGGTCTTTATCACTGCAGAAAATGTGCCTGAGATTTGCCCGCCTTCTGCCTCCATCCACTGGCTCTGCCCCGCCTCAGCTGCTGGAGCCCCCTTTCCCCACCATTAGCCCCAGACCTGCAGGCCTGGATGGTTGAAGGGGAGGGGTCCACACTGGCCCCTCATGGGATCTTCCGGAACCTGGCTGCTACTGGAGGGCAGGGTATCCAGGGTGGCCCCTCCCTAAGTAAATCTTCCCATCCTGGGAAGACCTATTCTCTGTCTGGCGATGCCTGCATTTTATGGGGACCCCAAGGCTTTCCCCTGCCATGGGGTAGTGTCTTGGAGGCGGGGCCTGCTGTCTGTAAGGGCTGGTGAGCCCCGGCCCAAGCAGGGCTAGGCAGTGCCCTGTGGCTCAGGCCTGAGTGGCATGGGCGTAGCCCGTGCTGGGAGGGAGGAATGAGACTCCCTGTGTCCCGAGGCTCTCCCTTGGAGCAGGCTCTCTCTGCTCTCTCTGTACCTCCTGCCCTGTCCTTTCTGGCTGCAGGTCCCTAGTGGCAGGAAGTTCTGGGAAGCAGTGCAGAAAGAGCACTGGACTCGGGCGTTCTCATCCAGTCTCTGTTACCAATGGGCTGTGGGATCCAGCCCCTACCTCAGTCCTCAGCCGGACATTTGCCTGTGGCCTTGTGCAGCACCTGCGGCCTTGGCAGGGTGGCTGAGGGTGGCTGAAACCCAGGTTGTGGGAGGATCTGGAAGGAGCCTGGCTCCTGTCTCCCCATGTCCATGTCAGCTCTTGGCCTGACACCAGGAGACCCTCAGGGTTGGGGGTGTCACCCCCCCTTCCTGCAGCCTCCGCATCCTCCTCCCATGCCCCACTCTGCTTTTCTGCTGGCTGGTGCAGGAGACAATGGCTGTGGGGCATGTGGGTGCACGTAGGGGGGGTCCTGCGTGGGTTGTGTGATTTTCCCGGACAGGCAGGCGTGAGAGGGAGAGGAAATTATTCTGTCTAAAACCTCAGAGATGAGTCCTTGAGAGCTGGCAGAGTGACTGCTTCCCGTCTGGGTGGGGAGGCAGGAGACAGGGTGGGCCGTTCCCAGGGGCAAGAGCAAGGCAGGGCAGGGCCAGTCCTCAGGGAGAATCCCAAGAAGGCCACAGCAGCACAAAGATAAGCCCTCATATTTCCCACGTGTCACCTGGACAAAGAGCCGTGATGCCCCCCATAACAGCCGGTCCTCACGAGAATCCAGAGAGCTCGCTAGGGAGGCAGACATTATGATAACCCAGTTTACAGATGAGGAAACGGAGGCTCTGGAGGGGTTCATTGACCTGCCTAGGTCACAGAGCCAGCCCGTTAGCGACAGAGCCAGAGCTCGAAACCCAGATCCCGAGGCACATCTTCCTCCAAAATGACCACAGAGAGGTGATGTCTCTGAAAGCAAAGCCAGGGACAGCCACCAAGGCAGACAGGGGCCGCAGTTTTGTTCAGGCAGAAAATGCCAAAGGTGCCACACTCCCACCTCACCCCCACCCGGCCTTCACTCTCAAAAGTGCAACTTTCCTGCTGGAGGAGGGGAAGGGTTGAGCTGGGAAGACATCTTCCCTCCTGTGACTCTGAGGCCCAGAGGCTGGGCTCGGCAACTCTCTGGGATTCACAGGGCGCCTCCTGCGGGACTTCTACATCTCTGCCATGACAATGTTTACCTATTTATTGCCACAGAAAAGGAGCCAGATAGCAACAGCTAGAAACTGAACCCTCCATGGACTCTCTCCCTCCTTCCCTGGCAGCATTCACCTGCACAGTGGGAAGTCCTGCAGCGATGGGCCAGGTGAAATGGAGTGGGCAGGGGCTCTTGGTGAGGTGTCATTATGGTAGTCATCCGGGCTGTTCACAGATGTTCAAGTCTCCTTTATGCCAGGCCCATGGTAGGAGTTGACTTCTCCATCCACTTCAATTCAAGCATGGCCATGTGAGTTGCTCTTACCAACAAAATGTGGGTGGAAGTGGGTGGAATGTCACTTTCAGACAGAAGCCTTAGGAGCCCTTGTGTGGGCCAGCATGTTCTCTATTCCTGTCTCTGAGATCCTGGACACACCTGTTGAGATGAAACTCTGTCAGACTGGGTCACCCAGTGACTGTGATGCCCAGAGCCCTCCTGCTGACTCAGTGGTCATACTGCATATGTCAGAAATAAACTTCGCTATTTTCATCCATTGAAACAGTGGGCTACTTGTTACCTACATAACCCAGCCTATCAGCCTCGATGCAGTCACCAAGCTAGTCAGTAAGATCCCTGCCCAGGACTTTAGAAATAGGACCTGCAACTCTCTAGAGGGCTGGGCCCATAAGGTGTAAACCTGGCTGCTGTGTTTTGAGATGCCCTGAACAGGCTAAGTGTGAGCAACAGGCTGTTTATCCACTCAGATGCAAGTGGGCTGAGTCCGAAAAGAAAGTCAGTGGAGGGTTGTGGGAGTGGAGTTAGTTTTATAGGCTTGGAGTAGGTAGTGGAAAGTTACAGTTAGGGGCAGTTTTTTCGGGCAGGGGAAGAATGTCACAAGGTGCATAGTCACGAGGTGGGGGAGGTCACAAGGCACAACATCACAAGGTGGATGGATTAGTTGGGGCAGGAACATATCACAATGGTGCAATGCTGCAAGGTCAGTTCATCAGTTAAGGCAGGAACTAGCTGTTTCTTCTTCTTTAGTGGTTCTCCTAGTGCTCCAGGCTTTGTGACTCCAGGAGGCCTGTACGTGTGGGTCACAGGGGTCACAATGGCTTGACCATGGTGCAGCCCATTCAGAGGACCTTACAGGAAGCAGGCACACAGTAAGGAGACGTGCAGAGCCCTCCCCAGGATTCTCTCCGCTGCCTAAGGTCTGGATGCATAAAAATCCTTGTGTCCCGGGAAACTCTTCCCCTTTTCTTAGACAAGCTTGGGTTGGTTTAGGTTGCACTCAACCACGCGTCCTAATCCAGAGTAAAAGGGGACATGGGAGAAGCCTCCCTCTTACAGATGAGGCACTGAGGCTCAGAGTGGCCAGGCGCCTTGTTCAAGATCATAGGGCCTTTGAGGACTAATGCTCGCCTGCTCCCTTTCTAGTGAAATAATCCAAACAGTGAAGATCCACTGTGAGTCCTCCCTCTCCCTCTCCTCTCCCACTCTCCAGAAGTAGCCACTCTTAGTAAGAGTTTGGTGGGGTTTGTATCAGACCTTTTAAAAAAGGTGTTTATCAACATATATGTATACAATATTCATACAGTTATATTGGAAAATGGGATATTGACCTCATTTTTCTGAAATTCACTTCTTTTTCACTCTTCAGATTGTCAATATTGCCAAATTCTAACTGTGCCTGGAGAATCTGGTGATGTATCTGGGAGGGAAGTGGTGATTAAGGTCGGGGCCACCTTGAGCCCTCGTGTGTCCAGACTCAAAGGACTGAGGTCAGAAAATCCTCCGGGCAGGGCTGAGACTTAGAGTCAGGGTGGACCCTTCCAGGAAGTGGTGCAGCCCCTCTGGGTGGCTGGCCCCTCTGGCTAGCTCTGACCTGGAGGAGTTCAGCCTTTGGTTTCAGTAAAATCTGCTACCCTGTGGAATCCTCCCACTGGCCTGTTATCTCCCCCTTAATTTCTGGGGCAAATTGCATTAAATGCTTTCCTTCCTCCCACAGTGGGCCAGGCAGGAGAGAGGCTGTTAGCTGCAGGCTAGGGAGTGTAGCCCCGGATTCTCACCTGGCAACCCCAGTAATGAGCACTGCAGAGACAGCCACAGACACCCTTATTGACCAGGAAGAAGTCAGGAGCCCAAAGGCAGAGAACCAAGGGCTGCGGGCCTGGAGGGAACCCAGGGAAGCCTAGACAGCCAGAGGCAGGCAGGCAATTAAAGGAGGGGGTGGAGTTTTCAATTAACAGCTCTTCTGCTAGAAGCAGGTAATTAATGGATTAGCAAGGCTGTTAGCAAGGCTGCTTGCTGCCAGTGAGGAACCTGGCAGGTGCTGCCTTGGAGAAGGAGGACCAGGCTCCAGATTCCACAGGAAGGAAAGGACTCTTCAGAGGCAGGATCCTGAGGGCAGCTGAGAGTCATGGGACTCAGCAGGGACACAGTGAGCAGGCTGGAAGGGCGGGAGGCAGGCCAGAGGGGATGGGGCAGTATAATCCCACTGTCCCCTGGCCTCGCAGGGTCCCTGGTTTGCAGAGCCCTCTTTGCCTGGGATGGGCTAAGGAGGCAGTGTATGAGAATATCTGGGGGTCATGGTGTTGACACCCCTGGAATTGGCACATTACCACACAGCTCACACGTTTTCACAGTGGTTTAGGGGGGAAGCTGCATAAGGCGGGGCTGACAGCAAGGACTTTGACATTAGACACGCTTCAGTTAAGCCTCGCTCCCACTTCCCAATCTAGGGGACTAGGGGATCCTCAGACAGCCCAGATGTTCCTCAGACTACTCAGCACCTTTCTAGTTAGGCAGGATCATGCCAAATTCTAAAGAAGCCAGTACGCACCTCCATCTGTGTCTTCCCCTGCCAGGGAGTTGGCAGAGGCCACTGTTCCAGACAGCAGAGCCTCAATCAGCCTGAATCCCTGAGCGACCTGCATGGAGCAGATTCCCTCGCCAGCCCCCATGAGTGGGAGTGAGAGGTAAACTACTGTGTTAAGTTATGAGATGTTTAGAGCTGTGTGTTACAGCAGCGTAACCAAGCCTACCCTGACTATTACACAGGGTCAACCTCACCTTTGTAAAATGGGTAAGAATGATACCACCTGGAATGATTATTGTGAGGTTGAGTGAGAGGATATATGACTTGGCTGAAGGGTACACTTAGCTCCTGGACCCCACACCCTCTCCAAAAGCAAGGAATGTTGCCATGGACCAAGAGCCAAGCCCAGGGACATTTGATTGGCCACTTCTAGCAGAAGAACTCCTGTAATGCTTAGCAAAGTGTTAAAGGGTTGAACACACAGGGGAGGGGCCTGACCTGTAATGCTTAGCAAAGTGTTTAAGGGTTGAGCACACATGGGGAGAGGATGGTGGAGGCCTGGGCTGTGCCCTCCGGAAAGGCTTGGCCAGCTCCCTCTCTCTGGCTTCTCCAGTTCTCTTTTGTCCCCAATATGGGGAGAGAGGCTGGGGGCTGCTACCCCAAGTCTTGCTGGCTGGAGCCGTGAGCATTGCTTGTGGTGGTGCTGGGCTCTGGGAGGGCTTCCCTTGGTTCTTGAAGGCCCCAGGCCATAAGTGACTCTTGTGACCCCATTAGCAGCACAACTTTCCCTCTGCCCCCTCTGTCCCATAGCAGCCCCCAGCTTTGCCTCCTGTCCTGCCACACCTGGACCCCACCATCTTTCCGTCATAAGCCTCCAGCCTGTCCCCTGAGCTGGCCCCACTTCCCTCCATTTGGGAGAAGCCGTGGAAGCTGCTGACTGTTCTCCCCTCATTTTTCAGCCTGTTCCCCACTGTTCATGTTTGGTCTACAACATCAAACCCATTTCTTTTTCAGCTGATCTCATTTCTCCTGAGTTTCTGATGCTCTGAGTCCAAAGCCTAAACAACCGTATTCTTTTCACTCTCCAAATACAAAGCCCTCTCACCCTGGCTCAGCGGTTGGCTCCCTGCTCTGAGCCAGCTCACCTGATCCTTTAGAGGAAGAATGTTCGAAGCACAGGCTTTAAAAACGTCCTTCCTAGCTTGTGCATATTCTATTTGCACTTCCCCACTCACTCAAGAAGATGCCATTTCCCCCACAAAGCTGGGAGCCTTAATGCCCTTCTCCAGCACCCATCCTGCCCACCGTGGCTGAGGTCACAGCTCTGGGCTTTGAAATGCACAAACACAATCAGAGGTCAACTCCTGTCATTTGAGGATCCCTGATTAGAAAAGAGCTTGATATACAAGCAGGGTATGTATGGAAATAAAAAAATTAGAAAAAAGAGAAATAAAACTGGACACACAGATCAGCAGGGGTTAGCGGTCTCCTTGTCACTGTCACAAACAAACCCCTGTTCTGGTTCATGCCAGCCACTGCCACCCTTACAACCAAAAGTACAGTCACTAGGCCTGTGCTGTCCAGGGCAGCAGCCACTAACCATGTGTGCCTGATGAGCACTGAAAAGGAGCTCAGAAATGTTGAGATGTGCTGTGTGTAAAATATACACTGAATTCTAAAACTGGGGATTAAAAAGAATGGGAAACACCTTCTCAATATTTTGTATATTGATGACACATTGCAATGATAGTATTTTGAATATATTGGGTTAAAATATATTATTGAAATTAATTTTACCTGTTTTTTTTCTTTCTTTTCTTTTTTTTTTTTTTACATGGAGTCTCGCTCTGTTGCCTAGGCTGGCGTGCAGTGGTGCGATCTTGGCTCACTGCAAACTCTGCCTCCCAGATTCAAGTGTTCTCCTGCCTCGCCTCCTGAGCAGCTGGGATTACAGGCACCCACCATAACTCCTGGCTAATTTTTGTATTTTTAGTGGAGACAGGGTTTCACCGTGTTGGCCAGGCTGGTCTCGAACTCCCAACCTCAAGCCATCCACCCACTCAGCCTCTCAAACTGCTGGTATTACAGGCATGAGCCACCACACCCGGCCTCTTTTTCTTTCTTAATGTGGCCACTAGAAAACTTAAGATCCCCATTGCAGTGCATGTTGTATTTCTGTCACACACCGTTGCACTGGGCACCACTCTGTCACTCCTGCCATGCAGAGTACTGCCCTTGGAATGCCGTGTTTTTGTTTCTCACTGCTGCTGTAACAAATTACCACCAGCTCAGTGGCTCAGAACAACACACATCTATTATTTTGCAGTTCTGGAGGTCAGACTCTGACCTGGGTGTCACTGGGCTACAGCCAAGGCGTCATCGGGGCTGCGTTCCTTTCTGGAGACTGTGGAGAAGAATCTCTTTCTGTGCTTCTCTGAGCTGCCCACATGCCCTGGCTCACAGCCCCCTTCCATTTCCAAAGCCAGCAATTGTTGTGAGGCTTTCTCACACTGCGCACCCTCACGCGGACTCGCCTACCTCCCTCTTGCACATCCCACCTGAATAATTCAGGATAATCTCCTGACATCGAGGTCAGCTGATTAGTGACCGTAATCCCATTTGGGCCCTTAACTTCTCCTTGCCATGTAACCTAACATATTCATGGGCTCCAGAAATTAGGACTTGTACATCTTCAGGGCCCTTCTTCAGCTGCCCACATGCCAGTGCCCCGTGCGTGTGTTTTCTTGTTCTGTGCTAACTGGCCAGCTCTTGGAAATGACTAGTGTGGGAACACTTGCTTCATTTTCTCCCTGTTCTTGATCATAGTCCAGAGATCTGCTGGGGGATGGTGTGAGCCCAAAGAAGCCGATTTCCTTCTTGAAGGGGCTGAGAAGAAGGGAGACTGTGACTTGACCAAGCCAATCGGCAAACTACCTTCCTTCCCAACAGGAGTTGATTTGTTCAGGAGGGGGCATGTGACAAAAGCTGGGCCACTCAGAGCCCATCTAAGGACTTCACTGAAATGCTGACATAAAGCAGCCACTTGTGCCACAGGGGGAAAGCCAGCCTCAAATGAAACTGTCTCGCAAAGAAATAGAGATGAATGACTTGTAGAGAACTGGAAACAGAAACAAAATGAAACTTGCAGAGAAAATATTGCAAGTAAATGTTGAACCTCTGGATCGAACCATGGCTGAGTCCCTCCTGGCTCTGACTTTTCAGTTAGGTGGGTCCACACATTCTCTTTTTCAGCCAAGCCATTTGAATGGCATTTTCTGCTATTTGCAAAATAAAGATTTGCGATGACTTAGAGAGGGGTTAAAGCCGTATTTGATCTGGACACATGAGAGTACCTGAAGCCTGTCCTCACCCAGCTGTCTCTTCCCACTGGTCTTTGAGGCACAGGTCCTAAAGGAATGCCCTGTCTCTCTTTCCCCCAGATCTCCAAGAGGACCCTCCTGCCTCTGCTTCTCTTCCTCCCCTGAAGTCAATTTTGCAGTGTGCTGGTCAGCCTCATCCAGCCCCTCTTTTCTGGGAACTGCTCTAACTCTATGGCTGGATTGACTGGCCAAGAGACAGACATCAGGGTGAGCTGGATCATCAGACAGTCTCTCCTAGGAATGTGAAATACGAATTCAGAGAGACTGGCAGCCCATTGTTCATGGGAATGCAGAAGCTGTGAGGCTGAGAAACCCCTTTCCATCCAGAGGGAAAGAAGGTATAGTGGGTGAGGGGAGAACAGCAGAGGCAGGCAACCCTGGGGCCGGGGAGCAAGGAGGAGTGGCTGCCTCTGTCTCCAAGGGCTTGCTAGCTTGAGGTCAGTTCCTTCCTGAGGTCTGACTGCTCCTCTTGCCCATTGGGTCTGAAATAAATTAATTATCACCCGCCCTTTTTCCCTATAGATGAGTTGAATCAATTTCTATCACTTGACATCAGAAGAGCCTTGAATAAGCCACACTTCCCATTCCATGCTTGCCCTAGGACCCATTGCCCCAGATGGGGAGAAGGCCAAGTGAACACCCAGCCTTCAGGAACCCTCATGGAGGCAGTTCTCTTCCCCCACTTTCTGCCAGGCAGGAGAGGCTGCTGAGGCTGCAGCAATGACCTGGGCTGCCTGGGGTTACTGAAGGCAGCAGGAAGCAGTGTTGGGTTGAGTCCCAGGTTTCCGGACTCCACACCTGGTGGCCGACGCAGCTAGCTACCTAGTCCACAGCCATTCTCCCCTTCCTCTCCCTCAAAGCCAAAGGTGGTTACACAACACAGTACAGCCCATGACAGGCATCTTCAGAGTGGGGCTTCCAGGACAGCTACTGCTTTCCTGTTGGGCCTGGTGGCTCTTCACTGTACCTTTCCCCTTCCCTATATTCCTCCCTGGGGCACAAAGTTCTGCCTGAAGGTGTAGCAGCAGGTATTTGTGACCCTGAGGATGAAGGCACCTGGTGAGGATGTCAACACAGGGAGCTGGAAGGACCCTGGTCCCCTATAGCCTCACCACAGCCCCAGCAGTGGGACCATCATGGATCCTGACCTTTGGGCTTCTCATTACTCAAGGAATAGAAAAACCCCAAACCGTGTTTGCTTAAGACCCTCTTGTCAGGTTTCTAAGTCTTTATTATTTGCAATTATAACTGATAATTTCCTATGTTCTCTGGGAATTTGGGTCATGGGTGGAGTTTTCTGGTGAGAAGAAGGGCTCAGGGACTCTCTAATTTCATCATTTTGCCCAGGGTCCAGTTTCCTCTGAAGTTTGCAAGGACACATGGAAGGTCAGCAGAAACTTGGCCATCTCAGTGTCCTGGTGGGTGATTTTTACGAGGATTTCTCATCACAGAGGATGGGAACCCAAAGGAGAATGGCTGCCATTGGAGCCTTTCCTGTCCCTCCACTGCCCAGAACAACTGAACTCTGTGTCAGTTGGGCTGCAAGTAAAGAAAACTCAACTAATGGAGGCCTCATTGAACAGGAGTTCATTTTACTCACATAACAAACCTATGTGGTCCCAGGATTGTCTCACGGCCCAGTAAAGGCAAAGCATGGCATTAGCAAGTCTGAGATGTTCTTGAATTTCCCCCCATTGCTGCAAGATGGCCCCTACAGCTCCAAACATCACATCCTCAATGGTGAATAAAGCTGATCTCCAACTGGGAAGAACTTCTGTCTCCTGGTGTGGTGAAGGCTGTTGGAGCATCTGCAGGAGCATCCAAACCCTGTGCTATTGGGGTAGTCCATGCCCTTCAAGCCAGTCATGGCTTTCCTGTTTCCTCTGTCAAATACTGGCTAAGGATAGGTCTGTGATGCAATTCTGGCCAGTGAGACATGATGGAAGAGCTGCTGGGTGAAATTCTGGGAAAAGTTCCCTTACTCTTTAAAAGATGGATCCAGGAGAAGAGAGTCTCTTTTGCTGGGTGTTGTCATATCTGGAGGTGATGCCTGGAACTGTGGCAGCTGTCTTGTGATTATGAGGGAAGCTGGCCTGAAAACAGACTGGCCCACTGAAGAGGAGGGCAGCATGGAATGTGGAATAAACCTGGGTCCCTGTTGGCTTCCTGCGGCCCTGATCTAACCAGCCCTGAGCTGTCCTACCTCTGCACTGCTTGGCACAGGAGACACATCTTGATTGTTTAAGCCCCTTTGAGTTGGGTTTTCTGTTCCTTGCAGCTGACAGCACTCTAACCAATCCACACATTTCCCTCTGCTCGATTTCCTGCTCCAGAGAGACAGGCACAGACCAGTACCGGGCAGCCCCACTCTGGGGAAAAACAACAGTGCTTATTGTTTGCCGGCACAGTGGGAGCTCTGCCTCCTGGCACAGTGGGAGCTCTGCCTCCTGTGGCAGGCTGGCCATTCCAAAACCACACTGCCTGCCACTGCCATAAAGAGGCCAGGACTGTGTTCAAAACCCCAGGCAGCAGGAGGAGTGGTTTGTGGGAGGTGTTGTGGTAGTGCATAAAGGAAGGTCATTTCCTGACCCTCAGAACCCACACTGCCCTCAGCCCCACACAGCCCTACCCAGCCCAGCATCGCCCCCAGTGCCCCTGGAGACAATAATGGCAGCCACCCACTGGCTGCTCCTGTGCGGGCAGGGCAGGAAAGCTGGTGGTTAAGTGCTGGAGAACCCCCAGGCCCTGGGGCTTGGCCGGAAAGGATTTCTGTAGAGACAGCGTGGACATTCTGTCCTCTGCAGGCCGCCTGGTACAGGATGAAAACAGGCCGGCTCAGTACTTTTTTGGCAACCGATTATATAGATTTGCATCCACATGAGCTCCCTCTTGCAATGACCCAGGCCCCCACGAGGGCTCTCCCCACAGTCATTTGTGTTGAGAACGCTCTGAGCCCTTGAGCCTCCTTCCTCTCTGGGAAAGGGACTTTTTGGCAGTGAGAAGGACCTAGAGGGAGGCACTTCTGGAGGCATTTCCTTTCCGGGAGGAAATGCTCCAGGGCTCTCCTCCATCCACCAACAGCCTCCAAGTTGAGTAAGTGGCAGCGAAGGTCACGCCTGAGCTGGCAGCCATGGAACCTCACCTCCTACTTTTCCAGCTTTGTTCCCAAAGACGTCCCTCCACGAGCTTGTGCTCATGCCATGCCTATGCTGGAAGCCCTTGCTGTCTGCAGGTGGCGATGTGACCCGGGCCTGGCCCTGGGGATTTGTTCAGGCGTGTCACTCTTTCTGACCAAAGGGGACCAGCCTTGGGGCTTTTGTGGAAACCTCTGAGAAAGGGAGGTCCACAATTCTGGTTTCCTAGCTGGAGAGAATACGCCTGGCCCTGCTGGCAACCATCTTTCCCACCCAAGGGAGTCAGCCTGGACATTTTAGTCACTTGAGTCAATAAATTCTGTTTGTAAAGAAAAAAAAATCGCTTTGAGCCGGGCTTTCTGTGGCTTACAGTGGAAACTCATTAGTAATATAAATGCAGATATCCCTCTTAGGCCAAAGTAATCTCTCCTTTCTTGCTCGCTCTATACCACACACACCTGCTTCATTGGCATTTACTGTTTCCCCACCTGCACGGGTGACCTCAGCCCCCCTGCACAAAGGCCTGGACGTCGCTGCCTCTGCAGCTGCCCCAGATCCAGGTGCCATTAATTTTACCCTCAAGTTGCGCTAAACTACTCAGTGAATTATTGTTGGTCCAATAAAACCACTTTTGTTTTATTTATTCTTTTGTCTCCACACTCACTCCCATTCCCTTCCCCTGCATGGGCAACATGCTCCCCATAGATTCCCCCACCTCCTGTGCTGCTTTAAAAATGCTCTTTCAAAAGAGATACAGTCTTTATGTGTTTTTTAATGTCTGCAAATGGTAATGTTTGGGTTCCCATGTTGCTTCTTCCTTTTTAAACTCAGTCCTGTGTTCAGGCCCATCCATGTTGCTATGTGTGCCTTTCATCTCTCCTTGTGGCTGCATAATTCTCCATGGTGTGGACCATTCCCATTTTGTCTCTCCGTTCTCCCCAGGATAGAAACCCTAGGGTGCCTCCCGCAGCCCCCATCCCCACACTACCACAAAGAACTCTGCAGTGAACATCTTGGTGTGCATGTTTGACGAATGTGTCAATTTCTTTTACATCTCTACCTGGAAATGGAATAGCAGGGGTGTAAGGGATGCATACTATTGATCAAAATCCCTCCACAATGGTGGCTCTGGTCTACACTCCACAAGCAGTGCCCTCATCAACTTCCCCACTTCCCCACCCAACATGAAGACTTCTTTTTTTTTTCTTTTTGAGGCAGGGTCTCACTTGTTGCCCTGGCTACTTAGAGGTGCGATCATAGCTCACTGCAGCCCCAAACTCCTGGGCTCATGGGATCCTCTCACCTCAGCCTCCTGAGTAGCTGGGATGACAGGCATCTGCCACTGTGCCCAGCTCCAATACTTGTCTCTTCCTAGATTAGTTTTGCCTAAAAGATTGCATTAGTTTTCTACAGCTGCAGAACAAGTTAACACAAATCGTGTGGCTTAAAACACCATTTATTTTTCATCTCCCATTTTCTGTGGGCCAGGATTCTGGGCTCGGCTTAGCTGGGTGCTCTGCTCAGACTGTAACCCGGTGTTGGCCAGGCTGCATTCTCATCAGAGGCTCCACTGGAGAAAGATCTGATTCCAGGCTGCCTCAGGTGGCTGGCAGTATTCATCTCCGAGTGGTTGTAGAACTCAAGGAGACTTGCTTCTTCAATGTCAGCAGGAGAGATAGTCTCATACCTTTACATCCTTTTTTAAAGGGCTCACCTGATTAGATGCACCCTGGATGATGTCCTTTTTCATTAACATAAAGTCAACTGATCAGGGACTTTAATTACATTGGCAAATTCTTTTCCCCTTTTCCATATGGCACATCATCACCTTTGTTAGAATCTATTAATTAGAAGCACATTTACCAGGAGAGGATTACAGAAGTGCTTGCCTATTGGAGTTCAGCTGAGAATTTTGCCTACCATGTATGTATAAGGTTGTATCTAGTTCAAATTGTAGTAAAGCACACAGAACATAAAGTTTCCCATCTTAACCACTGTTAATTGTACACTTTAGTGGTATCAAATACTTTCACATTGTTGTGCAACCATTACCACCATCCATCTCAAGAACTCTACTTTTGTGAAACTGAAACACTGTGTCCAATTAGATACTAACTTCCCATTCCGTTTTTGCCCCAGCCCTTGGCAATCATTCTATTTTCTGTTTCTATGAATTTGATTATTCTAGGTATCACATGTAAGTGGAATACTGTCTTTTTGTGACTGGCTATTCCACTTAGCATAATGCCCTCAAGGTTCATCCACGATGTAGCCTGTCACAGGATTCTCTCCCTTTCTAAGGCTGAATCATATTTTATTGCATGTATAGACCACATTTTGTTCATGCATTCGTCTATCAATGGACACTTGCTTCCACTTTTTGGTTCCTATGAATGCTGCTGCTATGAACTTGGATATACAATATCTCTTTAACATCCTGCTTTCAATCCTTTTGGGAATACGTCCAGAAGTGGAAATTCTTGGTCATACGGTAATTCTATTTGAATTTTTTTTTAGGAATGGCCATGTTGTTGTCCACAGTGGCGGCACCATTTTACATACCCACCGGTAGTGCACAAGGGTCTAATGTCTCACTCCTCACCAACACTCGGTATTTTCGGGTTTTCTTGACAGTAGCTATTCTAGTGGGTATGAAGTGCTATCTCACTGTAGTTTTCATCTGCATTTCCCTTATTCTGGGTGATTCTCAGCACCTTTTTTTGTGCTCATTGACCATCTGTGTATCTTTTTTGGAGAACTATTTCCTCATATATCTTATTGTTAGAATGTGTATTTCTGTACTAATGATCTTAGCCACTTCCTCATATGCTTCCTGGCTTTTGGGGTTTCCTCTCCCAAAAACTGCCTGCTCGTGTCCTTTGTCTATTTATTTTTCTTGTTAATTTTCAGGAGTTCCTCGTATATTGAGGCTGCTAATCTCTTGTCAGTTTTAGACTGCACATAACTTCTCTCATTTTGCCATGTGTCACTTGCAACAGATCTATTTGATTGTAACATCATGAAATCCCCTCCACTTTTTCTGCCTTATGGTTTCTGCTTTGAAATTTTGTCTAAGAAATCTTTTACTCCTTTTGGTAAGTTCCCCTGTGTGTTTTGTTTTCTAACATGTTATAATCTGGCCATTCATGGTGGTCATCATGAAAAGCAATCCCATATAAGGTGGATGCTCAGATTATGGATTAAAGAATCAATTAGTCACTTCCAAGATGGCCAAGTAGGAACAGCTCCGTTCTGCAGCTTCCAGTGAGATTGACACAGAAGATGGGTGATTTCTGCATTTCCAACTGAGGTTCCTGGTTCATCTCACTGGGACTTGTTGGACAGTGGGTGCAGCCCATGGAGGGTGAGCCGAAGCAGGGCGGGGCATTGCCTCACCTGGGAAGTGCAAGAGGTCAGGGGATTTCCCTTTCCTAGCCAAGGGAAGCCGTGACAGACTGTACCTGGAAAAACGGTACACTTCTGCCCAAATACTGCACTTTTCCCATGGTCTTAGCAACCAGCAGACCAGAAAATTCCCTCCCGTGCCTGGCTCAGTGAGTCCCATGCCCATGGTCCTTTGCTCTCTGCTAGCGCGGCAGTCTGAGATCGACCTGCGAGGTGGCAGCCTTGTGGGAGGTGGTGGAGGGGCGTCTGCCATTGCCGAGGCTTGAGTAGGTAAACAAAGCTGCCAGGAAGCTTGAACTGGGTGGAGCCCACTGCAGCTCAGCAAGGCCTACTACCTTTATAGACTCAACCTCTGTGGGCAGGGCATAGCTGAACAAAAGGCATCAGACAACTTCTGCAGACTTAAAACGTCCCTGTCTGACAGCTCTGAAGAGAGCAGTGGTTCTCCCAGCATGGCGTTCGAGCTCTGAGAACAGACAGACTACCTCCTCAAGTGGGTCCCTGATCCCTGTGTAGCCTGACTGGGAGACACCTCCCAGTAGGAGCCAACAGACACCTCACACAGGCAGGTGCCGCTCTGGGATGATGCTTCCAGAGGAAGGATCAGGCAGCAATATTTGCTGTTCTGCAGCCTCCCCTTGTGATACCCAGGCAAACAGGTCTGGAGTGGACCTCCAGCAAACTCCAAAAGACCTGCAGCTGAGGGTCCTGACTGTTAGAAGGAAAACTAACAAACAGAAAAGAATAGCATCAACATCAACAAAAAGGACATCCACACCAAAACCCCATCTGTAGGTCACCAACATCAAAGACCAAAGGTAGATAAAACAACAAACATGGAGAGAAACCAGAGCAGGAAAGCTGAAAATTCCAAAAATCAGAGCGCCTCTTCTCCAAAGGATCGCAGCTGCTCACCAGCAACGGAACAAAACTGGACAGAGAATGACTTTAATGAGTTGACAGAAGTAGGCTTCAGAAGGTAGGTAGTAACAAACTTCTCTGAGCTGAAGAATATTCTAACCCATTGCAAAGAAGCTAAAAACCTTGAAAAGATTTTTAAGGTTTGTCTTAATCTAACCTTGATTAGACAAATGGCTAACTAGAATAAACAGTGTAGAGAAGACCTTAAATGACCTGATGGAGCTGAAAAGCAGGGCATGAGAACTTCATGACACATGCACAAGCTTCAGTAGCCAATTCGATCAAGTGGAAGAAAGGGTATCAGTGATTGAAGATGAGTTGAATGAAATGAAGTGAGAAGAGTCTAGAGAAAAAAGACTAAAAAGAAATGAACAAAGCCTCCAAGAAATATGGGACTAGTGAAAAGACCAAATCTACATTTGATTGGTGTACCTGAAAGTGATGGGGAGAACGGAACCAAGTTGGAAAACACTCTTCAGGATATTATCCAGGAGAACTTCCCCAACCTAGCAAGGCAGGCCAACATTCAAATTCAGGAAACACAAAGAACACCACAAAGACACTCCTTGGGAAGAACAACCCCAAGACACATAATTGTCAGATTCACCAAGGTTGAAATGAGGAAAAAATATTAAGGGCAGCCAGAGGGAAAGGTCGGGTTACCCACAAAGGGAAGCCCATCAGACTAACAGCGGATCTCTCAGCAGAAACTCTACAAGCCAGAAGAGAATAGGGGCCAATATTCAACATTCTTCAAAGAACTTTCAAGCCAGAATTTCATATCCAGCCAAACTAAGGTTCATAAGTGAAGGAGAAATAAAATCCTTTACAGACAAGCAAATGCTGAGAGATTTTGTCACCACCAAGCCTGCCTTACAAGAGCTCCTGAAGGAAGCACTAAACATGGAAGGGAACAACCAGTACCAGCCACTGCAAAAACATGCCAAATTATAAAGACCATTGATGCTATGAAGAAACTGCATCAATTAACAGGCAAAATAGCCAGCTAACATCATAATGACAGGATCAAATTCACACATAACAATATTAACCTTAAATGTAAATGGGCTAAATGCTCCAATTAAAAGACACAGACTGGCAAATTGGATAAAGAGTCAAGACCCATCATTGTGCTGTATTCAGGAGACCCATCGCACGTGCACAGACACACATAGGCTCAAAATAAAGGGATGGAGGAAGATCTACCAAGCAAATGGAAAGGGAAAAAAAGCAGGGGTTGCAATCCTAATCTCTGATAAAACAGACTTTAAACCAACAAAAATCAAAAGAGACAAAGAAGGCCATTACATAATGGTAAAGGGATCAATTCAACAAGAAGAGCTAACTATCCGAAATACATAGGCACCTAATACAGGAGCACCCAGATTCATAAAGCAAGTCCTTAGAGATCTACAAAGAGACTTAGACTCCCACACTATAATAATTGGAGACTTTAACACCCCACTGTCAACATTAGGCAGATCAATGAGACAGAAGGTTAACAAGGATATCCAGGACTTGAACTCAGCTCTGCACCAAGTGGAACTAATAGCCATCTACAGAACTCTCCACCCCAAATCAACAGAATATACATTCTTCTCAGCACCACATCACACTTATTCTAAAATTGACCACATAATTGGAAGTAAAATACACCTCAGCAAATGTAAAAGAACAGAAAGCACAACAAACTGTCTCTCAGACCACAGTGCAATCAAATTAGAACTCAGGATTAAGAAGCTCACTCAAAGCCACACAACTACATGGAAACTGAACAACCTGCTCCTGAATGACTACTGGGTAAATAATAAAATGAAGGCAGAAATAAAGATGTTCTTTGAAACCAATAAGAACAAAGACACGATGTATCAGAATCTCTGGGACACATTTAAAGGACTGTGTAGAGGGAAATTTATAGCACTCAATGCCCACAAAAGAAAGCAGGAAAGATCTAAAATTGACACCCTAACATCACAATTAAAATAACTAGAGAAGCAAGAGCAAACACATTCAAAAGCTAGCAGAAGACAATAAATAACTAAGATCAGAGCAGAACTGAAGGAGATAGAGACACAAAAACCCCTTCCAGAAATCAATGAAACTAGGAGCTGGTTTTTTGAGAAGATCGACAAAATAGACCACTAGCAAGACTAATAAAGAAGAAAAGAGAGAAGAATCAAATAGACACAATAAAAAATGATAGAGGGGATATCACCACCAATCCCACAGAAATACAAACTACCATCAGAGAATATTATAAACACTTCTATGCAAATAAACTAGAAAATCTAGAAGAAATGGATAAATTCCTGGACACATACACCTTCCCAAGACTAAACCAGGAAGAAGCTGAATCTCTGAATAGACCAATAACAGGTTGCGAAATTGAGGCAATAATTAATAGCCTACAAACCAAAAAAAGTCCAGGAGCAGATGGATTCACAGCCGAATTCTACCAGAGGTACAAAGAGGAGTTGGTACTATTCCTTCTGAAACTATTCCAAGCAATAGAAAAAGAGAGAATCCTCCCTAACTCATTTTATGAGGCCAGCATCATCCTGATACCAAAGCCTGGCAGAGACACGACAAAAAAATTGAATTTTAGACAAATATCCCTGATGAACATCGATGCAAAAATCCTCAATAAAATACTGGCAAACTGATTCCAGGCAAACTGAATCAAAAAGTTTATCCAGCACAATCAAGTTGGTTTCATCCCTGGGATGCCAGACTGGTTCAACATACACAAACCAATAAACGTAATCCATCACATAAACAGAACCAACAACAAAAACCACATGGTTATCTCAATAGATGCAGAAGAGGCCTTTTGACAAAATTCAACAGCCCTTCATGCTAAAAACTCTCAATAAACTAGGTATTGATGGAACGTATCTCAAAATAATAAGAGCTATTTATGACAAACCCACAGCCAATATCATACTAAATGGGCAAAAACTGGAAGCATTCCCTTTGAAAACCAGCACAAGAGAAGGATGCCCTCTCTCACCACTCCTATTCAACATAGTGTTGGAAGTTCTGGCCAAGGCAATCGGGCAACAGAAAGAAATAAAGAGTATTCAATAAGGAAAAGAGGAAGTCAAATTGTCCCTGTTTGCAGATGACATGATTGTATATCTAGAAAACCCCATCGTCTCAGCCCAAAATCTCCTTAAGCTGATAAGCAACTTCAGCAAAGTCTCAGGATACAAAATCAATGTGCAAAAATCACAAGTATTCGTATGCACCAATAAGAGACAAACAGAGAGCCAAATCATGAGTGAGCTCCCATTCACAATTGCTTCAAACAGAATAAAATACCTAGGAATCCAACTTACAAGGGATGTGAAGGACCTCTTCAAGGAGAACTACAAACCACTGCTCAACAAAATAAAAAAGGACACAAACAAATGGAAGAACATTCCATGCTCATGGATAGGAAGAATCAATATCATGAAAATGGCCATACTACCCAAGGTAATTTATAGATTCAATGCCATCCCCATCAAGCTACCAATGACTTTCTTCACAGGATTGGAAAAAACTACTTTAAAGTTCATATGGAACCAAAAAAGAGCCTGCATTGCCAAGTCAATCCTAGGCCAAAAGAACAAAGCTGGAAGTGTCACACTACCTGACTTCAAACTATACTACAAGGCTACAGTAACCAAAACACCATAGTACTGGTATCAAAACAGAGATATAGACCAATGGAACAGAACAGAGCCCTCAGAAATAATGTCACACATCTAAAACCATCTGATCTTTGACAAACCTGACAAAAACAAGAAATGGGGAAAGGATTCCCTATTTAATAAATGGTGCTGGGAAAACTGGCTAGCCATATGTAGAAAGCTGAAACTGGATCCCTTCCTTACACCTTATACAAAAATTAATTCAAGATGGATTAAAGATTTAAATGTCAGACCTAAAACCATAAAAACCCTAGAAGAAAACCTAGGCAATACCATTCAGGACATAGGCATGGGCAAGGACTTCATGACTAAAACACCAAAAGCAATGGCAACAAAAACCAAAATTGACAAATGGGATCTAATTAAACTAGAGAGCTTCTGCATAGCAAAAGAAACTGCCATCAGAGTCAACAGGCAACCTGTAGAATGGGAGAAAATTTTTACAATCTACCCATCTGACAAAGGGCTAATATCCAGAATCTACAAAGAATTTAAACAATTTCACAAGAAAAAATCAAACAACCCCACAAAAAAGTGGGCGAAGGATATGAACAGACATTTCTCAAAAGAAGACATTTATGCAGCCAACAGACACATGAAAAAATGCTCATCATCACTGGCCATCAGAGAAATGCAAATCAAAACCACAATGAGATACCATCTCACACCAGTTAGAATGGCAATCATTAAAAAAGTCAGGAAACAACAGGTGCTGGAGAGGATATGGAGAAATAGCAACACTTTTACACTGTTGGTGGGACTGTATACTAGTCCACCCATTGTGGAAGACAGTGTGGCAATTCCTCAAGTATCTAGAACTAGAAATACCATTTGACCCAGTGATCCCATTACTGGGTATATACCCAAAGGACTATAAATCATGCTGCTATAAAGACACATGCACACGTATGTTTATTGTGGCACTATTCACAATAGCAAAGACTTGGAACCAACCTAAATGTCCATTAATGATAGACTGGATTAAAAAAATGTGGCAAATATACACTGTGGAATACTATGCAGCCATAAAAAAGGATGAGTTCATGTCCTTTGTAGGGACATGGATGAAGCTGGAAACCATCATTCTGAGTAAACTATCGCAAGGACAGAAAACCAAACACCGCATGTTCTCACTCATAGGTGGGAATTGAACAGTGAGAACACTTGGACGCAGGATGGGGAACATCACACACCAGGGCCTGTCAATGGGGTGAGGGGAGGGGGGAGGGATAGCATTAGGAGACATACCTAATGTAAATGACAAGTTAATGGCTGCAGCACACCAACATGGCACATGTATACATATGTAACAAACCTGCACGTTGTGCACAGGTACCCTAGAACTTAAAGTATAATAAAAAATCATATGAGAAAAAAAAAAACCTTCGCACGTACCCCTTGAACCTAAAATAAAAGGTGGGAAGACAGAAATAAAATAAAAGAGATTGTCAGTGTAGATTAAAAAGTTGGACTCAACTATATGTAGTCTACAAGAAACACATTCTAAATATAAAGATGCACCTGCATAAATTAAAGGGATGCAGAAAGATATACCATACTAACACTTATCAAAAATACCCCCAACATATCTCTATTAATTTCAGGCAGAGCAGCCTTAAAGAGCAATAAAAGTTACCATAGATAAAGAAGGACATTACCTAAGAAAAAGGAGTCAATTCTCCAAGAAGACATGACAATCCTGCATGTGTGTATGCACCTAACAACAGAGCATAGAAATATGTTTAATTTACACTTATCTTCTTATGAGCCATGTTGCGTAACTTTTCACATGTTTAAGATCAACTTCCAATTATTTTCCTATGAAATCTCTCTGTGTATCTTTTTAATTTTTTCAATATATTGTTGGTCTATTTCCCCTAAATTTGTAAGAACTATTTGTATATTAGAGATAGCACCCCTTTGTCTATGATATAAGTTGCAAACCTATTTTCCCACTCTTTCATTTGTTTTCTGACTGTGGTGGTAGTCTTTTCTTGCCATGCAAAAAATTTTGTTTTGTTTGTCTTTGATGTAGTTGAATTGACCAGTCTTTTAAAATTGTGTCATTATTAGATGAGCGACTTTCTTTCCAGCTCACCTGAGAATGTGTTTTCCTGTTGAGCTACAGAATGAGCATTGGGTACTTTGTGTTCCTCTGAGAAAGAGAAGAGGTGTGTCTGGCAGCCAGGAGTTGACCTGGTCCTATCTGCTGGGCATTGGCGATGCTGTGAGCTGCCTGGCACCCACAGATGGATGTTGATGTTCTCTTGTGAGCATAAACAATTCCATAGAACATCTGCTTCAGACCATATCATTTTGTGCCAATACTTAAGACAAAAACAAGACCTCTTCATAATCATGTCTGAGCATGAGCAAAGCATGAGCATTGTTCATATCACACAAATGACCAATGTGTCTCTATTCTAGCTAAGATGAGTAACTACTGTTTCTTCACCAACTACAGCTTTAACGTTCTTTACCAATTATAGCCTTAACCCATTAAGGCTTTAATGCAGGTTTACATCTTTCCACATAAGATTTATTAAGATACCCTACTATGCTAGAATTACCCCCACTTCGTGACAACACCCAATTCAGAACGAAGCCCCATTTCCTTAAACCCTTCTCCCAGATTATTGCCTAACACAACCCCAAATCTTCTAAGTCCTTTCTGTTGTCCTCTTAGTGAGACACCCCACCGTTCCCTGTAGTTTGTATTCTCCCTCACTTAACCAGTAATAACTCACTTCTTCAACTACAGGTGTGTTCATGGTGGCCTTTGATTGGAGCCCATTAACATCTCCACTTTTCCTGGTAGCCCAAGGGAATGGGGAGGCAGTAGAGGGAAAGGGCAGCTGAGGGCTCTGAGCATTGGTTAGAATGCTTGGGCAACAGATGGCTCTTCCTGTTTCAGTACCATGAGGACTCCCCTGGGCATTGGATTGCTTTCCTCATTCCATGTGTAGCCTTGACTTCTCTTAGAGGAAGTGCACCCTGATGTCCCTCCACCTTGTTTCTCCTGTTTCTCCCCAGCATCTGTTTCCACCAGTCACCAGCAAGGGGAGGATCGTATAAGGACACCCTTCAGTGTCAGTGTGCTTCACTATGCTCAAAATCACCGGATTTGGAGGTGGATGTGGAGGGTGGGGCTGGAGGACGGAAGAGGAACTTAGGAGCTAAATGCTGTCCCTCTCTATTTTGCTCCAGAATGTTCTTTTCCTTTCTCTCTTTGAGTCACCAGTTTCTTTACTGTATTAGGCTATGCCCCTTTCCTTGTTTTATTGCTATCAGTCATTTCTTATTGGCCTTTATAATTTTATTAGTACCAGGATGGAAAACTCTACAATATTGTTTTTCTCCAATACCGAAGGCATCTCCTCTCCTCATCCCTGCTCTTTCCCTCCAGTTAAAAAAGATAAATAAACACTCCCTGTTGACAAATGTCTTTTCTCTTTTCTGTAGACTCTGCGAGTTCTCCTTTCAGTTTATGCTTTTGGAAACAAAAGTCCTTGTCTGTCCTTCAGGTGTGAGTCAGAGCCAGATTCCTGACTAAATGGAGGGAAGGTTAAGAAAAAATACAATGAGAAATTCATTATAAGAAATTATTTTGTTGTCATCTAGTCATGTAAGTTTTTTCTTTAGTGGTGGTAACATGTGCTCATTCATCGTAGTTCGTTGCTCATGCCACGTGGTCATTGTCTCATGCTTATGGGCACCTCTCTTTAGTGACACCCACCTATTGGGGGGTCCCATTTGTAAAGAATTTTGTTGATGTGCTGAATACAAATTGATTTCCTAGAGTCTTGTCTGTTTTGGGCTGCTATAAAAGAATACCATAGACTGAGTAATTTATAAAGAACAGAAATTTGTTTTTTCCACAGTTCTGGAGGCTGGGAAGTCCAAAATCCAGGGGCCATTAGATTCATTGTCAGGTGAGTGTCTGGTCTCTGTTTCCAAGATGTCGCCTTGAAGGCTGCATCTTCCAGAGAGGAGGAGTGCTGTGTCCTCACATGGCAGGAGACTGAAGGGCAAAAGGAGTCTAACTTCCTCCATCATTCCTTTTTCTAAGCATATCTAATCCTATTCATGAAGGCAGAGCCCTCATAGCCTAATCACCTCCCAAAAGGCCCCACCTCTTAATACTATCACATTTGTAATATTTGATTTCTGGAGGGGATACATTCAAACCATAGCAGATGCTCATGAAAGTAGAAACAGTGGCTAATGCCAGAGAAAGAAGCTGAGGATCTGGGAAGTCTTACTTGTGGATTTTACGTTATATGTTCCATTCCCACATGTAAATAAATGAGTTAATTGAAATGGAAGAAAATGAAGAAAGATGGAGAATTGTGTCATGGAACAATGGACAGCAGTCATAACATAATGGGTGAAAACAAAGCTCAAATACATGAGGATGATTATATCTTTAACGGTATCTCGAAGCT
Source organism: Homo sapiens (assembly GCF_000001405.40). Lineage (NCBI taxonomy): Eukaryota > Metazoa > Chordata > Mammalia > Primates > Hominidae > Homo > Homo sapiens. The sequence continues at coordinate 97,592,952 of NC_000002.12, read as the reverse complement.
GTAAGAGATCAAGTCTTGACTTCTATGTTAAAAAAGAAAGAAAACTGATGACCCATATTTAAACTGAGGCATGTGACATTTCTGCTCTACTCAGCACTCTTCACTCATCTAACAAAAATTCATTATGGCTTCTTATGTTCCAGGCACTGGGCTAGGTGTTTAAGGAAGACAGAGGGAGGAAATAAAAATTTTTATAAAACAGTCTTTGTCCTCAAGCAGCTCACAGGGCAGAGAGACCCTGACAGAGTAGAGATTTCATGAAGAGTGGGGATGGGAAGGGCATTCTCTCCATACGCATCCCTGTCCCACCTCGGAGATTTCCTCCTCAGAACGCTACCTCTTACTGCTTTCCTGCCTCACTCTTTCCAGCTCTCAGTTTAGAAGGTGTTTCCTCAGAGCACCTTTGCTGACCTCTCAAGTCTGGTGAAAGGCCCTTCTCACTGGTGCCTGGATGCCCTGTGTGCTCCTGTCATACACACAACACAGCATAGTAAAATGCCTGGTGTATGTGTTTGTCTTTTCAATACTCTGAGCTCTGCTCATTGGCAAATCTCAGGACATAGCACAAGATGTGGCCCCTAAATGTTAACTGAATGAACGAATGGAATCACTGGTATCTCTTTAGCTTGAAGAATAGAAAGCCCTTGTAGGACAAAGAAGATTGGGAGAAATGTGAAGTCTGGCGTGGACTCTGTCAGAAGGCAGAACTGAACCAATGGATGGACTTAGAAGAGAGAGACTTCGGTTTCACATCAGGAATGATATCATAGTCAGAACTCACCACACACATAATAGGTTAGATGAGGGAGGAGGGAGTCCTTCATTGCAGGAGTTTTAAAGGTGAATACAAGAAATGGGAGGCACTTGGCCTGGCGCGGTGGCTCAGGTCTGTTAATCCCAGCACTTTGGGAGGCCGAGGCCGGTGAATCACAAGGTCAGGAGTCGAGACCAGCCTGGTCAAGATGGTGAAACCCTGTTTCTACCAAAATACAAAAATTAGCCGGGTGTGGTGGCGGGCACCTGTAATCCCAGCTATTTGGGAGGCTGAGGCAGAAGAATCACTTGAACCTGGGAGGCAGAGGTTGCAGCGAGCCAAGTTTGAGCCACTGCACTCTAGCCTGGGCGACAGAGCAAGACTCCGTCTAAAAAAAAAAAAAAAAAAGAAATGGGAGGCACTGAGTTTCTGGCTCAGTTTGTGATGCCAGAAATACAGAGATGACTGATCAGTAAAATCCACTAGAAAGTGTGTGACAGGTTTCTTTTTCCTTATATTTTTCTTTTTTAAATACAAAAGTAATAGCAGCCCACTGAAAATTTGAAAAGTATATGGCATTAAAAAGAGAAAAATAACATCTGATAATCCAACAAGATAAACTCTCTAAAATTTCTTTTCTCTTTTTAAATGAATATAGTTAAGCTTGAAATAGAATTTTAAATTTATCCTGATGTTTTACTCAACAGCGGAGAAGCATCTTTTATGTCATTATTTTAAGTCACAACCACTTTTAGTGATGATGATTAAAGAACCATTTGCTTTTTCCTTACTGTTCCCTGTTTTTAGATTTTTGGCTAGTGTCTAATTTTTCCCTGTTATAAATAATGCTGAGATGAACAGAATATGTAGATTTCTAATAATTTGCAAATGAACAGCATATGAAAAACATGGGCAAAAATTTTGCAGTTATAATTACTCAACACAAGTTTTAAATAAATTACTTTTATTTTGAGCGTTCATTCTTACATATGTTATAGGAAGTAAGAAGCATTCCTTACTCCTTAGAATTTTGTTTATAAATTAGTGATGAATTGGAAAGGGTAGCTTGCCCCTGGAATTCTCTGATAAGCACAGGTGATGAGGAAAATGGAGAAATCCAAGAATTCTTTTGTCTTTCCTTAAAAGTAGTCAACTTTAAGTGCAGTGCAGGCGTGCCCTCTAGCGGCCAAATAAAAAATAAATAGGCCTTCAGCCCTGTAACAATCGCACGTCCCCATCTAGTGGCTAACGTCTGTAAATGCAGCTTTTCTAATCACAATAGCGAATGTTACTTGATTTATATTTGTCTTAGGTGAAGAACTGGGAGGACTCTTAGAGATCACGTATTTCAACTTCCTCACGGAGTGGCATGCAGGCAGCAGCAGCCTTGGGAACCCCGATTGCCCCTCCTCACACCTGCCCATCACAGGACTTGGGCGACGGGGTGGTGAAGTCAGGCTGTGGCCCCAGCGGCGCCACGAGGCCGAAAACCGGCGCTCAGCCTCATCCCGGTGGCTGCGGAGTGCCAAGCGCCAGGTCCTGCGCTCTGGGCGTGGGTCAGGAGCAGCTGGCAAGGGCAGCGCAGCCTATGGGGCCTTTGGGCGCGGCCGGCCGCAGCTCCGGGAAGCCACGTCAGCCCACGGGCGCTGCAGCTGCAGCCGCCACCAGCACATGGAGCAGGGGTCCCCGAGGATTGGGAATCCCCGACCAGGCCTGCGCCTCCAGCCGCGCGGACCCCGGGGCCAGCCTGGCCGCGGCAAGTCAGGCAGTCTGCGGCAGGAGCGCCGGGCATGGGCTTCGGCCGGGGGTGCAGGAGGCGCGCACCCTCCGGCCGGATGGCGGCGCACTCAGGGCTCAGGAGGCCATCCCACGGGAGCCCCGCCAGCCCCCGCCGGAGCCCGAGCTGCAGTGCCGCCTGCAAGTGGTGCGCTGGCTGCAGCTGTGGCAACCCCGGATACCGTCCTCCCGCCTCGCACCCATCAGCGCGGACCCCGGGGGCGACGCAGTGGCGATGTCGGGCTGTGGGCCCAGCGGTGGCACTAGGCGGAGAAGCACCACTCAACCCCATCCCTGGGCTGCAGAGGGCCCAGCGCGGGGGGCTCCGAGCGTCGGGAGCCTGTGGAAGAGAAGAGCGCGCGGGCGACAGTTAAACAGGCCCTGGGGCAGGGCGCGCCTCGCGCTCCAGGGAGCCCCGCCCTCCCGCGGCACCTCCGCAGCAACCGCCGCCTGCACCGGGCGCGCGAGAGCTGCTAGGGCGGTTTCTCTGCCTCGGGCCTGTTGGGCAGGGCCGGCTAAGGTGCGCGTGCTCGCTGGTTCTAACCCTTCTGTTGGGCGTTTCTGCGGAGAGGCGGGAGGCGCTGAGAGTCTGCGCGGAGGTCCGTGCACAGACTGCTTTGCCTGTTGTTGCTCTTCGGAGGCGGCGATCCCCGAAGGCGAGCTGAAATACGGCTGCAGGCTACAATTTGCAGCCGACGATTAAGGAAGACGACGAGCGGGAGAGGTGGCCCACCCTCATGGAGCGCTTGTGCTCGGATGGCTTCGCATTTCCCCATTACTACATTAAACCGTATCATCTGAAGAGGATCCACAGAGCTGTCTTACGTGGTAATCTGGAGAAACTGAAGTACCTTCTGCTCACGTATTATGACGCCAATAAGAGAGACAGGAAGGAAAGGTAATGGGGGCCGGGAGCCGGGGCTGCGGGAGGAGGCCTGTGGATGTGGAGAAGTACCCCTTTGCAGGCTGAGGGCTGCGGGGCGGATGGTCCGGGGCTCGGGGTATGGACGGGGGCTAGGGGGTGCCTGGCTGGGGTGGGAGTGAGTGGAGCGGGGCCTGGGGAGTGGCGGTATATGGGGTGGCGGGGTGTGGAGTGAGTTGGGGGATGGGAGTGGGGAGTAGGGGGTGCATGGGGTGGGGGCGTGAATGGGCTGAGGTGGATGGAATGAAGGCTTGGGGGGTAGGGGCGTGGATGGTGTGGGGTGGGGAGATGGGGTGAGGGTTCAATGGGATAGAGGACTGGAGGTGGGGGTGAGGTGTGGGGGTGAATGGGGTGGGGGAAAGGGGTGCAGAGGTGAGGGGGGCGAGTCCTGTCACCAAAGGGGCTGGACTTTCTTTCCTGGCAGGCTCAGCCGCACCTGGGATGTGGAAACCTTGGCGGGGGCGAGCACCCAGGTCATTTTCACAAGCAGCAAAACAAAAACAAAACTTCAGCTGGTTTCCAATCACTCACCATGCTGCTTCTTTATAAATCATTTTAAAGTGATTTCACTAATAAAATTCAGCATGTACAGCGTTTTATTTTTAACGTGCACATTTTAAAGCATAATGTTACATACATTATGGAAAGGTGCATAATGAGAGAAATCATTTCCATAATATATCAACTTCCTGGCTAAAAATTCTTTGGATAAAAATCCAATATTTATTTGATATCAATGGACACCTATGTCAATTTGGTTTTCACTGAGGGACCTTAGAGGGAAACTTTGAAGTGGGAAGATGGTCTGTGTTCTTGAATAGAAAGACACATTTTTCTAAAGTTCTGAGCTCTTTCTGTGTTTATAAATTTTACATAATCCAAATAAAGTTATCAAAGTGTTAACATTTTTGAATTACTCATGCTGTCTTTTACTATTGTGACGACATTAAGAAAACTTTTGAAATGGAGTCAAAAAAGACTTGCCTTTCTAGATATGAAAATGTGCTGTTAATTTCCACAAGTTATTTACTAACAGCTGAAACAACAAATCAGTGAATGGAACAGGTTAGAAAATCCAGGAACACACCAATATGTGTAAGAATATATTAGGTTGGTGCAAAAGCAATTGCGGTTTTTGCCGCAATTACAAGTAATGGCGAAAACCGCAATTGCCTTTGCACCAATCTAATAGAATTGGATAATGGTGACATTTCATATTAGTAGGAAAAGATGAATTACTCATAAATGAAGTGCCTGCTAACTATTTGGAGAAATCTGGCTAGATTTTCATGTCACAGAAATAAGTTCGTTATGGAATGTAGATTAAAAATTTTAAATGCACAAAATAAGAAAGATAACAGAAAAAAACACAAATGCCTACTTATATTGATGCATGTTTATATTCCTACAAATATCACAAGCACACATTCTGAAGGTCGATTTAGCAAAATAAAAAAAATCCAGTTTATAAGAAAAAATTAACAAAAGACAATATGTGTGTATACATATTAGATAAAAAAGTGATTTTCATTTTACAGAGAATTCTTCAAATAAACAAGAACTCTCATTTAAAATAGAGCAAAGCATTTATTTTTCAGATATTCAAGCAACCTATGCACATGGGAAAAAATATTTAGTGTTCCTGGGAGGAGAAGGTATTTAAGTTAAAAAAAGAATGAAATACTGTTTTCTATCCACAAGTTTGTGAGGGTAAAGGGTAGCAGTACATATACTGCTGTTGAAAGTTTACATTTCTGATGACTTTTCAAATAGACAATTTGTTGGTAAGTATCACACTGTAAAAATGTATGTGCCCTTCACCCATCAATTCCGTTATACTAAAATATCTCTAGGAAATAGAGATACATGCAATTTGTTTTTCTCAGCACTGCTTAAAATAGCAGTGTATTTGGAAAACCCCTTATAGTGGATTTTATAAATTTTATAAATTTATCAATAAATTTCAGTGCATCCATAGGATGGGACAATATGGGACCTTTGCAGATGTCAGTAGATACAGATGTATGTTGAGGTGTGAAGATGTACTCTGAAAAAAAGTTGGTTTGATTATACATACACACAAACAATCTATGGTGTTAGTAAGCCAAATATGTGTACAAAATATAACATTTCTTCTTTTCTGGCAGGTGTATTGTGATATTTTTTCTTATCTGTGATGTATAAATGATCAGCATGTTTAAAACTTCTAGTAAATGTTTTTTATTAATGAAATTATCCTTGGGAAAAGAAGAAATATAAATCTTGCAAAGAAAAAAAATTCTCAGTTTCTATTTTATTATTAATTTCTTCGTTTGTTTGTTTATTTTTGAGATGGAGTCTCACCCTGTCGCCCAGCCTGCAGTGCAGTGGCATGATCTCAGCTCACTGCAATCTGCCTCTCAGGTTCAAGTGATTCTCCCACCTCAGCCTCCTGAGTAGCTGGGATTACAGGTGTGCGCCACCATGCCCAGCTAATTTTTGTATATTTTAGTAAAGACGGGGTTTCACCATGTTGACCAGGCTGGTCTCAAACTCCTGACCTCAGGTGATCCCCCCGCCTCGGCCTCCCAAAGTTCTGGGATTACAGGTGTGAGCCACTGTGCCTGGCCTTATTTTTATTTTTTTGTTTATTGGTATCTTCTGTGAACTTTTAGCCTCTTCAGAGGCAGAGGGAATATTTTTATTTGTGCTTGATTATTTTATTATGCATAGATTTTAGTATATACATAAGTTTTTATTATAGTTTTATTACATATAAGGAAACAATTTTAAATTAATTATTTTAGTTTATCAGTGTCCTCATGAAAATGAAAATGAGCAAATATAAGTGATTATCACTATTCCAAAAGCACTGCTTTAATTTATAGTTTTTTTCACAATAAACTTCCCAACTGTATGTATGCATTCTTTCAATCCAGTTATTCATCAAGCATAACCTGAATACCTATTATGTAGCAGACACATTCCACCATCTCTCAGGACTCTTCCACCCTTAACAACTTCATGTTTACCTGCCCAGCCTGAGCAAGCTGAGATTTAAAATGGAAGCATTAGGACTGAATCCCAGTTGGATCTTTTATTCCTTTTTTTTTTTTTAAACAAAAGCAATTCTGAAGTTAGAAAATAGTGAAAGATAACCTTTAACTGCCATTTCAAAAACTTATGACAGTCTCAAATACTACTATTAATCATTGCAAATACCTAATTTACATAACATTCTGTAAGTATTGAAAAAAATGAGCCATACCTATTCATTTGAATCCTGAGTTTTCTTTGGATTATTTTTTTTTGAAAGTTGAAGTAAGAATTACTTTGTTTTAAAAATTTGTTTTTTTATTTTTGCCTTCTTTTTCCACAGTACTTCATTTAGGTGCCAATTATATGAATAGAACTGCCTGTTCTATGAACTGTATCCCACTTAATGTAAGGCATCACGGATTGGGTGATGCCACATTACTTTATATATCGATAAGATAATGTTTAAAATGTTGCCAGTTATAAATGTAATAAATAATGAATTGTAAACAGTTTTCCAATGTCAGGAGATGTTAATATATAAGAGAATAGTAGCTTATATAAGAGAATAGTGAGAAAATGAGCATCTGAGAATGACTGAAATACAATGATACATCTAATCTTTAATAGATACCTCAATGTAGATATGATTGTATCATTTTACTTAATTAAAATGTCTTTGTCTTTGTAAGTAGTGATATCTAAAAATTATTGAGCTGTTATTTGTGTTAGAAAGTGTTCTAAATGCTGTGCATAGATTCTTATGTAAGCATCACAGCAGTGTTCTGTGGGCTAGCTACTATTCTCTTACATATTTTATTGATAAGGAAATTGAAGCAAAGAAAGGCTAAATAACAGCTAAGTGACAGAGCTTACAGTAAATTTTAAGCCCCAATTAAACTGAATCCAAAAGCCAAGCCTTTTCTATTAAATAGCCTGCTCTTTCATTAATGTGGTGAGTAATAAGCGCTAACAAATGTTGTACTTTCTTCACAAGAAAATTACATATTTGTTTTGAAGACAGAGAAATAACATGCTAATTAATGCTTACAGTTACATGTTTTAAAAAGTCCTGTCACTCTCACAGGACTGCCCTACATTTGGCCTGTGCCACTGGCCAACCGGAAATGGTACATCTCCTGGTGTCCAGAAGATGTGAGCTTAACCTCTGCGACCGTGAAGACAGGACACCTCTGATCAAGGTACATAGTAGCTGACTCTTTGAGCATGAGATGGATTTGGTTGAAGTACATAGGATAAAATGAATTTATCTCATTGGAATACCACCATATAACTAGTAGGAAATCCTACGGAGTGTTTATTTTGATTTTTTCAGTATTTGCATGTTTCTCGGTCTAATACTGACAGGCTGTACAACTGAGGCAGGAGGCTTGTGCAACTCTTCTGCTGCAAAATGGCGCCGATCCAAATATTACGGATGTCTTTGGAAGGACTGCTCTGCACTACGCTGTGTATAATGAAGATACATCCATGATAGAAAAACTTCTTTCACATGGTACAAATATTGAAGAATGCAGCAAGGTATAGGTCAACCAATGTTATTTTCAAACTATCTGAAATGCATTTATTTTAACATTGACACATGTAAGGGTCAATTTTTCATATTTGGAAGCTCAAACATTCCTTGAATGAAAATATTTTGAAATGCCTTAACTGTCTAAGATTTTACTTTAAATATTGGAACTTTTAAAGAAGCATTATAGGGAACAGCCTTTTTTCATGCACTTATGGTAAATAACTATAAAAACAAATGAATTACAATAAATTTATAATTCATGACAACTGAATTTGGGAAAGGTAATAGTTAAGTGTTTTTCCACTAAATTACTTTTTTTCTAATCAGTGTGAAGTGACACAGGAAAGTAAAATTGTCCCTTATAAATAGGCTTTATTTTAAATGTCAAAGAAAATTAAAGAATTTCACAATAAATGTACATGTTGTTGCTGTTGACAAGTGTTGTATGTGAAGGTGATTTCATTTGAAAGTGATTCCTCTGTGGAAAGGCTTAAGAGGGAAAAATGAAGAAAAGGAGAGCAATCAGAAATGCACAAGCTAATTTGGAAATTAGGTAATGAGGGAAAATACTGTGGAGAGGGTTTTTGTGTGTTTTGTTGTTTGTTTTCAATTTATATGTTTAGACAAAGATCGCTTCAGTTTTGGGGATGATTATTCTTACTTTGGGAAAGAGTTTGTGAGTTGTGAAATTGCCCAGGGATCAATTTTGGTAAGACTCTGAGGAAACCAGGTTGGCAGTGAATAGTGGTGATGAAGCGGCACACAGTTCAGCAGAGAGAAGAACACATAATTAATGGACATTATTCAATTCTGGCAGAAACAGCCACTCAGATAAGCATCTAAACTCTACTCTCAAGTCCAGAATGTCTTGATGGGCAGGTGGGAGATACGGAGCTTATAAATAGTAAAATCAAGTTGGATTTTGAGCTTACTAGTCTCTTCCCTACCCCTACCCAGGAAAAGTAAATGAAGTCTTCAGTGAATGGCTCTATCTTTTGCTCTTTCCTCTTTTCGGCCAAATCCCAAACGATAAAGGGAATTTGCCACGTGGGTGAGAAATGAGACTGAAGTGATTATCAACTGTGCTGGTTCGCAGTTAGAATTGTGCATGGCAGTAACCTGGGGAAATTAAAAGCAAATCTCTAAGTCTAGGATATCCCCTGAAGATTTTAATATAGTAAATCTAATATTTACTATTAAATATTACTGGGCATGTATGTTTTAAAATATTTCCTTGAAGCTGGGCATGGTGGTGCCTCTAGCCAGAGCAACAGATTAAGACACTGCCTCTAACAGCAACAACACAACAACAACAACAACAATAAAACATTTCTTGGGACACTGATACGCTGCTGGTTAAGAACCACTGAATAGATAAGTGTAATATAAATTCCCATATCTCAAACACACAAAAAATCTCTAGAAGAGCTGGAGATAGGTGCTGCTTCCTTTAAATTTCTCCTTTCCAATAATATTGGCCTGACTTTTACCTGTCTCTACCTCTGTGGTTGGGAAGTGGAAAGGACTATTATTTGCAGTATCTATCAGCATAAGAATAACACCTTTTCTTTGCCACCATCACTTATTCACTGCCATTCATAGGGTCATTAGAAATTTGCTATTGTGGACTCTTTTAATAAGTAGAGACTGACTCTTTCAGGACTCTGAGTCTCTTTGTTATCATTCTGGTGATTAGGTCAATACATCATTATTAAAAGCGGGGTTCTCTCAATTACAATAGCAAAAAATTCTAAACCTTTTTTTAAAGCTGAAGCTCTATTATGGACTGCCTCAGTATGTCAGTTAAGTACATAGAACTGTGGCATAATCAGGATAGCAGTTTTAAACACTGAAAACCATGAAGTTAGTAAGAATACAAAGAATACATATAGGTCATTATTAGAGCTTTAATTGATAAGCCATTGTATTTTTATTTCTGATTTATATTTTACCTAAAATAAAAAAAATTAGGTTACAATATAGAAACTAGAATTATAATTTAATATTATTTTAATAATTTAGTTGCAGCAGTCCTATGAACTAATTATCCATTTGGTGAACAATCTGGGAAAATTAAACATAAATTATAAATGAATGAATGTTGTAAAAGTGCTCAAAGTGGGTATTATGACTCTTAGTAACAATTTTTATTGCATTCTTGGGCCTATTTTGGAAAAAAAATCTGAAACTAAAGAAAGGAAGTATTTTACATGAAAATACTTGCTTTACATACAATCGCTTGGAGACATATCCATAGCAAATATAAAAATACAAGGTATATAGTCCAAATGTGTCCCATACATGTGTTTAGTTTGCGTCTACAAATTGTCTCAACATGGAAGGTTTAGGAGACTCGTGCACAGATCTGGATTCCAAGCTTCTCTTCAAGAATCCAATCTGGTGTCCCTTGAGCCTATCTCAGGTTTTGGATGCTGTGCAGAGGTTGCCCCTTTCTATGAGGCATGTGGTCTCCATTTTGCTACTGTGCCTACCTAGGTACTTCACTTCCTCAGGTCATCTCCCTTGCCTCTGTAGGGATGACTTTACAAGCCCTGTTTTATAATATATTTTAGTAAATATTTCAAGGTTTTCAAGACATTTTATATTTATTTAAATGTAGAGTCTATATTTTATATAAATCCTTTGGTAATCGGGTTGAACTTTTGAATTTAGATGGTGGTGTTTTATAAACTATTTATACATACCATAAATAATCATCTTCCCATTAGAATGCATGTAAGCTTTTTAAGGTGAATCATGGTATAGTTGCATAGGTTATGCATATTGCAGACAACATTATATTTTTCTCTTCAGCATTGCCTCCTAAAAATGCAAGTAATTGGCCGAGCGCAGTGGCTCACGCCTGTAATCCTAGCACTTTGGGAGGCAGAGGCAGGTAGATCACGAGGTCAGAAGATTGAGACCATCCTGGCTAACACGGTGAAACCCCCTCTCTACTACAAATACAAAAAATTAGCTGGGTGTGGTGGCACACGCCTGTAGTCCCAGCTACTCGGGAGGCTGAGGCAGGAGAATTTCTCGTGCTTGAATCCGGGAGGCGGAGGTTGCAGTGAGCCGAGATGGCACCACTGCACTCCAGCCTGGGTGACAGAGCGAGACTCCATCTCAAATAAATAAATAAATAAATAAATAAATGATGCAAATAATTTAGTGGTTTTCATTATGCTATAAATAATTCATATAGGTCATTATTAGAGCTTTAATTGATAAGCCATTGTATTTTTATTTCTGATTGATATTTTACCTAAAATAAAATAAGTTAGGTAAGAATGAATTGGAAACTAGAATACAAATAGATTTTTAAAGGAGTTATGTACCAGGGTCCTAAGATTATAATTACATAAATATTTGCATCAGGGTCCTAAGATTGTAATTGAGAATAACATTTCATACAGAGCTTTCTGACAGCTAAGATAAAAATATTACTAGAGAAAACCCATGGACTATTTAATAATAAGCAGTGAAAGTTCACTCGAAGCCTATCTCTATTAATTCAGAGCCCGGCTCTCCGAATTAAAAAGAGATAGGCTTCAAATGAACTGTCAATCGTGTCAGAATCTCAGATGACAATGTCAGGTGCTCAGGTGCTCAGGAGCTCCTGACATTGTCACCTGAGATTCTCACACCATCGATAGAAGAGAATGAGGCAAGTGTGTATCACCCAGAGGAAACCTCTACCTTTACTGGTAAGCTCTCACAACTGTATCCCTGAAACTCTCATTTCTCAAATGTTAACATTCTCCAAAATAAGTATTTACAAATAGGGATTAGGTGAAGTTCAAAAGATTTCTCAAATACTAGACACATAATGCACAGTTTTGTAACATTTTTCAAACATGGGTGATCATGGAGTCTCTCTTTTGGGGTATAATGTTCAAATTCTGGTAAAGTAAATATCCTTTGGAATATATTAATAGTTTAAGAAACACCGCTCTATAGATAATAATTTAGATCATTAATAAAAATACCTGAAACATTTATTACTGTGTCTTAGAGTTTGAGGACATAGAGAAAAAAATACAGCTGCTGCCCTCAAGAAGCTCTTGGTTCAGGTGGGAAACAATTAAATCCTTGAAACATGCCATGCTAAATGCTGGGACAGAAGCAAAGATTCTTGGAACTGGGAAATGTTTGAAGTGAGTTTTGGAGATGACCAGAGTTCTTGTGGTGAGGCAGAGGAGGTTGTTTCCAGGGGAAGGAGCAGAACATAGAAAAGCACCGAGGAGGGAAAAGAAAGGGACTACCTCTTACGACCTTTCAATTGTATATATTGAAGCTCACAGGATCTTACATAAGGTTTTCATTTCAGTTGATAAATATGTAATTTTGTGATTATAAATTGTTGCTGTTATTTTACAGAATGAATATCAGCCACTGTTACTTGCTGTGAGTCGAAGAAAAGTGAAAATGGTGGAATTTTTATTAAAGAAAAAAGCAAATGTAAATGCCATTGATTATCTTGGCAGGTACAGACCTTAGTTCTTATTGTGTTGTTTTTAAACCTGAGTGTCATTTTAGAGTGGTAGCAGTCACTCAAGTCACAAATATTACATTAGTAAGAAGACTAACTTTTAATTACTGGGATATAGTGAGAAATATCAACACAGATCATCACTTAGGTAGAAAAACAATTATTTGGACTGAGTAACATAAAGAACAGTGTATAGCAGGATTCATCTCTCTCTATAGACATTATACACATAAAAGGCTTCTATATATAGAAAGCTCTGTATATTGATAGATGTTTGTTATTTGTAAGATGATGTGGTGTTATTTACAATGTAATAATGTGATGCTTTTGATTGTATGATCTTACATTAGCTAAAGGGGTTTCATGTTAGTTTTTCATTTCTACTGTGTTTTGATGTTGTTTTTAATTGATATGGGGAGGGGGAAAAAAGATAGCTTTAGATGGATAAAACTTTACTTCAATGAAGACAAGCTTTAGGTTCACACAGGACTGGGTTTAATCCCTAGCTTTCCCACTTGCTAGATGTGTGACCTTGGTAACATTACTTACCAAGTATGTTTTCTTCTGTGAAAAGGAGGGTAATAATATATCCTTCAAGGGTGGTTGTGTGTAAGTAACATTATATATATATAATGTTAGAATGTCCAGCTAACAGAGCAAGGTGCTGATGTTTTGGAAACAATGGCTGAGCATATAAGTATGTGCATATAATATATATACACACATATGTATGTAAGAATATAATGTAACTAACATCATATATAATATATAATATATACAATATATATTTATAGATAATATATAATATACTATATATTATATATTTTATAGATTATATATAATATACTATATATATTTTATATATATGTGATATTACTTATACACAACCACCCTTGAAGGATATATTATTATCCTCCATATATATATATATATAGTGTTTAATTAAATGCCTAGCACATGCTTATGAGCATCATTAACTGAAGCTATGACTACTACTATTAGCATTCCTATTAATATTATTGTTTTAAGCCTGCAGATAGCTCTTATCTGACCCTTCAGCTGATTTTGCATTATAATGTATAGTATCAGACTAGGGAAGAAATGAATAATTTTTCACTTAAATTTGCCTACTGTAGATAGGTGGCCTGAGCATATTTCTTGCCCATCAAAGGACTTTAAGTTAGCAACTTTATGTCATACCACAGTGGGACAAGAGGCTTCCTTTTTGTTCCTTGCTTTTAACCTTTGTGGTAACTTGCAAAGATAAACCCTTGAGCACCCAAGATGCTTGTTTCTTAGTACATGTAATTGGGTTAATTCTACATGGACAGGCAACATGTTAAGTTGATAAAGTATATAAACTTAGCTTTTAAAATGTCATTAAAGTTTTTAATTACCTCTCTGTTATTTTAGATCAGCCCTCATACTTGCTGTTACTCTTGGAGAAAAAGATATAGTCATTCTTCTTCTGCAGCACAATATTGATGTGTTTTCTCGAGATGTGTATGGAAAGCTTGCAGAAGATTATGCCAGTGAGGCTGAGAATAGAGTGTAAGTCTTTACGTAAAAAGGCTAATGAACACTAAATTGAAGTTTAAAATAATTGTAACAATTGCATCTTATATATCAGGTGAGATTGCATAGTTTGGTTCAAGTAGTTTTCAAGTGACAAATTTTCAAGTTTTTAAGTTTTCGAGAGTTGTGCAACTTCATCAGCCAGAAATCAAGAAAAAGGCTAGATAAGTAGCAGTAGGTGCAAGATTCTTGATATTGAAACTTTCAGGACTTTTCTCCTTAGGGATTCCAATGTTGTCCATTTTATTTCCAGTATAACCCCTATGCATAGGGTAAAGTAGTTTCACATCTTTGATTTTTCTAATTAGTTATTTGGGTCTCAAAATGTCCAGTTTATCAAAAAACCTTGAGTTGTGTACTGGGGACCATCTACTATAGCCTGATCATGGAATTTTTCAAGAACCTAAGGGGTTCCCTAAGTCCAAGGAAGACAATCAGTGTCTACAAGTCAGAAGGAGAAGGGGAAAGGACATTCTAATCATTGCTTTGTTTTCATTGATTCTGTTGCTGCTTTCTTACCATTGAAAGTACTCTTGCAGTCTGGTAGTGATTAACCTTTGCTACCAGCATGCCCTTTCTGTTTGAGATCCCTCAATCTTCATGTTGATCCATAAAAAGGCTTCAAAGTTACAACTGTTTTTTTTAGTTCAGTTGCACATACTTATATGCTCAGCCATTGTTTCCAAAACAGCAGAACCTTGCTCTGTTAGCTGGATATTCTAACTTTATCAACACACATACGGAGCAAATTGACACTTTCACCCACACTCAAAACCTGATGTAAAGCCCACATTTTAACCTGGGCTTCTAGACCTTCATGGTGAGTTATTTTTTGAGTCCCTTTTTTTTCTCTTTAAAGCAAATATTAGTTAGGATAGTTCTAAACTGTCAGAGATATTCAAATAATGTTGTAGAAAGAGATCACAGTGTTCTTCTTTATTGCTACCAGATCTGTACCCTGAGACTTTTTATATAAACAGCGTAAGAGCTTTTCTCAGGTAGTGGAAGCTTCTATGCCATCCTTCCTTAGAGTAGTAGGCATCAACTTGTGGTTGGCCCCTCAAGTGATCTGTTATCTATAATAATGAAGATCTCTCAAGCTGCTTGCATCAGTATCTCAAGTTTATAAAATATTTTCGGATTCTATTTCACAGGAAGCCATTCATTGGAATTATCTGAGTCTCAAGTTTGTTAGTTAGATTTAACAGAGCTAACCCTCATCCATGACTTATCAGCAGTTATATGTAAAAGTAAGGCTTTGTGCTTGCTTTGGCAGCACAAATACTAAAATTGGAACAATACGGAGAAAATTAGCATGGTGAAGCATTTCATATTTTGCAGTCACGGGAAGGTCATTTGACTGTTTGCTGGCTAGCTAAGTCATAGTTTGAATCAAAACAAAATGGGTGGCCCCTTATATTAGAATTGTGATTTTTCACTACAAAAACATTTGTGTAAGGTGATCTATAAACTGAGAATGGAGATAAGTAACACATGGGGTGTTGTGTAAATATTTTGTTAGTATGTATCTTGGAAATGAGAAAATGTCAACTTGCATCTACTTCATGGAACTTAAAAAAAATGAAAGTAGGGTTTTGTCTTCCATGTCAGTTGGAGATAACATCACTGATGGAGATGAACCATCATTCTAGCAAACATCTGCTCATTCAGTTAGAGTCTGTAGAGAAGTAATAGTGGTAGCCCAAGCCAGATCTTGACATCTGTTAGTTTTCTGCCCTTGGAATTGATGAGCTCAATAATAGTTAACAATCGTGTTACCTATTTTAATGAAATAATATATTCATAAATTAATTTATTTATGAATTATGAAATAGTTGAGATACACTGAATTATAAGCCAGAAATAATAGAACAATAAGCAAAATTAGGACTTAACATTTTTCTTAAACTGAAGCATTTGAATATTAGAACCTATGAAAAAATACACATTGGGTTTGATTTGGGATTTCAAAATAGTTTCAGCGATAAAGTTCAAGAACAAGCTCCACTGCTTTACTATTTCTCTGTGAATGTTAAAAATGCTGCTTCATTAAACCTATATAACAACCTAGTGAAAGAAGGTAGTAAAATCTAGAAGAAGACATTGTGCCTAAGAGAAGCAACTTGTTTAAGAGCAAATACCTGTTGGCTATAGAGCCAGGACCTTCCAGTAAGAGCCAGGAAGGTGACTTTCCATTATGTCAAGCTGATGTGAGATAGTTTGCTGAGCTATACTGCCTTCACTTCATGAGTACTTCACCTGTTTTTATTATTTAATTAGAAAGGTACTAAGAAGTTTGTAGAGCTTACAAAAGAGAAGTGTATAGGATAATTAACATCCTGATATTGTTCAAGATACTCTAATAATTTAGTATATTTGGTAAATGTTTTTGATAATAGTATTAAAATATTAATTTCATTTATTTTTATGCATAGCATTTTTGATCTAATTTATGAATACAAAAGAAAGAGATATGAAGATCTTCCTATAAATAGCAATCCAGGTGAGATTTCTGATAGTGAATTACTCTTGATGGTACTACCATAGATAAAAAAGAATAAAGATGTTTTGATTACAAAAAAGCAGTTTAAAAAAATCACTTTAAATTGTACACATTTAAAAAATACTTAGTAGTCTAGATTTTATAATTATTTAAAAAGTTAATTGTAGGTAATTTATAATCTCAGTATTGTTTGAAAAAAATTATTATTTAATTATCGTTCCTAGTATTCTAGATGACCTTTTTGTGTAAATAAGAAAACAAATTTTTAAGTTATTATGTTGTATTTTTTTAATAGTCACATGATAATGAATTAGACTTTTTATATAATTAGAACTTCTATTTAATTTGTAAAATAAATTCTTTGCAATTACTAAATGAATCAATAATTACAGTTGGCCCTTGAACAACATGGGATTTAGTGCTGCCAATCCCCATGCTGTTGAAAATACATATTTGGTATGTTATATATATTATATATTGTATTCTGAGTACAAGAAAGTAAGCTAGAGAAAGGAAGATTTTGCAGTAGTTAAAGCTGTAGTTTCCTTGTAGTTCGATGCTTGAACTACTATCAATCTAGTGTAAGGTGTTCACCCATCCACGGTAAAATAAAGTAAATTTACTCCATTTACTCATTTTAAAATGTTGGTCTTTTTCTTGCCTGTATGCCTTCTTTATTTGTTTTACTTAATTTTTTATTTATAAAAAAACAATAATAGTTGATAGGGATCTTTTCCTGTGAAAACCATCAGTGAAGAGGCCATGTTGATCTAGGAAATATAAACATATTTATTTGGTGGCAGTAGAAATATAAAGCAGAAGCAGAAAAGAGGTACAGTTAATATGATTTAGTGAACATTGAATGTAAAACATTAGTGGGGAGAGAGAAATCTTGGATCATTCATAGGTTTCCAGGTTGTGTACTGGCCTTTATACTGCACACAAGAAAGGAGTAGGACGTGTTCACTGAATGGAGAAGTACAGCTGGTCAACAGGGAAGAATAACTTCCCTTCCCTCCAAATCTGAGGTTGGAGATGCAGACGTAGAATGATGTTATTATAATTATTAGGCAAAGTCATCGATCTCAATGAGCTGTCCATGATGCAGATGTAGAATGAGAAGCTATCCTGTGACAAAACCCTGGGAATGTCAACTTTCCCTCCCCACCCCCAGGAAAAAAAGAGTTGGTGAAGGAGAATGAGCAGTGGCTAGAGAAAAGTAGGAGAGGAGTCAGAGGAAGTGATGTTGCAAAAATAAAAAAAGTGAGAATTTTAAGGAGGGAGTATGAATTCTAACAAGTAAGATTACTCAAAAGCCAATTAGATTTAACTTTTAAAAGCTCTTTGGCGGTACCCTTTTCAAAAGAACCATTTTTGAGGTGTAATGTGGGCTATTGATGTGATTGGTATGTCTGTTGTCCAAATATGGAGGAACAAATCTACCAAGATCCTGCGTAACCCTTTTGTAACTGCAGAAGCTACGTGCACAGGGTCAGGGAAAATGGTCTTGACTTCTGAGTACATGTGCCCACACTTTTACAGAATTGTCAAAACCTAAGGGTAATGTGTGAGAAAAACTGTGGTCTTCTTATCTGCTCCTTGTGGAAATACTTAGTTTGTACTGAAATCCCTGATAAGTTCTTCTGGATGCATTCTGAAACAAAAGTCTGGCAGCAGTAACTGGAACCACCTTGTCCAAAGCACATACATCCCGACTCTCTCCAACATGGAATCATAACACAGCCGCATTTCGAGAGTTTCAAGTTTCAATCAGAAGTAGTCTACAGACATGTGCATGTGTCTTTATAGCAGCATGATTTATAATCCTTTGGGTGTATACCCAGTAACGGGATGGCTGGGTCAAATGCTATTTCTAGTTCTAGATCCCTGAGGAATCGCCACACTGACTTCCACAATGGTTGAACTAGTTTACAGTCCCACCAACAGTGTAAAAGTGTTCCTATTTCTCCACATCCTCTCCAGCACCTGTTGTTTCCTGACGTTTTAATGATTGCCATTCTAACTGGTGTGAGATGGTATCTCACTGTGGTTTTGATTTGCATTTCTCTGATGGCCAGTGATGATGAGCATTTTTTCATGTGTTTTTTGGCTGCATAAATGTCTTCTTTTGAGAAGTGTCTGTTCATATCCTTTGCCCACTTTTTGATGGGGTTGTTTGTTTTTTTCTTGTAAATTTGTTTGAGCTCTTTGTAGATTCTGGATATTAGCCCTTTGTCAGATGAGTAAGTTGCAAAAATTTTCTCCCATTCCGTAGGTTGCCTGTTCACTCTGATGGTAGTTTCTTTTGCTGTGCAGAAGCTCTTTAGTTTAATTAGATCCCATGTGTCAATTTTGGCTTTTGTTGCCATTGCTTTTGGTGTTTTAGACATGAAGTCCTTGCCCATGCCTATGTCCTGAATGGTATTGCCTAGGTTTTCTTTTAGGGTTTTTATGGTTTTAGGTCTAACATGTAAGTCTTTAATCCATCTTGAATTAATTTTTGTATAAGATGTAAGGAAGGGATCCAGTTTCAGCTTTCTACATATGGCTAGCCAGTTTTCCCAGCACCATTTATTAAATAGGGAATCCTTTCCCCATTGCTTGTTTTTCTCAGGTTTGTCAAAGATCGATAGTTGTAGACATGCAGCATTATTTCTGATGGCTCTGTTCTGTTCCATTGGTCTATATCTCCATTTCGGTACCAGTACCATGCTGTTTTGGTTACTCTAGCCTTGTAGTATAGTTTGAAGTCAGGTAGCGTGATGCCTCCAGCTTTATTCTTTTGGCTTAGGATTGACTTGGTGATGTGGGCTCTTTTTTGGTTCCATATGAACTTTAAAGTAGTTTTTTCCAATTCTGTGAAGAAAGTCATTGATAGCTTGATGGGGATGGCATTGAATCTATAAATTACCTTGGGCAGTATGGCCATTTTCATGATATTGATTCTTCCTATCCATGAGCATGGAATGTTCTTCCATTTGTTTGTATCCTCTTTTATTTCATTGAGCAGTGGTTTGTAGCTATTCACAATAGCAAAGACATGGAACCAACCCAAATGTCCAACAATGATAGACTGGATTAAGAAAATGTGGCACATATACACCATGGAATACTATGCAGCCATAAGAAATGATGAGTTCATGTCCTTTGTAGGGACATGGATGAAGCTGGAAACCATCATTCTCAGCAAATTATGGCAAGGACAAAAAACGAAACACCGCATGTTGTCACTCATAGCTGGGAATTGAACAATGAGAACACATGGACACAGGAAGGGGAACATCACCCACCGGGGACTGTTGTGGGGTGGGGGGAGTGGGGAGGGATAGCATTAGGAGATCTACCTAATGCTAAATGATGAGTTAATGGGTGCAGCACACCAATATGGCACATGTATACATATGTAACAAACCTGCACTTTGTGCACATGTACTCTAAAAGTATAAAAAAAAAAAAAAAGAAGTAGCCTACAGACGAGCAGTTTGGAGAAGCTGACGTCTTTTATATAATGTCATGGAGAAAAATATAAGGTGACATGCTAAGTATACCAAGTCTCTGTGTTCTGGGACACTTTGTTTTAGTGCAATTCCCTTTTCATGACCTCTTGTAATATCTCTGCTTTTACTGTTTTTTTTTTTAATTTCGTCCCTAAAGAAAATATTATTAGAACACATTTCTAACACAGGTATTTTTGACAACTATATAGGATTTTCTTTTAAGAGAATTAGCTACCTATTCTAAAGTATATCTGGTATTCTATTAATCTTTAATGCTAAACTTCTTTATATCTTTAGCACAGTGACAGTGTAAGTGATGCTGCTCCTTTAAGATTTTAAGTTTCTTTTAAATTTTCAAACTTTAAATGTCTTTTAAATTTTCAAATTAAGTTAAGACACTTAAGGTGTCTTTTAAATTTTTTTAAATTTTAAATTTTAAATTCTAAATTTTCAAACGACATAGTTTTAATGTAAAACACTTTTCTGGTATTATATTTCTTCAAATATTGGTAATCTGTTACTTAGCTGGAATATTTGGTCAGTTGGATTACCACACCTTTAACCATCTATATATAAGTTTCTTGATTTTTTTTTTTTTTTGAGATTGAGTCTTTTGCTGTTTCCCAGGCTGGAGTACAATAGTGTGATCATAGCTCACTGCAGCCTCAAACTTCTGGGTTCAGGTGGTCCTCCTACCTCGGCCTCCTAAGTCATTGAGACTGCTACAAGTATATGCCACCATACCAAGCTAACTTTTTTATTTTTTATTTTTTAAAGACAAAGGTCTCTCTCTTTTGCCCAGGCCAGTCTCAAACTTTTGGCTTCAAGTGATCCTCCTGCCTCAGCCTCCCAAAGTGCTGGAATTATGGTCATGAGCCATCGTGCTGGTCTATAACTTCCTTTATTCTCCAAAGGGAGTTTAAAGTCCTATTGGCCCTTAATAAGAAAAACCCACTGTTTGGGAGGAGAAGTGGATAACTCATCCTACATTTTAAATGCAGTTTTTGACTTTTTGACCTGTTCTATGAAGAACGGCCCTTAACAGATGATTTTTAGTTTTTATAGATATTTTTAGTTTTATAAGAACTTAAGAAAAAAGATTAGAAACAAATTAAATGAGCTCTATGATTGATAGTAAGTATTATATCCAATGGCTACATATATTTCTATAATTATCACAATGACCTGAATGATGCAAATTATTTTACTTATGTTTTTATTAATAGATTTTTTTTTGAGACTGAGTCTCGCTCTGTTGCCCAGGCTGGAGTGCAGTGGCGCAATCTCGGCTCACTGCAAACTCTGCCTCCTGGGTTCAAACGCTTCTCCTGCCTCAGCCTCCCAGGTAGCTGGGACTACAGGCATGCACCACCACGCCCAGCTAATTTTTATATTTTTAGTAGAGATGCGGTTTCACTGTGTTAGCCAGGATGGTCTCCATCTCCTGACCTTGTGATCCGCCCGCCCCAGCCTCCCAAAGTGTTTGGATTATAGGTGTAAGGCACCGCCCCCAGCCTACTAATGCATTTTAGAGACAGGGTCTCACTCTGTTTCCCAGGCTGGAGTGCAATGGTTGTTCACAGGCACAATCTCCACTGCAGCCTCAAACTTTTGATCTCAAGCAATCTTCCTGCCTCAGCCGTTGGAGTAGTTGGGACTACAGGTGCGTGTCATTGCACCTGGCCTGATCCCCAATTATTATAAAAGAAACCTTGGTGAGTTGAAGACAATTGGCTGTGATCTTTTTGTTTCTCTTCTAGAAGCTTTCATACTATGGGATATATTTTTAATCATCCATATTCTCAAATTTTTATTCTGGTTAAAATAGGATTGCTGCTTGTTTTTCATCATTTTTTGGCATAATTATTTCTGTTCCCTTATGGATTTATTCATGCAGAAATACAGGAATCTCAAAGGCAACTGTTAAGGAAAACAGATGAGGGAAAGGTGTTTTATAAACAGCCTTCTGATCGTAGTCACAGGTCACATCACCTTAAAGAAAACTAATTTCATATAATGCCACTATGTCAGAGTTTCCAAGACCACCTCTGTGTTTGGTGATTCACTTGGAAGGACTCAGCAAACAGTCCTACTCTGGGCTTTGATTTGTTACAGTGAAAGAATACAAAGTAAAATTGGCTCAGGGCAAAGGGGCATGTGGCAAGTCTTGGGGAAGCCAAGCACAAGCTTCCGGGAGCCCTCTCCTGTGGAGTTACCAGGATGTGCTGAATTCCTGTAGCTTCAAATTTTGACAGCACATGGGCAATATTGTCTACCAGTATGAGTCTGACTAGAGACTTACACAGTATCCAAGGTTCTTATGGAAGCTAGTTACATAGGCATGCTGTCTCACACATATACAAAAATTCCACACTTCCAGAAGAAAAGCAGCTGTTCAGAGTCAACCACATTGTTTATGCAAACAGTTTAGGTACAGTGAGCTACTTTTCTCAGGAAATGGTGACAAACCTTTAAAATGCAAATTTCCAAACACCAGCAAATGGCCAGTTTTGCATGTAGGCCTTTCTAAGAATGACAGTCTTATGACTGTTATATGAATTATTTTCTTCACAGCAGTTACAGCCCCAACTTAATTTTAGGTGTCTTAAAAATTCTATTTGATAGTGAATAACATGGTAATATAACATAGCATGGTGCTTATTTCATTTGAGTCAGTTGCAACTTAATATGAAATACTAAGTTTCTGTGCTGTTAGATTTTGGAATTTTGGTGAATATTTAACAGGTCTCTGTACAGAAGTTACTATGGCAATATTAGGTAATTATAATCTGTTCTTATTCGATTAACCTTTCAGTAAAATGGTTAGATAAAATAAGTAATGATTTCTCATTTAAAATTGAAATAAAAAATTTGTTTCATTTTAATTATGTAGATGGTTCAGTTTTGTTTTATATTTTGTTAAATTTCTGTTTATAATTATGAAATTAAAAAAATCAATCATTTATCAGTTATTTTCTTGCCTGTTAATACAGTTAAGTTATTTGCTTTATGTGCTTTTATATACTATAATTCTGGAGAGAATATTTATATTGTGTTTCAAATTGAGTACGTCTTGCTATAATATATGGTAATATAATATAGCAATATATTAGTAATAGAAGATTCAGTGAAAATCTTTTTAAAAAATTAACAACTTTATTTTAAGAGCAGTTTAATATTCTCAGCAATATTGAAAAGAACCTAAAGAGATTTTTCACATACGCCATCCCCCCTCACGTTCATAGCTCCCCCCATTTTCAACATCTCCCACCTGAGTGGTACATTTGTTACAACTGAGAAGCTTACATTGATGCATCATAATCATCCAAAGTCCATAGTTTATATTTAAGTTCCCTCTTGGTATTGTACCTTCTATAAAGCTGGACAAATGTATAATAAATGTACCCGCCATTAGAATACTTACACTGCCCTGAAATTTGTCTCTTTTTTTATTCCTCCCTCACAATTAACCCCTGTCAACTACTAATATTTTTGCTGTCCCCATAGTTTTGATATGTCCAGCATAGTCATATATTAAGGATAACATAGTGGATATCTTTTTCAATATTACAAAACATAATTTCCAAGATAATTGAATGTATTCAATTAAGCTATCCATTGTGCTTTTTTGCTTTTAGTTTATTAATGTAGGATTTAATGGCATATGCTTTACATGTTGAAAAAGCATAATTTATATAGACATTTGCCACATAATGGGGAGGGTTGAGGAAAATGACTTCATGCTGTGTACTACACAGCACTAACTGGATCATCCTTTTCTGTGAGATGGGTCCAGATAGACTAGCAGTGGAAAGGGACAATCTCAAGAGGTTGTACTTTATAAAACTGGAGTCAGAAAGTCTTTCCTATTTACCTTGCAGTTGGAAATAGACCAGCTAGTGAATACTATAGGCATACAAATATGTTTCTTATTCACCTTCTTTCTTTGAGCGATCACTTTGAAAACAGTCTATATTATTATAACATGACTCACTTATAACTAGGTTCTCCATCATGAAAAATGCCAAGAGAGTCATACTATTTTTGTTTACATATAGTGACAAAGATTTGTTGTTGTTGTTGTTGTTTTTCCCACTAGGTAGTGAGACAACTGTTGGCACATCTTGGTAGCTCCAGTGAGTTTATGGTTCCTTTATATATATTTTATATATTAGAAAGTACTCCCTGGCAACTTGCCATACCATTCCCAGTATTTCTTTATAAGCTTCTCTCTGACAAGGAAACAACACTCAGATTGGATAAGCTGTTAAGGGAGTGATATTTTCTCTGTTTGTGTTTTTTTGAAGGAGCTAAAAATGAAAGCTGAATTTAAGGATTGTTTGTACCTTACATAGGGTGAATGAATAGCTAGAACTAAGCAAACTTACCAGAATCTTCCCTAGGAGAGGATTAGTGAGAGTAAGGACACTGATCTCTCTTAGGCTCTTCTGCATTGGCAGCTGAAAAGTCTTTGCAGGGATCCTTGACCCTACTCTGTATCCTGTGTTTTGCCATAGAATAGAGTACAGTTTTCATAGACCTAGATTTTTTGAATTAGAGTGCTTTATCCTAAATAGTTTAAACTGAAGAGGTGGAGAAACTGTTGTGTTTCAACAAAATAAGTACAGTAATTTCCTCTTACACATGGGGGATACATTTCAAGACCCTTAGTGAATGCCTGAAAACATGAATAGTGCTGAACTCTATGTGTACAATAATTTTTAAAAATACATATATATCTATAATAAAATTTAATGCATAAATTAGGCACAATAAGAGATTAATAATATCTAATGGTAAAGTAGATCAATTGTAACAATATACTGTAATAAAAGTTATGTGAATGTGAGCTCACAAAATATCATGTACTATAGTCACCCTACTTTCTGCACTGATGTGAGATGATAAAATGGCTATGTGATAAGTGAGGCAAATGCAGTAGGCATTGCCATGTAGTCTTAGGCTACTATTGACCTTCTATTTGACTATATATCAGAAAGAAGATCATCTGCTTCACGTGATCTTGGATCCGTGAACCATGATGATATTGTTGGTTGGATGTTAGGTACAGATTTATGTCAATGACTAGTGAGCAGATATCATATATAATGTGTATGCACTTGACAAAGGGACGATTCACATCTTGGGCAGACTGG
The DNA here is from genome assembly GCF_000001405.40 of Homo sapiens. Lineage (NCBI taxonomy): Eukaryota > Metazoa > Chordata > Mammalia > Primates > Hominidae > Homo > Homo sapiens. The sequence goes on along the minus strand of NC_000002.12, from coordinate 97,567,725 downwards.
GATGTAAGGGCTCAAATTTTGTCATACTACTCAGAATCTTAGGCAATTTAAACCTTATGATGTGTATACATAAATTTTATTTATGGACCATGGTTGACCATGGGTAACTGAATCTGCAGTCAATAAAACCACCAATGTCATATTATGAAATATATATTTGGTCTTCAACCCCATTTTCTGTCATACAACTCCTAAAATCCTCAGAATTTCCAACATGATATCATTTGTATGCTAATGATTGACTTATGACAGGCAGCCTCCAGATGGCTTCAGGGTGGGGCTCATCATCATAGTGATCAGGGTGTGATTAGAGGGTTGGGACTTCCAGCCCCACCCCTCACCTCCTGGGATGTGAGAGGGGCTGAATGTTCAATTAATCAGTCATGCCTATGTAATGAAGCTTTCATAAAATCCCAAAAGGATTGGATTTGGAGAGCATCCAGGTAGCTGTATTCAGCTACCTGGATGCTCTCCAATACATGAAGGCATATGGAGAATACATGGATGTTCCCAGAGGGTGAGTGCCCTGGGAGGACATGGAAGCATGTTACTTTCCCCCCGTATCTTGCACTATGCATCTCTTTATCTGTATCCTTTAATATTCTTTATAAAAAACTGGTAAATGTGTTTCCATGAGTTCTCTGAGCCACTCTAGTAAATTAATCAAACCAAAGAGGGGGTCCTGGGAAACCCAACTTGAAGTCCAACTGGAAGTTGATTAGAAGTTCTGGAGGCCCAGACTTGTAACTGCTGTGGGGGAATAGCCTGTGGTACTGAGCCCTCAACCTGTGGGATCTGACACAATCCCCAAGTAGATAGTGCCAGAATTACAGGGCACCCATAGGAATTGATTGTTTGCTTGTTGCTGGGGAAAAATACATATTTGGTCACAGAAATCTTCTGTGCTGATGATTGTTGTTGCGGTGTGAGAGAAGAGGAACATCATGTTGAATATGTGTTTTCTACACATACAGCAGATAAGGGGGACTGCTGTTCTAGCTGCACCTGGTTCATTTGTCCAGAAATCATGTTCTTTGACAATGCCTACTCATTATATTGATTCTACTAATGATGCCATTTTCTGTCAGTCTGATATAATTCTGTTAGAATTATGACTATTTTATACTGCAATTCACATGTAAGATAAACCAAATTTTGATAATATATTCTTCTTTGCATTTGATAAGTACATGCTAAGCACGTAAGAAAGGAAATAAGAGTTCTTAATTCATTAGTTGCCTACAAATAGTATAAATAATAATTTTAGTATAGCCTCCAAGTATGTTTCTAAAGAACTGCTTTGTAACAAATCATGAGAGTCTCTGTAATAAAGCATCAAAGTCTTATACTTTTTTTCCTATAAGGTCTAAGGCATGTACAAAAGTTCATGATTTTTTTTTCTTTTGAGATGAAGTCTCACTTTGTCACCCAGGCTGGAGTGGAATGGCACAATCTCGGCTCACTGCAACCTCTGCCTCCTGAGTTTGAGCGATTCTCCTGTCTCAGCCTCCCGAGTAGCTGGGATTACATACGTGTGCCACCGCACTCAGCTAATTTTTTTTTTTTGTATTTTTGTTGAGATGGGGTTTCACCATGTTTGGCCAGGCTGGTCTCAAACTTTTGACCTCGTGTGATCCACCCGCCTTGGCCTCCCAAAATGCTGAGATCACAGCCATGAGCCACTGTGCCCAGCCTGTATGATTTTTTTTTAATAAAGAGTCTTGCTATGTTGCCCAGTCTGTTCTCAAACTCCTGGGCTTCTCAAGTGATACTTCTGCCTCAGCCTTCTGAGTAGCTGAGATTATAGGAACAAGCCACTGTACATATATATATATACACACACACACACACACACACACACCCCGAGTATATGCCCAGTAATGAGATTACTGGCTCAAATGGTATTTCCGGTTCTAGATCCTTGAGGAATCACCACACTGTCTTCCACAATGGTTGAACTAATTGACACTCCCACCAACAGTGTAAAAGCATTCCTATTTCTCCACATCTGCTCCAGCATCTGTTGTTTCCTGACCTTTTAACGATTGCCTTTCTAAATGGCATGAGATGTTATCTCATTGTGGTTTTGATTTGCATTTCTCTAATGATCAGTGATGATGAGCTTTTTTTCAGATGTTTGTTGGCTGCATAAATGTATTCTTTTGAGAAGTGTCTGTTCATATCCTTTGCCCACTTTTTGATGAGATTGTTTGTTCTTTTCTTGTAAATTTATTTAAGTTCCTTGTAGATTCTAGATATTAGGCCTTTTTCAGGTGGACAGATTGCAAACATTTCCTCCCATTCTGTAGGTTGCCTGTTCACTCTGATCATAGTATTGGAAGTTCTGGCCAGGGTAATCAGGCAAGAGAAAGAAATAAACGGTATTCAAATAGGAAGAAAGGAAGTCAAATTGTCTCTGTTTGCAGATGACATAATTGTATATTTAGAAAACCAAATTGTCTCAGCCCCAAATCTCCTTCAGCTGATAAGCAACTTCCTCATAGTCTCAGGATACAAAGTCAATGTGCAAAATTCACAAGCATTCCTATACACCAGTAATAGAGTGCTAAATCATGAGTGAAATCCGATACACAATTGCTACAAAGAGAATAAAATAACAAGGAATACAACTCACAAGGGATTTGAAGGACCTCTTTAAGGAGAACTACAAACCACCACTCAAGGAAATAAGAGACAAACAAATGGAAAAACATTCCATGCTCATGGTTAGGAAGAATCAATATCTTGAAAATGGCCATACTGCCCAAAGTAATTTGTAGGTTCAATGCTATACCCATCAAGCTACCATTGACTTTCTTCACAGAATTAGAAAAAACTACTTTAAATTTCATATGGAACCAAAAAAAGAGCCCATATAGCCAAGACAATCCTAAGCAAAAAGAACAAAGCTGGAGGCATCATGCTACCTGATTCAAACTATACTACAAGGCTACAGTAATGAAAACAGCATGGTACTGGTACCAAAAGAGATATATAGACCAATGGAACAGAACAGAGGCCTCAGAAATAATGCCATACACCTACACCATCTGATCTTTGACAAACCTGACAAAAGCAATGGGGAAAGGATTCCCTATTTAATAAATGGTGTTGGGAAAACTGGCTAGCCTTATGCAGGAAACTGAGACTGGACCCCTTCCTTACACTTTATACAAAAATTAACTCAAGGTGCATTAAAGACTTAAAATTAAGTTCTCAATGTATAAAAACCCTGGATGAAAACCTAGGCAGTACCATTCAGGACATAGGCATGGGCAAATACTTCATGACTAAAACACCAAAAGCAATGTCAACAAAAGCCAAAATTGACAAATGGGATCTAATTAAACTAAAGAACTTGTGTGCAGTTTTATTTGGGAGTGTGTGTGGGGTACCTCTGAGTTTTAAAAATGAAGAAAGTAAGTAGTCATGCTATCCTGACTCTTTGGTAGACATAGCCTTTAAGACAGTCATTCTGAGCTGTTATGGTCTTAGGGTTCTCTATACTACTAAAACTTATTGACGACATGTAACCAAGAACTTGAATTAAATTTTTTTTTAAAAAAAGCAAAAGAAATCACCCAAATGCACATTAAAAACCTCTTACAACATATGTGCATATTCCTAGATAACATGTAGAACTTGATTTTGTGTATTAAAACCTTGTAGAAAAGTTCAGACAGTGCACAAAATGACTGCAACTTGGTCTTTGTAAAATCAGTGATATATATTTCAGATCTATCCATGTTGACCCAGTGAGGTATTTGATTTATTGTATGATCTAATGATATGCCATGTGATGATGGCAGCATATTTAATTATGCTCTCTTCATGTTGATACCATATGGACATAAATATGGTGACATACCAGCATGGATATGCTTATGTGGTTGCTTTTATTGATTTGTATTATATTAGAAATGAAACAGAAGTATTGGAAATCCTAGCAAGCATAGCTGCATCTCTCCCATGGCTATGTTGATTGCAACTGTTTCCCCCTTAAAGCATGTCTTTTTGACATGTCATGACCCTGAGAAAATCCAGTGTGTGCTTTTCAGAGAATGACAGTAAGGAGAGGAAATGGCCGATGGTCAAAGTGTTACTTGTCCTCTTGGCTCCCCTTCATGAATGTTAAACTCTAAACTACTCAGATCACAATTTAGAACCCCTTTGTTGATCCCTATAGAGTGTTCCCAGATGTCAAATGGCAAATAGGACTTTGATGAAGAAACACCCCGTAAAGCCATATTGCTCTGGTTTTTGTGTGTGAATGTGTGTGTGTGTGTGTGTGTGTATTTTTTTCTCTTCTGAAAACTGTAAATAGAGGAATTTTCATTACAAGTGAAAATATTTGTGTTCCATATTTATTTCCTGTCTAACGTACTTTGCTCTTCTTGGATCTAGTAAGGATCTCAGCTTGTCTTTTTTATACCTGCAAAAAATTATGTCAGTGCTTCATTTTTCATGTCAATTACTGACATGTTTTCAAGTCTTCACAAGTTATTTCTGAAGATTTTGGTGCATCAAGGAGAGACTGTCATTGTAGTTAAATAAGTTTTTAAATAGGTTATATTCAATAAAATTTCAGAGCTTATTTCTCTGGAAAGCATAAACATAGTGGTGCTATGGGTAGTTAAACATAAAATAGCTCCACAAAGTGTTGTGTACATAAAAGTGTTCATATCCTGGAAAATCCTAGTTTATTGCTCAGTACTGTCTGCTGGAGAGGAAAACAGGTAAGATAGGCTGCTGAGCCTATGATAATAACTCATAATATGAGGTGAAAGCATAGCGACAAAATAAGAGATGATAGATACTCAAACCGATGTGAGTGAAGAACAGCTGTGAAAGAGTGTCTATGGGAGAGAGGAGGCCATGGGGCTGCTTTTGTGAAGAAGGAATTTGTACACATTAGTCAAGTGTCTGACACATTTAACATTTTAATAAAGCAAAACCTTATCTTCACATGTGTCAGAATGGGACTGTACAGATGTCACATACAGTGGTGGTGAAAATAATGAAGAAATGAATGTGGAGGTCAAAGAATCAAGTCCACCAATATGGATATTAGATTTATGAACGAAAAAAATGTATGTCAAATTGGGCAGGTGTAAACAAAGAAAGCAGCTAGTGAGGTAATTTGGAAGTTTCTGATGAGGAGACTTGTGGGAAGTCACTTAATGGAAAGCAGAAGCAGAAGTTACAAGGATGAGGGTAACCCACAGGGTCTCATTTCTTCTCCCTAGAAGTTTTGGACATCAATGATACATGCTTCGTTCACATCAGATTTTTGTTTTTTGTTTTTGTTTTTGGAAAGCTGTGTTTGCTGAGGTAGTTATTTTGTAAAAGAACCTGAGAGACCCTGATGGTATATCATGTGAAACTAGATTTTAAAAAAAAGGAATCAAAGAATGCATTTTTAGAGTACTAAACAGATAACTGCCAATAATCATGACAATCATGACATATGTATATATATGTATTATGTCATATTGGTTGGTTATTTATAAGAAAAGAAGTCTCTAGTGATTTAGAAACTTTGTTTAGTTTATTTTCATAGGAATCTGATTACACAGTATTTCATTGATGTGTATGTTTTTGCAAAAGTGGACGAAGAGACAGTGAGAAGGTAGAACTGCTGAATCCAGGAAATGTAAAAACATCAGGAGTCTTCATGAGTATAAATAAAATGATTTTTTAAATTATAACTCTTAGATTAAGTGAACTCACTTCAGATGCATTTAGAATATTTGCATGAGGGATGATTTGATTTTTGGCTGCTCCAGGAACTACTGGAAGCAGGAAAGAGTGATAGAATTGGGATAAGCCACAGTGACTCATTGCTCCTCTTTGTTACCATTGGGCACCAGAGGTATATGTTTTGTTGATATTGGTTATTCAAATGAGATAAATGTGAATATGCATACATTGGCTTTGTTTTTCAAGGAGCTATTGGATAAAATAGCAACTTAATAAAAATTCTCTAGAGAATAACATGATACTTTAACCAGACTATTTTAGAAGTGAAAATAATGTTGAATTCATTACTTGACTCCCAAATGGTTATTTTCAAGGAATATTGGAGTGATTTCCAGATGTAAAAGCTTATTCATATCTAATGCTTGTAGAAACTTTATTTTGTAAAAGTATGTCAAATTTGGTAATTTATTACACTTTTTGATGAAGTTTATATATTATACCTTGTTGCAATGAGTGGATGAAGGAACTTTTGGAAGGCTAAACTAGAAGATACAAGAGATGTAGGCACATTATTACACCATATGGGTGTGAGAAATAATGAATATTACATACTAGAATTCACCAAACATATATCCAAGCTGATTAAGTTAGGACACTTCCACTGAAGAGATTTCAACTAAAGTGTCATTATAATTGTGTACCTTCTCACTGATCAATCAAGTTAAAAAGCATGATGAATGTTTGCAGTAAAATATTCCAAATCATTCTGATATCTTGCATGAAAGACATGTGGGTGCATGTATCACCTGCTTTGACGCTGATTCCCAGGTGTATGAGTTGGACTCTGATTTTAGATCACATTTGTCCTCATCACTCAGCATATCCACATTGATATTGACATGGTTTTATTTTAGTTTTAGACATATGGAGAAAGTCATATCACATTTGAAATTGTCAGTGTATATTTCTTGAAGCCTGTATTCCTATTTTCTTCAGTGTATTTCCTTCATGTTTAGTCCCAAGAAACAAAGTATAAAATATCAAAGCCTACAGTAATACAGGCAGGAGTACAAAACTTGATGCTAACATGCTATCCATGCATTAATGTATGGATAACATTATCATATTTACATATGATTGATTATGTATCCCTTTTGCTTTTCAGTGTCTCCTCAGAAACAACGAGCTGAGAAGGTAATTAAAGTCTCATTTATATGTTGAACTATTAACTGTATAGTCTATGAAACCTACTTTACATATTGATTATTTTGTTTCAAATCCCATTCAGGCTACAAGTGACGACAAAGATTCTGTTTCAAATATAGCCACAGAAATAAAGGAGGGACCTATATCTGGGACAGGTAATTTTGCAAAACACATCTAATGTCATGTTCAATCAAGATAGAAGAGAAATTCCCTTCCCCAAATAAATCAGTGGGGAGTTCATATAAGCTGCACGTTCTGATTCAGTACACCTGAGATTCTTCATTTGTAGTGAGTTCTCAGGTGACTCTGATACTGCTGGTCCTTGGTCATGATCTGAGTAGTAAGATTGTAGGCTTCCTTACATTGAAATTGGGAAGAAGAAACATTGGAGAGCAGTTCAACACATACCAGGCTAAGGGAGCAGCATAATTTTACTTTAATTTTACAGCATGTTTCCATCAAGAGGGGAAAGAGAATGAGATGAAGTAATAGATATTATAGGCATCATATCATATTGTTATCAACAGAGGGAAAAGTGATCCTAATAACTCCATAAACACTGTAGAATGAGAGCTAAGAAGACCACTGATGCAGCAATTATTTTCCTCAAGGAAGAGGGATTGTGAGGCAGGAAGGAGGAAAAAGAAGAAGGTATTTATGTAATTTTGGGTTTTCTGCTGAGGAAACCTGAGTGAACTCATTTCAGATGCATTTGGAATATTTGCATAAAAGAAGATTTGATTTTGGCTGCTCTGAGAACTACTGGAAGCAGGAAACAGTGCTAGAATTGGGATAAACCACAGTGACTCATTACTCCTCTTTGTTACTATTAGGCATCAGAGATACATGTTTTGTTGACTTTACTTATAAAAATGAGATAAACTTGCATATGAATACATTGGCTTCCTTGTTCAAGGAGCTTACTCTTGGATAAAATAGCTACTTAATGAAACTTCCTTAGAGACTAACATGATACTCCCAGCAAGGCTATTTTAGAAACAAAAATGATGTTGAATTCTAATTAACTCCTAAAGTGGTGATTTTCAATGAATATTGGAGTGATTTCTGAATGTAAAACTTATTAATATCTAATGCTTGTAGCAGTTTTACTTTGTAGAAGTATGTTAACATTGGTAATTGATATTTTTATTGAGGCTAATACATTATCGTTTGTTGCCATGAGTGGATGAAGAAACTTTCAGAAAGCTAAACTAGTGGATACAAGAAACTTAGGCAAATTATTATACCACATGGGTGTGAGAAATAATGAATATTATCTACTAGATCTCAGGAAACATATATCCAAGGTGATCAATTTAGGACATTTCCACCGAAGAGACGTGAAGTGTACATTTAACTGAATTGTCATCGTAATTGTGTACCTTCTAGTTATTGGGCAAGTTAAAGGGCATAATGAACATCTGTAGTATAATGGTGTAAATCCTTCTGATTTCTTGCAAGAAAGACATGAGGGATCATGTACCACCTGCTTTGACATTGATTCTCAGGTGTGTGAGTTACTCCTCTGATTTGTCCTCATCACTCGGCATATCCACATTGATATTGACACGGTTTTATTTTAGTTTTAGATGTATCACGAATCATACCATGTTTGAAATTGTAAGGGTATATTTTGTGAAGCCTGTATTCCTTTTTTTTCAGTGTATTTCTGTCATGTTCCAGTCTCCAGACAAAAAGTAGAAAACATCAAAGCCTACACTAGTACAGGCAGGAAGATACAGCTTGATGCTAACACTGCATGGAATGTATGGATAAATTTATCATATGTACATGTGAGTGATTATGTTTCCCTTTTGCTTTTCAGTGTCTTCTCAGAAACAACCAGCTGAGAAGGTAATTAAAGTCTCATTTATATGTTGAACTATTAACCGTATAGTCTATGAAACCTACTTTACATATTGATTATTTTGTTTCAAATCCCATTCAGGCTACAAGTGACGAGAAAGATTCTGTTTCAAATATAGCCACAGAAATAAAGGAGGGACAACAATCTGGGACAGGTAATTTTGCAAAACACATTTAATGTCATGTTCAGTCAAGATAGAAAAGTACTTCTCTTCCCCGAATAAATCAGCGGGGGATTCATTGAAGCTGCACATTCTGATTCAGCAGGCCTGAGATTCCTCAGTTCTCAGGTGACACTGATGCTGCTGGTCTTCGACATGATCTTTGCAGTAAGATTATAGACTTCCTCACATTGAAATTGGGAAGAAGAAACGTTGGAGAGCCATTAAAGACATAAGGAGTCAGGGGACAGCATAATTTTGCATTAATTCTACAGCATGTTTTCACCAAGGGAGGAAGGAGAAAGAGATGAAGTATAGATTTTACAGACATCACATCGTATTGCTAAAAACAGATGGAGAAATTATGGTAATAGCCCATAAACACTGTAGAACGAGAGCTAAGGAGACCACTGATGTAGCAATGACTTTCCTCAAGGAAGAGGATTATCAGGCAGGAAGGAGGGAAAATAAGAAGTTATTTATGTAATTTTGGGGTTTCTTCTGAGGAAACCTGAGTTCAGTTGCATATTCGAACATTTTTGTAAAAGAAGCTTTGATTTTGGCTGCTTTAGGAAACAGTGGAAGCAGGAAGGAGTACTAGAACTGGGATAAACCACAGTGACTCATTACTCCTCTTTGTTACTGTTGGGCATCAGAGATATACGTTTTGTTGATATTAGTTATTCAAATGAGATAAACATGAATATGCGTATATTGGCTTTGCTTTTCAATTAGCTAACTTTTGGATAAAAATAGCAATTTAATGAAAATGCTTTAGAGAATAACATGATATTTTATACCAGACTATTTTAGAAAAAAAAATAATGGTGAATTCATTAATTGACTTTTAAAATTCTTATTTTCAATGAATATTGGAGGGATTTCCAAATGTCAAAGGTTATTCATATCTAATGCTTGTAGCAACTTTATTTTGTATAAGTATGTCAAATTTGATCATTTATTATACTTTTTGATAAGGTTTATGTATTATATTTGTTGCCACGAGTGGATGAAGAACCTTTCTGTAGCCTAAACTAGAGGACACAACAAATGTAGGCACATTATTACACCACATGGGTTTGAGAAATAAAGAATATTATATACAGGATTATCCCAACCTATATCCAAGCTGTTGAAGCTGGGCCACTTCCACCGAGGACTTGTGAAGTGTACATTCTACTAAAGTGTCATTGTCATTGTGTACCTGCTCAATTACCAGGCAAGTTAAAGAGCGTGATGAATACTTGCAGCATAATGGTATAAATCCCTCTGATGTCTTGCATGAAAAACATGCAGTAGCATTTAGTACCTTCTTTGACATTGATTCCTGGGTGTATGAGTTGCTCCTCTGATTTTAGATCACATTTCTTTTCATCATTCAGCATATCCACATTGATATTGACACTTTTTATTTCAGTAATACACACATGATGCATAATACCTCTTTGTAATTTCTGACTGTATATTTTCTGGAAGCGTGTATTCCTATTTTCTTCAGTGTATTTCCTCATGTTCCCGTCCCAAAGACACAAACTGTAAAACATCAAATCCTACACTAGTGCAGGCGGGAGGATACAGCTTGATGCTAACACTGCATGAATGTATGGACGACTTTGTCATATTTACATATGATGAATTATATATTTCTTTTACTTTTCAGTGTCTCCTCAGAAACAATCGGCCCAGAAGGTAGTTACTCTTTCATTTATATTTTGAATTATTTATTGCATAGCCTATGAAATATATATTATGTATTGACTATTTTGTTTCTCTTTCCATTCAGGTTATATTTAAAAAGAAAGTTTCTCTTTTGAATATTGCCACAAGAATAATGGGCGGTGGGAAATCTGGAACAGGTAATTTGGCAATACACATTTAATGTCATGTGCACTCAAGACAGAAGAGAACGTCCCACCCCTGAATAGATCAGTGGGGTGTCATTGAAAATGCACTTTCTGATTCAGCAGGCCTGAGATTGTGCATTTCTAGTAAGTTGTCAGGTGGTGCTGATGCTGCTGGTCCTTGGTCATGATCTTAGTAACAAGCTTATAGAGTTCCCTACATTGAAATTGGATAGAAGAACCATTGGAAAACAGTTGAAGACATAAGAGGATCAGGGGACAGCATAATTTTTCTCTTATTTCAGAGCATGTTTCTATGGAGAGGGGAAGGAGAAAGAGAAGAAGTAACAGAAATTATAGATGTCAGATGGTACTGCTAAAACCAGAGGGAGGAAGTTGTCATAATAACCCGTAGACACTGGAGAATGAGAAACAAAGTGACCACTGATGTAGTAACTATTTTCATCAAGAAAGAGGGATTGCAAGGCAAGAAAGAGGGGAAGGAAGAAGTTATTTCTGTAATTTTGGGGTTTCTGCTGAGGAAACCTGAGTGAACTCACCTCAGATGCATTTAGAATGTTTGCATACCAGAAGATTTGATTTCTGACTGCTCCGATGACTACCGGAATCAGGAAGGAGTGCTAGAGTTGGGATAAACCACAGTGCCTCATTCCTGTTTATTAGTATCAGACATCAGACATATATTTTTTATTAGTTATTCAAATGAGTTAAAATTTAATATGACTATATTAGCTTTTTTCCAAAGCTTTTTTCCAAAGCATTTTCCGAATGCTTTTTCATTAAAATAGCTATTTAGTGAAAATTCTTTATAATACAATGATATTCCAGAGTAGACTAATTTTGCAGACAAAAATAATGTTAAATGTATTAATTGAATCCTAAAATGGTTATTTTCAATGAATATTGGACTGATAGCCAAATGTAAAAGCTTATTAATATCTAATGCCAGGAGCCATTGCATTTTGTATAAATATGTGTAATTTATTGTACTTTTAGATGAGGTTTATATATTATACCTTCCTGCCATTAGTGGATGAAGAAAATTTCTGAAGGCTAAACTAGAGGATACAAGAAATGTAGGCAGATTATTACACCACATGGGTATTATAAATAATGAATACTATCTACTAGGATTCACCAACCATATATCCAAGCTGATCAATTTAGGTCCCTTCCACTTAAGAGACGTGAAGTGTACATTCATCTGAAGTGTCATTGTAATTGTGTACTTTCTCAGTTATCAGGCAAGCTAAAGAGCATGATGAATGTTTGTAGTATACTAGTGTAAATCCTTTTGATACCTTGCATGAAAGACATGGAGGATCATGTAGCACCTGCTTTGACATTGATTCTCAGGTGTATGAGTTGCTCCTCTGATTTTAGATCACATTTGTCCTCATCATTCGGCATATTCACATTGATACTAACACTGTTTCATTTTAGTTTTAGACATATGAAAAATCATACCATGATTGACATTGTAAGGGTTTGTTTTGTGAAACCTGTATTTCTTTTTTTTCAGTGTATTTCTGTCATGTTCCAGTCCCCAGACACAAAAATCAAAGCCTATACTAATACAGGCAGGAAGATACAGCTTGATGCTAACATTTCATGAATGTATGGATAACTTTATCATATTTACATATGAGTGATTATGTATCCCTTTTGCTTTTCAGTGTCTTCTCAGAAACAACCAGCCTCAAAGGTAATTAAATTCTCATTTATATTTTGTATTAGTAACTGTATAGTCCATGAAACATACTTTCTTTATTGATAATTTGCTTCAAATTACTTTCAGACTGCAAGTGACAAGACAGATTCTGCTTTGAATACAGCTACAGAAATAAAGGATGGACTACAATGTGGGACAGGTAATTTTGCAAAACACATTTAATGTCATGTTCAGTCCAGATAGAAAAGAACTTCTCTTCCCCAAATAAATCAGTGGGGGGGCTCATCAAAGCTGCACATTCTGATTCAGCAGGCCAGAGATTCTTCATCTGTAATAAGTTCTCGGGTGATGCTGATGCTGCTGGTCTTGGACATGATCTTCACAGTAAGATTATAGACTTCCCCACATTGAAATTGGGAAGAAGAAACATTGGAGAGCAGATCAAGACATAAGGGGCTCAGGGGACAGCATAATTTTGCTTTAATTCTACAGCATGTTTTCACCAAGGGTGGAAGGAGAATGAGTTGAAGTATAGATTTTACAAACGTCACATCGTATTGATAAAAACAGACGGAAAACTGATCGTAATAACCAGTAAAAATTGTAGAACGAGAACTAACGAGACCACTGATGTAGCAATTATTTTCCTCAAGGAAGAGGGTTGTGAGGCAGGAAGGAGGGAAAAGATGAAGTTATTTATGTAATTTTGGGGTTTCTGCTGAGGAGACCTGAGTGAACTCACTTCGGATGCATTTAGCATATTTACACAAAAAAGATTTGATTTTGGCAGCTCCAGGAACTACTGGATGAAGCAAAGAAAGCTAGAATTGGGATAAACCACATTGACAAATTACTTCTCTTTGCTACTATTAGGCATAAGATATATATCTTTTGTTGATTTTTGTTATAAAAATTAGATAAACTTGAATATCAATACATTGGCTTCTTTCATCAAAGAGCTATCTCATGGATAAAATAGCTATTTAATGAATATTATTTAGAGAATAGTATGATCCTCCTAACAAGACAATTTTAAAAACAAATATAATGTTGAGTTCATCAACTGACTCTTAAAATGGTCATTTTCAATGAATATTGGAGTGATTTCCAAATATAAAAGCTTATTAATATCCAATGCTTTTAGCAGTTTTATTTAGTAGAAGTATGTCAAAATTGATAATTGATGATGCTTTTTATTGAGGTTTATATATTATACTTTGTTGCCATGAGTGGATGAAGAAATGTCCGGGAAGGCTAAACTAGAGAATACAGGAAACTTAGGCAAATTGTTGCACCACATGGATATGAGAAATAATGAATATTATTTACTCGGATTCAGGAAACATATATCCAAGCTGATCAATTTAGGACACTTCACTGAAGAGACAGAGACATGACGTGTACATTCAACTGAAGTGTCACTGTAATTGTGTACCTTCTCAGTTACTGGGCAAGTTAATGAAGATGATGAATGTTTGCAGTATAATGGTGTAAATCATTTGGATATCTTGCATAAAAGACATGTGGGTGCATGTGCCACCTGCTTTGACATTTTCCCAGGTGATTGAGTTTCCTCTCTGATTTTTGATCGCATTTGTCATGATCACTTGGCATACCCTTTTTGATATTGACACTGATTTATTTTTCTTTTAGATATACGAGAAATCATATTATGTTTGAAATAGTTAGGAATGTATCGTGACACATCTATTTCTGTTTTCTTTAGTATATTTGTGTCATGCTCCTGGCTTAAGACATAAAGTAGAAAACATCAAAGCCTACACTAATACAGGCAGGCGGATACAGCTTGATGCTAACACCGCATGAATGTATGGAAAATGTATCATATTTACATATGAGTGATTATGTATCCCTTTTGCTTTTCAGTGTCTTCTCAGAAACAACAAGCCTTGAAGGTAATTGAACTCTCATTTATGTTGTGAACTAGTAAATCTATAGTCTATGAAACATACTTCATTTATTTATTTATTTATTATTTTCTTTCAAATTCCATTCAGGCTACAACTGACGAGGAAGGTTCTGTTTCTAATATAGCCACAGAAATAAAGGATGGAGAAAAATCTGGGACAGGTAATTTTGCAAAACACATTCAATGTCATGTTCAATCCAGATAGAAACGAACTTCTCTACCCCTAATAAATCAGCGCAGGGCGGGTGGGGGGCTCGCTGAAGCTGCACATTCTGATCCAGCAGGTCTGAGAGTCTTCATTTGTAATAAATTATTGGGTGACGCTAATGCTGCTGGCTTGGAACGTGATCTTCGCAGTAAGATTATACACTTCCCCACATTGAAATTGGGAAGAAGAAATATTGGAGAGAGGTTCAAGACATAAGGGGCTCTGGGGAGCAGCATAGTTTTGCTTTAATTCTACAGCATGGTTTCACTAAGGGTGGAAGGAGAAAGAGAGGAAGTATAGATTTTACAGACGTCACATCGTACTGCGAAGAAAAGACAGAAAACTGATAGTAATAACCCATAAACACTGTAGAATGAGAACTAAGGAGACCCCTGATGTAGCAATTATTTTCCCAAGGACGAGGGATTGTCAGGCAGGAAGGAGGGAAGAGAAGTTATTTATATAATTTAGGGTTTTCTGCTGAGGAAATCTGAGTGAACTCACTTCACATGCATTTGGAATATGTCCTTAAAAAATATTAGATTTTGGCAGCTCCAGGAACTATTGGAAGCAGGAAACAATGCTAGAATTGGGATAAAGCACACTGACTCATTACTCCTTTTTGTTACTATTAGGCATCAGAGATACATGTTTTGTTGATTTTAGTTATAGAAATGAGATAAACTTGAATATGAATACATTGGCTTCCTTGTTGAAGGAGCTACCTCTTGGATAAAATAGCTATTTCACGAAACATCTTTACAGACTAACATGATACTCCCAAGAAGGCTATTTTAGAAACAAAAATTATGTTGAATTCTAACTAACTCCTAAAATGGTCATTTTCAATGAATATTGCAGTGATTTCTGAATGAAAAAGTGATTAATATCTAATGCTTGTAGCAGATTTATTTGTAGAAGTATGTCAAAATTGATAATAGATGATATTTTTATTGAGGCTAGTATATTATCCTTTGGTGTCACGACTGGATGAAGAAATTTTCAGAGGGATAAACTAGTGGATACAAGATACTTAGGCAAATTATTACACCACATGGGTGTGAGAGATAATGAATATTATCTACTAGGTATCAGCAACCAGATATCCAAGGTGATTAATTTAGGACATTACCAGTGAAGAGATGTGAAGTGTACGTTCAACTGAAGTGTCATCATAATTGTGTGCTTTCTTAGATATTGGGCAAGTTAAAGAGCATGATGCATGTTTGTATTATAATGGTGTAAATCCTTTTGATTTGTTGCATGAAAGACATGTGGGATCATGTAGCACCTGCTTTGACATTCATTCTCAGGTGTATGAGTTTCTCCTCTGATTTTAGATCACATTTGTCCTCATCACTCGGCATATGGACATTGATGTTGACAACCTTTGATTTTAGTTTTCGACGTATGAGAAATCATACCATGTTTGAAATTGCAGGGGTATATTTCACGGAGCCTGTGTTTCCTTTTCTCAGTGTATTTCTGTCATGTTCTAATCCCCAGACACAAAGTAGAAGCCATCAAAACCTACGCTAATACAGGCAGGAGGACAGAGGTTGATACAAACACTGCATGAATGTATGGATAACTTTGTCATAGTTACATATGAGTGATTATGTATCCCTTTTGCTTTTCAGTGTCTTCTCAGAAAAAACCAGCCTTGAAGGTAATGAAACTCTCATTTATATTGTGAGCTAGTAAACGTATAGCCTATGAAACATACCTTATTTATTATTTTGTTTCAAATTCCATTCAGGCCACAAGTGATGAGAAAGATTCTTTTTCGAATATAACCAGAGAAAAAAAGGATGGAGAAATATCTAGGACAGGTAATTTTGCGAAACACATTTAATGTCATGTTCAGTCCAGATAAGAAGTTCTCTTCCCCGAATAAATCAGTGGGGGGCTGGTCGAAGCTGCACATTCTGACTCAGCAGGCCTGAGATTCTTCATTTCTAATAAGTTCTTGGGTTATGCTGATACTGCTGGTCTGGAATATGATCTTGGCTGTAAGATTATACACATCCCCACATTGCAACTGGGAGGAAGAAATATAGAGAGCAGTTGAAGACATAAGGGGCTCTGGGGCACAGCATAATTTTGCTTTAATTCTGTAGCATCTTTTCATTAAGGGTGTAAGGAGAAAGAGAGGAAGTACAGATTTTACAGACGTCACATCGTAGTGCTAAAAACAGACAGAAAACTGTTCATAATAACCCATAGACACTGTAGAAGGAGAACTGAGGAGACCCCTGATGTAGCAATTATTTTCTGAATGAAGACGGATTGTGAGGCAGGAATGTGGGAAAAGAGGAAGTCATTTATATAATTTTGGGGTTACTGCTGAGGAAACCTGAGTGAACTCACTTCAGATGCATTTGGAACATTTTCATAAACAATATTTGATTTTGGCAACTCCAGCAAGTGCTGGAAGCAGGAAACAGTGCTTGAATTGGCATAAAAACACAATGACTCATTACTCCTCTTTGTTACTATTAGGCATCAGAGATACATGTTTTGTTGATTTTAGTTATAGAAATGAGATAAACTTGAATATGAACACATTGGCTTCCTTGTTCAAGGAGCTACCTCTTGTATAAAATAGCTGTTTAATGAAACTTCTTTAGAAAATAACATGATACTCCCAACAAAGCTATTTTAGAGGCATAAATTATGTTGCATTCTAATTAAGTCCTAGAGTGATCATTGTCAAAGAATATTGGAATGATTTCTGAATGTAAAACATCAATATCTAATGCTTGTAGCAGTTTTACTTTGTAGAAATATGTCAAAATTGATAATTGATGATATTTTTATTGAGGCTAATATATTATCCTTTGGTGCCACGACTGGATGAAGAAACATTTGGAAGGCTAAACTAGTGGATACAAGAAACTTAGGCAGATTATTACACCATATGGGTGTGAGAGATAATGAATATTATCTACTTGGTATCAGCAAACAGGTGTCCAAGGTGATCAATTCAGGACTCTTCCACTGAAGAGATGTGAAGTGTAAGTTTAACTGAAGTATCATTGCAATTGTGTGCCTTCTCAGTTATTGGGCAATTTAAAGAGCATGATGAATGTTTGTAGTATAATGGTGTAAATCCTTTTGATTTGTTGCATGAAAGACATGTGGGATCATGTAGCACCTGCTTTGACATTGATTCTCAGGAGTGTGAGTTGCTCCTCTGATTTTAGATCACATTTGTTCTCATCACTTGGCCTATGCACATTGATATTGACACGGTTTTAGTTTAGTTTTTGACATATGAGAAATCATACCATGTTTGAAATTGTAAGGGTATATTTCATGGAGCCTGTATTCCCTTTTCTCAGTGCATTTCTGTCACGTTCTAGTCCGCAGACACAAAGTAGAAGCCATCAAAGCCTACGCTAATACAGGCAGGAGGACAGAGTTTGATGCTAACACTGCATGAATGTGTGGATATCTTTGTCATATTTACATATGAGTGATTATGAATCCCTTTTGCTTTTCAGTGTCTTCTCAGAAACCACCAGCCTTGAAGGTAATGAAACTCTCATTTATATTGTGAACTAGTTAATGTATGGTCTATGAAACATACTTTATTTATTTATTATTTCATTTCAAATTCCATTCAGGCTACAAGTGTCAAGGAAGATTCTGTTTTGAATATAGCCAGAGAAAAAAAGGATGGAGAAAAATCTAGGACAGGTAATTTTGAAAACAGATTTAATGTCATGTTCAGTCCAGATAGATAAGAAGTTCTCTTCCCCAAATAAATCAGCGGGGGGCTCGTCGAAGCTGCACTTTCTGATTCAGCAGGCCAGAGATTCTTCATTTGTAGTAAGTTCTTGAGTGATGCTGATGCTGATGCTGATGCTGCTGGTCTGGAACATGACCTTCGCTGTAAGATTATACACTTCCCCACATTGAAGTTGGGAAGAAGATATATGGAGAGCAGTTGAAGACATAAGGGGCTCTGGGGAAGAGCATAGTTTTGCTTTAATTCTACAGCTTGTTTTCAGTAAGGGTGGAAGGAGAAAGAGAGGAAGTATCGATTTTACAGACATCACATCATACTGCTAAAAACAGACAGCAAACTTGTTGTAATAACCCGTACACACTGTAGGAGAACTAAGGAGACCCCTGGTGTAGCAATCATTTTCCCAAGGAAGACGGATTGTGAGGCAGGAAGGTGTGAAAAGAGGAAGTCATTTATATAATTTTGGGGTTTGTGCTGAGGAAACCTGAGTGAACTCACTTCAGATGCATTTGGAATATTTTAATAAAAAATACTTGATTTTGGCTGCTGCAGGAACTGCTGGAAGAAGGAAACAATCCTAGAATTGGCATAAAAACACACTGAGTCATTACTCCTCTTTGTTACTATTAGGCATCAGAGATACATGTTTTGTTGATTTTAGTTATAGAAATGAGACAAACTTGAATATGAACACATTGGCTTCCTTGTTGAAGGAGCTACCTCTTGGATACAATAGCTATTTCATGAAACTTCTTTAGAGAACAACATGATACTCCCAACAAAGCTATTTTAGAAACAAAAATTATGCTGGATTCTAATTAACTCCTAAAATGGTCATTTTCAATGAATATTGCAGTGATTTCTGAAAGAGAAACTGATCAGTATCTAATGCTTGTAGCAGTTTTACTTTGTATAGGTATGTCAAAATTGATAATTGATGATATTTTTATTGAGGCTAATATATTATCCTTTGGTGCCACGACTGGATGAAGAAACTTTTGGAAGGCTAAACTAGTGGATACAAGAAACTTAGGCAGATTATTACACCATATGGGTGTGAGAGATAATGAATATTATCTACTTGGTATCAGCAAACAGGTGTCCAAGGTGATCAATTCAGGACTCTTCCACTGAAGAGATGTGAAGTGTAAGTTTAACTGAAGTATCATTGCAATTGTGTGCCTTCTCAGTTATTGGGCAATTTAAAGAGCATGATGAATGTTTGTAGTATAATGGTGTAAATCCTTTTGATTTGTTGCATGAAAGACATGTGGGATCATGTAGCACCTGCTTTCACGTTGATTCTCAGGTGTATGAGTTTCTCCTCTGATTTTAGATCACTTTGTCCTCATCACTCAGCATATCCACGTTGATATTGACACGGTTTTATTTTAGTTTTTGGCATATAACAAATCATACCCTGTTTGAAATTATAAGAGTATTTTTCATGGAGCCTGTATTCCCTTTTCTCAGCGTATTTCTGTCATGTTCTAGTCCCCAGACACAAAGTAGAAGCCATCAAAGCCTATGCTAATACAGGCAGGAAGACAGAGGTTGATGCTAACACTGCGTGAATGTGTGGATAATTTTGTCATTTTTACATATGAGTGATTATGAATCCCTTTTACTTTTCAGTGTCTTTTGAGCAACCACCAGGCTTGAAGGTAATGAAACTGTCATTTATATTGTGAACTAGTAAATGTATAGTCTATGAAACATACTTTATTAATTTATTATTTCATTTCAAATTCCATTCAGGCTACAAGAGACGAGAAAGATTCTCTTTTGAATATAGCCAGAGGAAAAAAAGATGGAGAAAAAACTAGGAGAGGTAATTTTGAAAAGAGATTTAATGTCATGTTCAGTCCGGGTAGATAAGAAATTCTCTTCCCTGAATAAATCTGCGGGGGGCTCGTTGAAGCTGCACATTCTGATTCAGCAGTCCTGAGATTCTTCATTTCAAATAAGTTCGTGGGTGATAGTGTTGCTGCTGGTCTGGAACATGATCTTCGCAGTAAGGTTATACACTTCCCCACATTGAAATTGGGAAGAAGAAATATGGTGAGCAGTTCAAGGCATAAGGGGCTCTGGGGAACAACATAATTTTGCTTTAATTCTCCAGCTTGTTTTCAGTAAGGGTGGAAGGAGAAAGAGAGGAAGTATAGAATTTACACACTTCAGATCATACTGCCAAGAAAAGACAGAAAGCTTGTTGTAACAACCCGTAGACACTGTAGGAGAACTAAGGAGACCCCTGGTGTAGCAACTATTTTCCTAAAGAAGATGGATTGTGAGGCAGGAAGGCTGAAAAAGAGGAATTCTTTTATATAATTTTCTGGTTTCTTCTGAGGAAACCTGAGTGAACTCACTTCAGATGCATTTGGAATATTTTCATAAAAGTTATTTGATTTTGGCTGCTCCAGGAACTACTGGAAGCAGGAAACAATGGTGTAATTGGAATACACCACACTGACTCATTACTCCTCTTTGTTACTAGGAGGCATCAGAGATACATATTTTGTTGATTATAGTTATAAAAATGCGATAATCTTGAATATGAATAAATTTGCTTCCTTGTTCAAGGGGCTACCTCTTGGATGAAATAGCTATTTCATGAAACTTCTTTCGAGAATAACATGGTCCTCCCAAAAAGTCTATTTTAGAAACAAAAATGATGTTGAATTCTAACTAACTCCTAAAATTATAATTTTCAATGAATATTGCAGTGATTTCTGAATGAAAAACTGATTAATATCTAATGCTTGTAGCAGTTTTACTTTGAAGAAATATGTCATAGTTGATAATTGATGATATCTTTATTGAGGCTAATATATTATCCTTTGGTGCCAAGAGTGGATGAAGAAATTTTCAGAAGTCTAAACTAGTGGATACAAGAAACTTAGGCAAATTATTGCACCACGTGCGTGTGAGAGATAATGAATGTTATCTACTAGGTATCAGCAAGCAGATATCCAAGGTGATCAATTTAGGACACTTCCACTGAAGGGATGTGAAGTGTACGTTCAACTGAAATGTCGTCGTAATTCTGTGCCTTCTCAGTTATCGGGCAAATTAAAGAGCATGATGAATGTTTGTAGTATAATGGTGTAAATCCTTTTGATTTCTTACATGAAAGACATGTGGGATCATGTAGCACCTGCTTTGACATTGATTCTCACGTGTATGAGTTGCTCCTCTGATTTTAGATCACTTTGTCCTCATCACTCGGCATATCGACATTGATATTGACAGGGCTTTATTTTAGTTTTCGACATATGACAAATCATACCATGTTTGAAATTGTAAGGATATATTTCATGGAGCCTGTATTCCCTTTTTTCAGTGTATTTCTGTCATGTTCTTGTCCCCAGACACAAAGTAGAAGCCATCAAAGCCTACACTATTACAGGCAGGAGGACAGAGGTTGATGCTAACACTGTATGAATGTATGGATAACTTTATCATATTTATGTATGAGTGATTATGTATCCCTTTTGCTTTTCAGTGTCTTCTCATAAACAACCATCCTTGAAGGTAATTAAACTCTCTTTTGTATTTTGAACTATTAACTGTATAGTCTATGAAATATACTTTATTTATTGACTGTTCTGTTTCAAATTCCATTCAGGCTACAAGTGACAAGGAAGATTCTGTTCCGAATATGGCCACAGAAACAAAGGATGAACAAATATCTGGGACAGGTAATTTTGCAAACACATTTAATATGATGTTCGTTCAAGATAGAAGAGATCTTCTCTTCACCAAATAAAGCAGCGGGGGGTTCGTCAAATCTTCATGTTCTGATTTAGTATTCCTGAGATTATTCATTTGTAATAAGTTCTCGGGTGACCCTGATGCTGTGGTCCTTGTCCATGCTGAAAGTACTAAGATTTTAGATGTCTGTACTTTGAAATTGGGAAAAAGAACCATCTGACAGCAATTCAACACATAACAGGCTCAGGGGACAGCATCATTTTGCTTTAATTCTACAGCATGTTTCCATCAAGAGGGGAAAGAGAAAGAGATGAAATAATAGATATTAGAGGTGTCAGATTGTATTGGGATAAACAGAGGGAAAAGTGATCCTAATACCACAAAAACACTGTAGAATGACAAGTAACAAGACCAGTGATGTAGCAATTATTTTCCTCAAGGAATAGGGATTGTGAGTCAGGAAGGAGAGAAAAGAAGAAGTTATTTATGTAATTTGGGATTTCTGCTGAGGAAACCTCAGTGAACTCACTTCAATACATTTGGAACATTTGCATAAAAGAAGACTTGATTTTGGCAGCTCCAGGCACTACTGGAAGCAGGAAACTATGCTAGAATTGGGATAAACCACAGTGACTCATTACTCCTCTTTAGGAGTAATTTACTATTAGGCATCAGAGATACATGTTTTGTTGATTTTAGTTATAAAACTGAGATAAATGAATATGAATACATTGGCTTCAAAGTTCAAGGAGCTAAGTCTTGGATAAAATAGCTATTGAATGAAACTTCTTTAGAGAATAGCATGATACTCCAAAAAAGACTTTTTAGAAACAAAAATTATGTTGAATTCTAATTAACTCCTAAAGTGGTCCTTTCAATGAATATTTGATTGATTTCTGAATGTTAAACTTATTAATATCTAATGCTTGTAGCAGTTTTACTTTGTAGAAGTACGTCAACATTGGTAATTGATGATATTTTTATTGAGGCTAATATATTATCCTTTGGTGCCATGAGTGGATGAAGAAACTTTCAGAAGGCTAAATGAGTGGATACAAGAAACTTAGGCAAATTATTACACCACAGGGGTGTGAGAAATAATGAATATTAGCTACTAGGTTTCAGCAAACATAATCCAAGCTGATCAATTTAGGACACTTCCACTGAAGAGACGTGAAGTGTACGTTCAACTGAAGTGTCATTGTAATTGTGTGCCTTCTCAGTTATTGGGCAAGTTAAAGAGCATGATGAATGTTTGTACTATAATGGTGTAAATCCTTGTGATTTCTTGCATGAAAGACATGTGGCATCATGTAGAACCTGCTTTGACATTGATTCTCAATTGTATGAGTTGCTCCTCTGATTTTAGATCACATTTGTCCTCATCACTTGGCATATCCACATTGATATTGACACGGTTTTATTTTAGTTTTAGACATATGACAAATCATGCCATGTTTGAAATTGTAAGTATATTTTGTGAAGCCTGTATTCACCTTTTTCAGTGTATTTCTGTCATATTCCAGTCCCGAGTCACAAAGTAGAAAACATCAAAGCCTATACTAATACAGGCAGGAAGATACATCTTGATGCCAACAGTGCAGGAATGTATGGATAACTTTATCATATTTACATATGAGTGATTATGTATCCCTTTTGCTTTTCAGTGTCTTGTCAGAAACAACCAGCCTTGAAGGTAATTAAACTCTCATTTATATTGTGAACTATTAACTGTGTGGTCTATGAAACATAGTTTATGTATTGATTATTTTGTTTCAAATTCCATTCAGGCTACAAGTGACAAGAAAGATTCTGTTTCGAATATACCCACAGAAATAAAGGATGGACAACAATCTGGAACAGGTAATTTTGCAAAACACATTTAATGTCATGTTCAGTCCAGATAGAAAAGTACTTCTCTTCCCCGAACAAATCAGTGTGGGGCTCATCAAAACTGCACATTCTGATTCAGCAGGCCTGACATTCTTCATTTTTAATAAGTTCTTGGGTGACGCTGATGCTGCTGGTCTTGGACATGATCTTTGCAGTAAGATTATATAGACTTCCCCACATTGAAATTGGGAAGAAGAAATATGGAGAGCAGTTCAAGACATAAGGGGCTCAGGGGAACAGCATAATTTTGCTTTAATTCTACAGCATGTTTTCAATAAGGGTAGAAGGAGAAAGACATGAAGTATATATTTTACAGATGTCACATCATACTGCTATAAAAAAGACAGAATAGTGATCCTAATAACCTGTAGACACTGTAGAATGAGAACTAAGGAGACCACTGATATAGCAATGATTTTTCCCAAGGAAGAGGGATTGTGAGGCAGGAAGGAGGGAAAAGAAGAAGTTATTTATGTAATTTTGGGGTTTCTGCTGAGGAAACCTGAGTGGACTCACTTCAGAGGCATTTAGCATATTTGCATAAAGAAGATTTGATTTTGGCAGCTGCTGGAACTACTGGGTGCAGGAGATAATGCTAGAATTGGGATAAACTTCATTTACTAATTACTCTTCTTTGTTACTGTTAGGTATCAGACTTACACGTTTTGTTGATTTTAGTTATAGAAATTAGATAAACTTGAATATGAATACATTGGCTTCATTGATCAAAGAGCTGACTCTTGGATAAAATAGGTATTTAATGAATATTCTTTAGAGAATAGCATGATACTCCTAACAAGACTATTTTAGAAACAAAAATAATGTTGAATTCAACAACTGACTCCTAAAATGGTAATTTTCAATGAATATTGGAGTGATTTCCAAGTGTAAAAGCTTATTAATATCCAATACTTGTAGCAGTTTTATTTAGTAGAATTATGTCAAAATTGATAATTGATGATGCTTTTTATTGAGGTTATATATTATACTTTGTTGCCACGAGTGGATGAAGAAATGTTCAAAAGGCTAAACTAGAGAATACAAGAAGCTTAGGCAAATTATTACAGCACATGGGTGTGAGAAATAATGAATTATTTACTTGGATTCAGGAAACATACATCCACGTTGATCGATTTAGGTCCCTTCCACTTAAGAGATGTGAAGTGTACGTTCAAGTGAAGTGTCATTGTAATTGTGTACCTTCTCAGTTATTGGGCAAGTTAAAGAGCATGTTGAATGTTTGCAGTATAATGGTTTAATCATTCGGATATCTTGCATGAAAGTCATGCGGGTGCATGTACCACCTGCTTTGACATTGATTCCCAGGTGATTAGTTTCTTCTGTGATTTTAGACCACATTTGTCCTCATCACTCGGCATATCCTTATTGAAATTGACACTTTTATTTTAGTTTTAGTCATATGACAAATCATACTACGTTTGAAATGCTTAGTGTATATTTCTTGAAACCTGTATTCCTGTTTTCTTCAGTGTATTTCTGTCATGTTCCCATCCCAAAACACAAAGTATAAAGCATCAAAGCCTACACTAATAACTGCAGACAGATGCAGCTTGATGCTAACACTGCATGAATGTTTGAATAACTTTATCATATGCACATATGAGTGATTATGTATCTGTTTTGCTTTTCAGTGTCTTCTCAGAAACAACCGGCCTGGAAGGTAATTAAACACTCATATATATTTTGAACTATTAACTGTATAGTCTATGAATATATACTTTATGTATTGATTATTTTGTTTCAAATCCCATTCAGGCTACAAGTGTCAAGAAAGATTCTGTTTCGAATATAGCCACAGAAATAAAGGATGGACAAATACGTGGGACAGGTATTTTGGAATACACCTTTAATGTAATGTTCGATCAAATAGAAGAGAAATTCACTTCCCCAAATAAATCAGCGGGGGTTTCATTGAAGCTTTATGTTTGGATTCAGCATGCCTGAGATTCTTCATTTGTAATAAGTCCTCGGGTGACCCTGATGGTGCTGGTCCTTGACCATGATCTGAGTAGTAAGATTGTAGACTTCCCTACATTGAAATTAGGAAGAATAACCATAGGAGAGTGGTTTAGCACATAACAGCCTCAGGGGACAGCATCATTTTGCTTTAATTCTACAGCAAGTTTCCATCAAGAGGGGAAGGAGAAAGAGATGAAGTAATAGATATTATAGGCGTCAGATTATATTGTTATAAACAGAGGGAAACGTCATCCTAATACCTCAAAAACAGCATAGAATGAGAACGAACAAGATCACTGAAGTAGCAATTATTTTCCACAAGGAAGAGGGATTGTGAGGCAGGAAGGAGAGAAAAGAAGAAGTTATTTATGTAATTTTGGGGTTTCTGTTGAGGAAAGCTGAGTGAACTCACTTCAGATAAATTTGGAATATTTGCATAAAAGAACACTAAATTTTGGCTTCTCCAAGAACTACTGGAAGCAGGAAACAATGCTAGAATTGGGATAAAGCACACTGACTCATTACTCTTCTTTGCTACTATTAGGCATCAGAGATACATGTTTTGTTGATTTTAGTTATAAAAATGAGATAAACTTGAATATGAATACATTGGCTTCGTTGTTCAAGGAGCTAACTCTTGGGTAAAATAGCTATTGGATGAAACTTCTTTAGAGAATAGCATGATACTCCCAACAAGACTATTTTAGAAACAAAAAGTATGTGGAATTCTAATTAACTCCTAAAGTGGTCATTTTCAATGAATATTGGAGTGATTTGTGAATGTAAAACATATTAATATCTAACGCTTGTAGCAGTTTTACTTTGTAGAAGTATGTCAAAATTGATAATTGATGATATTTTTATTGAGGCTAATATATTATCCTTTGGTGCCATGAATGGATGAAGAAACTTTTGGAAAGCTAAACGAGTGGATACAAGAAACTTAGGCAAATTATTACACCACGTGGGTTTGAGGAATAATAAATATTATCTACTCAGTTTCAGCAAACAGATATCCAAGGTGATCAATTTAGGACACTTCTACTGAAGAGACGTGAAGTGTACATTCAACTGAAGTGTCATTGTAATTGTGTACCTTCTCTGTTATCGGGCAAGTTAAAGAGCATGATGAATGTCTGTAGTATAATGGTGTAAATCCTTTTGATTTCTTGCATGAAAGACCTGTGGGATCAAGTACCACCTACTTTGACATTGATTCTCAGGTGTATGAGTTGATCCTCTGATTTTAGATCACATTTGTCCTCATCACTCAGCATATCCACGTTGATATTGACACGGTTTTATTTTAGTTTTAGACATATGACAAATCATACCATGCTTGAAATTGTAAGTATATTTTTCATGAAGGCTGTATTACTTTTTTTCAGTGTATTTCTGTCATGTTCCAATCCCCAGACACAAAGTAGGAAACATCAAATCCTACCCTAGTACAGGCAGAAGGATACAGCTTGATGCTAACACTGCATGAATGTATGAATAACTTTATCATACGTGCATGTGGGTGATTATGTATCCCTTTTGCTTTTCAGTGTCTTCTCAGAGACGACCAGCCTTGAAGGTAATTAAACTCTTATTTATATTGTGAACTAGTAATTGTATAGTCTATGAAACATACTTTATTTATTTATTATTTTGTTTCAAATTCCATTCAGACTACAGGTGATGAGAAAGATTCTGTTTCGAATATAGCCAGAGAAATAAAGGATGGAGAAAAATCTGGGACAGGTAATTTTACAAAACACATTTAATGTCATGTTCAGTCCAGATAGAAAAGAACTTCTCTTCCCCAAATAAATCAGCGGGGGGGTTCGTCGCAGCTGCACATTCCGATTCTGCAGACCTGAGATTCTTCATTTGTAATAAGTTCTCGGGTGACGCTGATGCTGCTGGTCTTGGACGTGATCTTCGAAGTAAGATTATAGACTTCCCCACATTGAAATTGGGAAGAAGAAACATTGGAGACCATGTCAAGACATAAGGGGCTCAGGGGACAGCATAATTTTGCTTTAATTCTACAGCATGTTTTCACCAAGGGTGGTAGGAGATAGAGATGAAGTATAGATTTTACAGATATCACATCGCGTTCCTAAAAACAGATGGAAAAGTGATCACAATAACCCATAAACACTGTAGAATGAGAACTAACGAGACCGCTGATGTAGCAATTACTTTCCTCAAGGAAGAGGGATTGTCAGGCAGAAAGGAGGGAAAATAAGAAGTTATTTAGGTAATTTTGTTGTTTCTTCTGAGGAAACTTGTGTTCAGATGCATATTCGAATATTTTCCTAAAAGAAGATTTGATTTTGACTGCTTTAGGAACCAGTGGAAGCAGGAAGGACTCCTAGAATTGGGATAAACCACAGTGACTCATTGCTCCTCTTTGTTACTCTTGGGTGTCAGAGATATATGTTTTGTTGATATTAGTTATTCAAATGAAATAAACATGAATATGCATATATTGGCTTTTCAATTAGCTAACTTTGGATAAAATAGCAATTTAATGAAAATGCTTTAGAGAGTAACATGATACTTCAAACCAGACTATTTTAGAAACAAAATTAATTTGAATTCATTAATTGACTTTTAAAATTGTTATTTTCAATGAATATTGTAGTGATTTCCAAATGTAAAAGGTTATTCATATCTAATGCTTGTAGCAACTTTATTTTGTATAAGTTTGTCATTTGATCATTTATTATACTTTTTGATATGGTTTATATATTATACTTTGTTGCCATGAGTGGATGAAGAACCTTTCTGTAGCCTAAACTAGAGGACACAACAAATGTAGGCACATTATTACACCACATGGGTTTGAGAAATAAAGAATATTGTATACAGGATTATCCCAACCTATATCCAAGCTGATGAAGCTGCGACACTTCCACTGAGGACTTGTGAAGTGTACATTCTATTAAAGTGTCATTGTCATTGTGTACCTGCTCAATTACCAGGCAAGTTAAAGAGCATGATGAATACTTGCAGTACAGTGGTATAAATCCTTCTGATGTCTTGCATGAAAAACATGCAGTAGCATTTAGTACCTTCTTTGACATTGGTTCCTGGGTGTATGAGTTGCTCCTCTGATTTTAGATCACATTTCTTTTCATCATTCAGCATATCCACATTGATATTGACACTTTTTATTTCAGTAATACACACATGACGCAAAATACCTCTTTGTAATTTCTGACTGAATATTTTCTGGAAGCGTGTATTCCTATTTTCTTCAGCATATTTCCTCATGTTCCTGTCCCAAAGACACAAACTGTAAAACATCAAATCCTACACTAGTACAGGCAGGAGGATACAGCTTGATGCTAACACTGCATGAATGTGTGGATAACTTTATCATATTTACATATGATGGATTATATATTTCTTTTACTTTTCAGTGTCTCCTCAGAAACAATCGGCCCAGAAGGTAGTTACTCTTTCATTTATATTTTGAATTATTTATTGCATAGCCTATGAAATATATATTATGTATTGACTATTTTGTTTCTCTTTCCATTCAGGTTATATTTAAAAAGAAAGTTTCTCTTTTGAATATTGCCACAAGAATAACGGGCGGTGGGAAATCTGGAACAGGTAATTTGGCAATATACATTTAATGTCATGTGCACTCAAGATAGAAGACAACGTCCCACCCCTGAATAGATCAGCAGGGGGCTCATTGAAAATGCACTTTCTGATTCAGCAGGCCTGAGATTGTGCATTTCTACTGAGTTGTCAGGTGTTGTTGATGCTGCTGGTCCTTGGCCATGATCTTAGTAACAAGCTTATAGACTTCCCTACATTGAAATTGTGTAGAAGAACCGTTGGAAAACAGTTCAAGACATAAGAGATAAGAGGATCCGGGGACAGCATAATTTTGCTCTTATTTCAGAGCATGTTTCTATGGAAAGGGGAAGGAGAAAGAGAAAAAAGTAATAGAAATTATAGATGTCAGATGGTACTGCTTAAACCAGAGGGAGGAAGTTGTCATAATAACCCATAAACACTGGAGAATGAGGAGCAAGGTGACCACTGATGTAGTAATTATTTTCATCAAGAGAGGGATTGCAAGGCAAGAAAGAGGGGAAGGAAGAAGTTATTTAGGTAATTTTGGGGTTTCTGCTGAGGAAGCCTGAGTGAACTCACTTCACATGCATTTAGAATATTTGCATACCAGAAGATCTGATTTCTGGCTGCTCCAATGACTACTGTAATCAGGAAGGAGTGCTAGAATTGGGATAAATCACAGTGCCTCATTATTCATGTTTATTAGTATCAGACATCAGACATATATTCTTTATTAGTTATTCAAATGAGTTGAAATTTAATATGAATATTTAGTTTTTTCCAAAGTGCTGGCTGTCTTGTTAAAATAGCTATTTAATGAAAATTCTTTATAGTAAAGTGATATTCCAGAGCAGACTAATTTTACAGACAAAAATAATGTTGAATGCATTAATTGAATCTTAAAGTGATTATTTTCAATGAATATTGGACTGATTTCCAAATGTGTAAGTTTATTAATATCTAATGCCTGGAGCAATTCCATTTTGTATAAATATGTATAATTTATTATACTTTTCGATGGGGTTTATATATTAGACCTTCTTGCCATTAGTGGATGAAGAAACTTTCTGAAGGCTAAACTAGAGGATATAAGAAATGTAGGCAGACTATTACACCACATGGGCATGATAAATAATGAATATTAACTACTAGGATTCACCAAACATATATCCAAGCAGATCAATTCAGGACACTTACACTGAAGATACGTGAAGTGTACGTTCAACTGAAGTGTCATTGTAATTGTGTACCTTCTCAGTTATCAGACAAGCTAAAGAGCATGATGAATGTTTATGTTATACTGGTATAAAGCCTTCTGATGTCTTGTATGAAAGTCATGTAGTCGCAGTTAGCACCAGCTTTTACACTTATTTCTAGGGTTATGACTTGCTCCTCTGATTTTAGATCACATTTCTCCTTGTTAATCAGTATATCCACATTGATATTAACACTTTTTTTTAGCAATAGATGTGGTGCATAATCTCACTTTTTAACTTGTAACTGTATGTTTTTGAAGCTTGTATTCCTATTTTCTTTATTGCATTTCTATCATGTTACTGTCCCAAAGAAACAAACTAGAAAAACATGAAACCCTACACTAATACAGGCAAGAGTATTCAGTTTGATGCTAACACTCCACGAATGTATGGTTGGCCTTACCATATTTACATATGATTATATATTTCTCTTGCTTGTTAGAGTATCCTGAGAATCTGCGCACCTTGAAGGTAATTACTCTTACATTTATATTTTTAATTATTAACTGCATAACCTATACCAATATACATCATGTGCTAATCACTTTGTTTTAAAACCCATTCAGGCTACAATTGAAAATAAAGATTCTGTTCTGAATACAGCCACCAAAATGAAGGAGGTACAAACATCCACACCAGGTAAACTTTGCATTGTAGATTTAACTCTGGAAAGAAGTACATTAATCTGTTTGTAATGCTCATAGTCTTTCTATTCTCAATTATTTCACTTTTTATATTTTATTTCAGGATTTCATCTAAATAATGCAGCTGTTATCATTTTTATTTATATTTTCAAAAATGAGATTTACATGCATAAGGAAAATACATTTTTAAAACATAAGGTTTTTTTTTTTGTTTTGTTTTTTGTTTTTGGAGACAGAGCTTTGCTCTTGTTGCCCAGGCTGGAGTGCAATGGCTCAATTGTAGCTCACCACAACCTCCACCTTCCTGGTTCAAGCAATTCTCCTGCCTCAGCCTCCCGAGTAGCTGGGATTACAGGTATGCCCCACCATGCCCGGCTAATTTTGTATTTTTAGTAGAGACAGGCTTTCTCCATGTTGGTCAGGCTGGTCTTGAGCTCTCGACCTCAGGTGATCCTCCCGCCTCGCCCTCCCAAAGTGCTGGGATTACAGGTGTGAACCACCATGCCTGGCCTAAAAATATAAGGTTTTATTCAGATGTTTCTACTTTTACATTTTGATACTCTGAAGTTTCCAATTTGGAATTCAATAGTTTTTAGCGAATTAAAGAGATCAATTTTGATACTGTAAAATATTTGTTTTGCTTTAAAAGTCAATTAAAATTATGGCTTTTAGCTAATGAAATGTTTTATTTTGTAACATATTTTGTTTTAACTTTTATTGGTTCTGGTCAATTTTGTTACACTTATTATATTAAGCCAATCGGATGTTCTGATTAGCACACTGTGTGTGTGTGTGTGTGTGTGTGTGTTTTATTTTTTTGTTTTTAATTTTAATGAGTAAATTGTAGGTGTTTATGTTTATGGAGTAGATGAGATAGTTTGATACAGGCATACAATGTGTAATAATGACATCATGGTTAATGGGTTATCCATCACCTCAAGCATTAACCATTTCTTTGTGCTATCTTTTCATTTGTACTTCCTCAGTAATCCTAAAATGTACAACAAGTTATTTCTGACTGTAGTCATGTTTTTGTGCTATAAAATGCTACATTTTATTCATTGTTTCTAACTATAGTTTGTACTTATTAAGCATCCTCTTTTCCTACCACCCCCACACCCTTCCTAGACTGTGGTAATGGTGATTTTTCTCTTCATCTCCATGAGCTCTATTTTTTAAATTTCTCACACCCACAAAGGACTGACAACATGTGAAGGCTTCCTTTCTTTGCCTGGATTATTTTACTTGACATAATGTCCTCCTGTTCCATCCATGTCATTGCGAATGAGAGGATCTTATTCTTTCACATGGCTGAGCCGTATATGTATCACATTTTTAGAACCCATTTTTCTGTTGATGTACATTTAGGTTGATTCCAAATCATGGCTATTGTGAAAAGTGCTGCAATAAACATGTCAGGACAGATTTCTCTTTTATAATACTGATTTTCTTGCTTTTGAATCGTTACCTAGCAATGGGATTGCTGGATCATGTGGGTAGCTGTATTTTTAATTTTTTGAGGACTCTATAGTGTTCTCCATAGTGACTGTACTAATTCACAATGCCACCAATGGTGTACGAGGGTTCTGCTTTCTCCACATCCTCACCAGCATTTCTTAATGCCTGCCATTTGGATAAAAGCCATTTTAACTGAGGTGAGATGATACCTCATTGTAGCTTTGATTTGCATTTCTGTGATGATCAGTGATGTCGAGCACCTTTCCGTATACCTGTTTGCCATCTGATAGCAGTTTGAAACATAACAGTGTCATTTTGCTACTATTTCTGAGCATGTTTCTAGCCAGAGGGAAAGGAACACAAATTTAGGAAATAGAAATTATACATGTAAGGTACTACTGCTAAATTAAGAGGCTTTCCTCTTCATTTGTGGTGGGAATAATTTATAAGAGCTATATAGAAGTGTTGATATTAGTTAATCAAATGAAATTTATTTGAACTAAGAAACTTTGACTGATTTTACTAAGAAACCTATTTTTTTAATAAGATCACAGTTCCATGAAAGTGCCTTAGAGATTAGCATGGTATATCAAATCGAACTAATTTTAGAAACAAAAAGTTATAGCATTCATTCTTTGAATAACAAAACCAAAATAATCAGTGAACGTTGTACTGATTTTGAAGTATAAAATGTTATTAATGTCTGTGGAAATTTAATTTTTTCATTTTTGACAATTATTTACATATTGAAAGCTTATTATACACTTTTTTTTTTTTTTTTGAGATGGAGTCTCGCTCTGTCTCCCAGCCTGGAGTGCAATG
Organism: Homo sapiens; assembly: GCF_000001405.40. Lineage (NCBI taxonomy): Eukaryota > Metazoa > Chordata > Mammalia > Primates > Hominidae > Homo > Homo sapiens. The sequence goes on along the minus strand of NC_000002.12, from coordinate 97,534,014 downwards.
GCACAATCTCGGCTCATTGCAACCTCTACCTCCCGGGTTAAAGCGATTCTCCTGCCTCAGCCTCCTGAGTAGCTGGGATTACAGGCACATGACACCATGCCTGGCTAATTTTTGTATTTTGAGTAGAGATGGGGTTTCACCATGTTAGTCAGGCTGGTCTCGACCTCCTGACCTTGTAATCCACCCACTTCAGCCTCCCAAAGTGCTGTGATTACAGGCGTGAGCCACCACACCCAGCCTATACACTATTTTTGATGTGGTTTACATATCTTCTTGCATGAGTGGATTCAGAAAGTTCTTGACAGGGCCAAACTGCAGGATACAAGCAATGTAGACATAGCAGTAGCCTACCTAGGAATGAAAAAAATGAATAGTTTTATTAATTTTTATTCTACAACTGTCTATCTAAGCTGATTAATTTTAAACAGTTTCTCTGATGAGAAATAAATTGTATATTTATTGGAAGTGTCCTCACAACTTTGTACTTCCTAAATAATAGGAAAAATAGTTGGACATGATAAATGCTTGTAGTATAATGGTGTAATTGAATCTGAAGTATTGCATTAAAGATAGGCCATAGCATCCTCCCATCAGCTTTGACACTTACTGTCTTAGGATCATGATTTGCTATTCTTTATAAGGATCATTTTTCTCATTATCAGTCAACATGTTTACATTGAAATAGATACACTCTTCTATTTCAGTTATAGTTAGTTGAGACATAATCTCACTTTTGAAACCTTAACTACATATGTTATAAAACCTGTATTAAATAAAATCATTTATCTGAGGAAAGATAGCCGGAATCAAGGAAGACTTCACATAGCTGTCTGAGTCTTAAATTATGAAAGAAATCTGTCAGAATAGTTGAGGAAAATATTTTAGATATAAAGAAGAGACTGTACATTGATGAAAGTGTAAACAGTAGCAGTCATTTTGGAAATGATTAATAATGAACAGCAGGCTCAATGTGCTGTTCTAAAGGTACTATTGTGAAGTAAAGAACAGTGTGCTGTTACTTTTTCTGTTTCTATTGGATTTTTACATTTTGTCTTATTTCTGATGGTTTTGTTCATTGATGTTGGGTGGATGAATTTGTGAGTGAATCTTTGACCACGTTTGCATGGCTTGAACCTGGTGACATCTAGTGCCTCCCCAAGTGGTTTGCTGAAGTTTTGGAGGATTAAAAGCCTTTCTTAAAGAAGTACATATTATACTAAAGATTAAGCTTCGTTGAAACACTTTTATTTTCTGGTTTTAGAAAGAATATGGCTTTTTTTTTTTTTTTTTGAGACACAGTCTCGCTCTGCCACCCAGGCTGGAGGTGCAGTGGTGAGATCTTCAGCTCACTGCAAGCTCCACCTCCCGGGCTGACGCCATTCTCCTGCCCCAGCCTCCCGACTAGCTGGGACTACAGGCACCTGCCACCACGCCCAGTTAATTTTTTGTATTTTTTAGTAGAGACGAGGTTTCACCTTGTTAGCCAGGATGGTCTCTATCTCCTGACCTCGTGATCCACCCGCCTCAGCCTCCCAAAGTGCTGGGATTACAGGCGTGAGCCACCGCTGACCATGGCTTTTATCTAACTGTTCTGTGTAGCTCATTTTAACTAAATATATAATTTTTTTAGCAGAACAAGACTTAGAAATGGCATCAGAGGGAGAGCAAAAGAGGCTTGAAGAATATGAAAATAACCAGCCACAGGTATGTAAAAATTTAAAATCAAATTTCTGGTTTAATCTTGTTTTCCTAGCTTTGGTAATACAGCATATTTGAAATGAATTTACCTTTGGATTTGCCTTTTAGTATCAGTTGATTATAATTTAATATTTCATTTTAAAAACATTTAGTTATAAAACTTAAAATAGTGTTGGAATCTATAGCAACTTGTATCTAATCTTTACTCTTGGAATTGAGTTAAAAAGTTCCTGATATTGTTTGCACTTCTATTTTTATAACTTCCTATTATAATAAAGAAGGTAACATCAAATATTGAATTACAATTTTAAGCAATAGAAATTATGAACAATTTAACAGTGATGACCACCGTACTGGATTCAGATTAAAGGAGTAATTATTGCTAGTGGTTCAAACTTTGCAGTTTTTTTATTGCCAGTCACTAATACCAAGGTTAAGAATTTATTTTCCCTTTTGATCTCTGACTTCAGTTTCTATGTTGAGGGAGAGAATGGGTCATAAAATCAACCCAACTGGCTATCAAGAGAATTATACCTTGCAAAATGGCACCTTTGGTATTAGTGTACAAACAATAACTGCCTAATGAATTTCAATATAGAAAATCTCTAAATATTGTTAAATTTATTAAATCCACTGTCATTAGTAGACCTTAGAACTTAAGCCTATAATCTATATAAATATATAACACTGTCAATCATATTACAATATGTAATTTGCATTAAAATGTAAGAATTTGCTTTTCTTTTTTTATTTTATTATTATTGTACTTTAAATTTTAGGGAACATGTGCACAATGTGCAGGTTAGTTACATATGTATATATGTGCCATGCTGGTACGCTGCACCCATTAACTCGTCATTTAGCATTAGGTATACCTCCTAATGCTATCCCTCCCCCCTCCCCCCACCCCACAACAGTCCCCAGAGTGTGATGTTCCCCTTCCTGTGTCCACGTGTTCTCGTTGTTCAATTCCCACCTATGAGTGAGAGCATGCAGTGTTTGGTTTTTTGTCCTTGCGATAGTTTACTGAGAATGATGATTTCCAATTTCATCCATGTCCCTACAAAGGACATGAACTCATCATTTTTTATGGCTGCATAGTATTCCATGGTGTATATGTGCCACATTTTCTTAATCCAGGCTATCATTGTTGGACATTTGGGTTGGTTCCAAGTCTTTGCTATTGTGAATAGTGCCACAATAAACATACGTGTGCATGTGTCTTTATAGCAGCATGATTTATAGTCCTTTGGGTATATACCCAGTAATGGGATGGCAGGGTCAAATGGTATTTCTAGTTCTAGATCCCTGAGGAATCACCACACTGACTTCCACAATGGTTGAACTAGTTTACAGTCCCACCAACAGTGTAAAAGTGTTGCTATTTCTCCACATCCTCTCCAGCATCTGTTGTTTCCTGACTTTTTAATGATTGCCATCCTAACTGGTGTGGGATGGTATCTCATTGTGGTTTTGATTTGCATTTCTCTGATGGCCAGTGATGATGAGCATTTTTTCATGTGTTTTTTGGCTGCATAAATGTCTTCTTTTGAGAAGTGTCTGTTGATATCCTTTGCCCACTTTTTGATGGGGTTGTTTGTTTTTTTCTTGTAAATTTGTTTGAGTTCTTTGTAGATTCTGGATATTAGCCCTTTGTCAGATGAGTAGGTTGTGAAAATTTTCTCCCATTTTGTAGGTTGCCTGTTCACTCTGATGGTAGTTTCTTTTGCTGTGCAGAAGCTCTTTAGCTTAATTAGATCCCATCTGTCAATTTTGGCTTTTGTTGCCATTGCTTTTGGTGTTTTAGACATGAAGTCCTTGCCCATGCCTATGTCCTGAATGGTAATGCCTAGGTTTTCTTCTAGGGTTTTTATGGTTTTAGGTCTAACGTTTAAGCCTTTAATCCATCTTGAATTAATTTTTGTATAAGGTGTAAGGAAGGGATCCAGTTGCAGCGTTCTACATATGGCTAGCCAGTTTTCCCAGCACCATTTATTAAATAGGGAATCCTTTCCCCGTTGCTTGTTTTTCTCAGGGTTGTCAAAGATCAGATAGTTGTAGATATGTGGCATTATTTCTGATGGCTCTGTTCTGTTCCATTGGTCTATATCTCTGTTTTGGTACCAGTACCATGCTGTTTTGGTTACTGTAGCCTTGTAGTATAGTTTGAAGTCAGGTAGTGTGATGCCTCCAGCTTTGTTCTTTTGGCTTAGGATTGATGTGGTGATGCGGGCTCTTTTTTGGTTCCATATGAACTTTAAAGTAGTTTTTTCCAATTCAGTGAAGAAAGTCATTGGGAGCTTGATGGGGATGGCACTGATTCTATAAATTACCTCGGGCAGTATGGCCATTTTAACGATACTGATTCTTCCTACCCATGAGCATGGAATGTTCTTCCATTTGTTTGTATCCTCTTTTATTTCCTTGAGCAGTGATTTGTAGTTCTCCTTGAAGAGGTCCTTCACGTCCCTTGTAAGTTGGATTCCTAGGTATTTTATTCTCTTTGAAGCAATTGTGAATGGGAATTCACTCATGATTTGGCTCTCTGTTTGTCTGTTATTGTTGTATAAGAATGCTTGTGATTTTTGTACATTGATTTTGTATCCTGAGACTTTGCTGAAGTTGCTGATCAGCTTAAGGAGATTTTGGGCTGAGACAATGGGGTTTTCTAGATATACAATCATGTCGTCTGCAAACAGGGACATTTTGACTTCCTCTTTTCCTAATTGAATACCCTTTATTTCCTTCTCCTGCCTAATGGGCCTGGCCAGAACTTCCAACACTATGTTGAATAGGAGTGGTGAGAGAGGGCATCCCTGTCTTGTGCCAGTTTTCAAAGGGAATGCTTCCAGTTTTTGCCCATTCAGTATGATATTGGCTGTGGGTTTGTCATAGATAGCTCTTATTATTTTGAGATACGTCCCATCAATACCTAATTTATTGAGAGTTTTTAGCATGAAGGGTTGTTGAATTTTATCAAAGGCCTTTTCTGCATCTATTGAGATAATCATGTGGTTTTTGTCTTTGGTTCTGTTTATAAGCTGGATTACATTTATTGATTTGCGTATATTGAACCAGCCTTGCATCCCAGGGATGAAGCCCACTTGATCATGGTGGATAAGCTTTTTGATGTGCTGCTGGATTCGGTTTGCCAGTATTTTATTGAGGATTTTTGCATCAATGTTCACTAAGGATATTGGTCTAAAATTCTCTTTTTTGGTTGTGTCTCTGCCCAGCTTTGGTATCAGGATGATGCTGGCCTCATAAAATGAGTTAGGGAGGATTCCCTCTTTTCTATTGATTGGAATAGTTTCAGAAGGAATGGTACCAGTTCCTCCTTGTACCTCTGGTAGAATGCGACTGTGAATCCATCTGGTCCTGGACTCTTTTTGGTTGGTAAGCTATTGATTATTGCCACAATTTCAGAGCCTGTTATTGGTCTATTCAGAGATTCAACTTCTTCCTGGTTTAGTCTTGGGAGGGTGTATGTGTCCAGGAATTTATCCATTTCTTCTAGATTTTCTAGTTTATTTGCATAGAGGTGTTTGTAGTATTCTCTGATGGTAGTTTGTATTTCTGTGGGATTGGTGGTGATACCCCCTTTATCATTTTGTATTGCATCTATTTGATTCTTCTCTCTTTTCTTCTTTATTAGTCTTGCTAGCGGTCTATCAATTTTGTTGATCCTTTCAAAAAACCGGCTCCTGGATTCATTAATTTTTTGAAGGGTTTTTTGTGTCTCTATTTCCTTCAGTTCTGCTCTGATTTTAGTTATTTCTTGCCTTCTGCTAGCTTTTGAATGTGTTTGCTCTTGCTTTTCTAGTTCTTTTAATTGTGATGTTAGGGTGTCAATTTTGGATCTTTCCTGCTTTCTCTTGTGGGCATTTAGTGCTATAAATTTCCCACTGTACACTGCTTTGAATGTGTCCCAGAGATTCTGGTATGTTGTGTCTTTGTTCTCGTTGGTTTCAAAGAACATCTTTATTTCTGCCTTCATTTCGTTATGTACCCAGTAGTCATTCAGGAGCAGGTTGTTCAGTTTCCATGTAGTTGAGCGGTTTTTAGTGAGTTTCTTAATCCTGAGTTCTAGTTTGATTGCACTGTGGTCTGACAGACAGTTTGTTATACTTTCTGTACTTTTACATTTGCTGAGGAGAGCTTTACTTCCAACTATGTGGTCAATTTTGGAATAGGTGTGGTGTGGTGCTGAAAAAAATGTATATTCTGTTGATTTGGGGTGGAGAGTTCTGTAGATGTCTATTAGGTCCACTTGGTGCAGAGTTGAGTTCAATTTCTGGGTCTCCTTGTTAACTTTGTGTCTCGTTGATCTGTCTAATGTTGACAGTGGGATGTTAAAGTCTCCCATTATTATTGTGTGGGAGTCTAAGTCTCTTTGTAGGTCACTCAGGACTTGCCTTATGAATCTGGGTGCTCCTGTATTGGGTGCATATATATTTAGGATAGTTAGCTCTTCTTTTTGAATTGATCCCTTTACCATTATGTAATGGCCTTCTTTGTCTCTTTGATCTTTGTTGGTTTAAAGTCTGTTTTATCAGAGATAGGATTGCAACCCCTGCCTTTTTTTGTTTTCCATTTGCTTGGTAGATCTTCCTCCATCCTTTTATTTTGAACCTATGTGTGTCTCTGCATGTGAGATGGGTTTCCTGAATACAGCACACTGATGGGTCTTGACTCTTTATCCAATTTGCCAGTCTGTGTCTTTTAATTGGAGCATTTAGTCCATTTACATTTAAAGTTAATATTGTTATGTGTGAATTTCATCCTGGCATTATGATGTTAGCTAGTTATTTTGCTCGTTAGTTAATGCAGTTTCTTCCTAGTCTCGATGGTCTTTATATTTTGTCATGATTTTGCAGTGGCTGGTACCGGTTGTTCCTTTCCATGTTTAGTGCTTTCTTCAGGAGCTCTTTTAGGGCAGGCCTCATGGTGACAAAATCTCTCATCATTTGCTTGTCTATAAAGTATTTTATTTCTCCTTCACTTATGAAGCTTAGTTTGGCTGGGTACAAAATTCTGGGTTGAAAATTCTTTTCTTTAAGAATGTTGAATATTGGCCCCCACTCTCTTCTGGTTTGTAGAGTTTCTGCCGAGAGATCCACTGTTAGTCTGATGGGCTTCCCTTTGTGGGTAACCCGACCTTTCTCTCTGGTTGCCCTTAACATTTTTTCCTTCATTTCAACTTTGGTGAATCTGACAATTATGTGTCTTGGAGTTGCTCTTCTCGAGGGGTATCTTTGTGGCGTTGTCTGTATTTCCTGAATCTGAATGTTGGCCTGCCTTGCTAGATTGGGGAAGTTCTCCTGGATAATATCCTGAAGAGTGTTTTCCAACTTGGTTCCATTCTCCCCGTGACTTTCAGGTACACCAATCAGATGTAGATTTGGTCTTTTCACATAGTCCCATATTTTTTGGAGACTTTGTTCATTTCTTTTTATTCTTTCTTCTCTCAACTTCCCTTCTCGCTTCATTTCATTCATTTCATGTTCCATCACTGATACCCTTTCTTCCAGTTGATCGCATCGGCCTCTGAGGCTTCTGCATTCTTCACGTAGTTCTCGAGCCTCCGCTTTCAGCTCCATCAGCTCCTTTAAGCACTTCTCTGTATTGGTTATTCTAGGTATACATTCATCTAAATTTTTTTCAAAGTTTTTAACTTCTTTGCCTTTGGTTTGAATTTCCTCCTGTAGCTCAGAGTAGTTTGATCATCTGAAGCCTTCTTCTCTCAACTTGTCAAAGTCATTCTCCGTCCAGCTTTGTTCCATTGCTGGTGAGGAACTGTGTTCCTTTGGAAGAGGAGAGGCACTCTGCTTTTTAGAGTTTCCAGTTTTTCTGCTCTGTTTTTTCCCCATCTTTGTGGTTTTATCTACTTGTGGTCTTTGATGATGGTGATGTACAGATGGGTTTTTGGTGTGGATGTCCTTTCTGTTTGTTAGTTTTCCTTCTACCAGACAGGACCCTCAGCTGCAGGTCTGTTGGAGTTTGCTAGAGGTCCACTCCAGACCCTGTCTGCCTGGGTATCAGCAGCGGTGGCTGCAGAACAGTGGATTTTCATGAACAGCGAATGCTGCTGTGTGATCTTTCCTCTGGGAGTTTTGTCTCAGAGGAGTACCCAGCCATGTGAGGTTCAGTCTGCCCCTACTGGGGGGTGCCTCCCAGTTAGGCTGCTTGGGGTCAGTGGTCAGGGACCCACTTGAGGAGGCAGTCTGCCCATTCTCAGATCTCCAGCTGCAGGCTGGGGGAACCACTGCTGTCTTCAAAGCTGTCAGACAGGGACATTTAAGTCTGCAGAGGTTACTGCTGTCTTTTTGTTTCTCTGTGCCCTGCCCCCAGAGGTGGAGCCTACAGAGGCAGGAAGGCCTCCTTGAGCTGTGGTGGGTTCCACCCAGTTTGAGATTCCCAGCTGCTTTGTTTACCTAAGCAAGCCTGGGCAATGGCAGGCGCCCCTCCCCCAGCCTCACTGCTGCCTTGCAGTTTGATCTCAGACTGCTGTGCTAGCAATCAGTGAGACTCAATGGGCATAGGACTGTCTGAGCCAGGTGCAGGATATAATCTCCTGGTGCGCCATTTTTTAAGCCCATTGGAAAAGTGCAGTATTAGGGTGGGAGTAACCCAATTTTCCAGGTGCTGTCTGTCACCCCTTTCTTTGACTAGGAAAGGGAACTCCCTGACCCCTTCCACTTCCTGAGTGAGGCAATGCCTCACCCTCCCTCAGGTCATGCACAGTGCACTGCACCCACTATCCTGCACCCACTGTCTGGCACTCCCTAGTGAGATGAACCTGGTACCTCAGATGGAAATGCAGAAATCACCCATCTTCTGCGTCGCTCACACTGGGAGCTGTAGACCAGAGCTGTTCCTATTTGGCCATCTTGGCTGCCAGACAAAGAATTTGCTTTTCTTACTGACTGGTGGTGATTTTGGCTCCTAATAATTTAAAGTTTGCCTAATCATTAGTTAGTAATATTAGGAAAAAGCACTCAAGTGTACACTGTTCATATAGTGATAAAATCTTTTAAAGTGACAGTGCCTTTATAGTACCACAAGTCATCTCCTAATTCATTTTTGGGAAATTTAACACATAATGAATTAGTCAAGTTTAGTTCAAACAAACAGTGGCAAATTAAAGTTTCATGATTTGTGTTTTTCACTGATTTTAGGCTAATGCAAATTATTTTTCACTTCTTAGTTACAATCCAGTGATTTGGCAGTAGGTAAACATAGATTAAGAAGTTTGATATTAAACTTTAATTATTTTAAAATTTTTCTCTTTTTACACTTGATTATTTAAAGATAGAGTTATTTCTAAAACATGTACTCTGACAGAAAAGACATCTGAGAAAGAAAACTAGCAAATTTATCTTCCACTTTTGCATGTGCAAAAATTGTCTCAACAACTAGTAGTGAAAAAGTGTTGTGATAGAAAGGACCTCTTTATATATTCAGGACTTACTTGTGCACAAAAGTATGAGAGAATGTGGATCAAACAAGACAAATTAGGGTAAAAAAACTTTAAAATTCATCACAAATAAGTTAAAGTAGAGTTTCAGTGAAATTTGTGAAAATTACAAAACTGCTTGTATTGAGGAAGAGCAACTACATAATAACTCTACAGGAAGAACAAACTTAAGTAAATACCCTCTAATTTGACAAATGATTCACCTGATTGTTAGGAAAGTGATGCATCTGGCATGTCTGTCTCTGTAGTAGTCCAGATATTTCCTGAACAAAAATAACCCAGTCTCAAAAATGCCTTTCTTTCTCATTCATACTCTGGGTCTCCAGAATATGCTTGCCAGTCACCTTCGGAGCTTTATTTAAATAGAAATAAAGTAGACTGTGAAAATGACAACAAACCAGATACTGAACATGTTTTTAACTCAGACAAGGAAAATTTTTATAATGATACTGAAAGTACAAAAGCAAGAAACCCAGAAGTAGTTATGGATGAAATAAAAGAAGTCAAATAGGTTGTGAGGCAAATGACAAAAAACCAAAACACCGCTAACTGGAAATTAAACATCGGACATATGCCTCAATTTAGTGATTCAAAAAGCCTTTTAGGTATGTGGCTTACCTGCTCCAAAGAAATGAAGCATGTGATTTAAAAAAAAAAAAAAAGATGATGGTGTTTCTGTTGTTACAAACACAACAGTACAAAACCAATACAGAATGTGTTCCAGAAGCCGTTATGTGACAACTGTAGTGCAAATAAATATGAAAGCATAAAACTTGAATTAGAAAATGTGCATTATTCTCCACCACATGGTGACAGAACATCAGCAGTATGTCTAGAAGTGGAATTAAGTGATATATGCAAAGATTTAAGAATGAGGTAAGCATATTACAAGTAAAGTAGAGTTCCTGGCTTTGGAGAAAGTTCAACTTCCAAAAGACTTAGAGGGTCACTTGCTGCTACTCTGGTTTTTCTCTTCACCAATTATTTGATCCATTTGAATTTTTTTACTTATGAAAATCTCTTGTGTAAAATGGGGTAATCTAAATACCTAATTGTATGTATAAATAGATTGTTTTTGCAATTAAAATAACTCAAGCTCAGGAAGACATTCTCTTAATCTTTGTTCCTTAATTAACCCAAGTCTCTCTGTCAGTTTTCTAAATAGCATAGGAACTGGGAAACTAATTTATCCATAGACCATGTGGTCTTCTGAACTAGAGTCAACATAAAGGAAATTGCTTAAAAAAAAAGTATGGAACAGGTACCTGTGTTTGTGCTCATAGAAACAGATGGGCAATTCCCACTTCTGTACATTTAGTATATGCTATAAATATTTTGGGGACATTTTGAAACAGTGTTATTTATTTTGTAGGTGAAAAACCAAATACATTCTAGGGATGACCTTGATGACATAATTCAGTCATCTCAAACAGTCTCAGAGGACGGTGACTCGCTTTGCTGTAATTGTAAGAATGTCATATTACTCATTGATCAACATGAAATGAAGTGTAAAGGTAGGACCAATGCATAAATATAAGGCTTTTTAAAAATCCTATAGCAATGTATGCACACATTGCTTAACACTGTACCATAGAGTACTGATATGTTACAAGAATGTTCATCTCAGAAATATGCCTTATGTTAAAATAGAATGAAAGCAACTGTATCTTGTACCTTCTCAGCCAAAGAGCTATGATCATTTCACTGTACTTTTCTCAGTGTGAATGATACACACAGTGTGTTTGTTTACTCTGCTTCTCTTCTATGCCATTACCCATTTACCCATGGTCATGTTACCATTTCCTCCCACCTGAAATACTGTGATAACCCTCTAACTGTCTTTCCTACTATTCCACCTTCCAAAACCATGGCCTGTTCTGCAATCATAATTATATAGTTGTAAAAAATCACACCTGATCATGTTACCTGCTTGCTGAAAACCCAGCTGCCATTTATTGCTATAAGATATGGATCTCAGTCCTCGAGCTTTATACTGCATCATTGCATACCCTTCTCTGTGTCACAGCCAGTGCCTTAGGTGTTTGCTCCTACAATCAGTAGCTTTAGTGTGGTAAAATTGATATGCGATACAGTGCACACATGTAAAAGGTACCATTTGATAAGTTTTAACAGATGTATACACATGTGAAACTATTACCATCATCGAGATAGTCAACATATATCCATCACCCACTAACGTCTCCTCATGGCCCTTCATATTCCTGTTTTTAAAAGCTGCTAAATGGTTTTCCAAAATATTTGTACTATTTTCTATTCTCATCAGCAGTAAATGACCATTCCAGTTGCTATGTTGTCACACTACTGCTGTATTTATTTTTTTAAATTTTAGTTATTCTGATGGGTGTATTATGTATATTCTTATGGGTTTAATGTACATGATCCTAATGACTAAAATGTTGAGCATCTTTCCATGTGTTTATTTGCCATCTGTACATCTTCTTTGTTGAACTGTCTTTTCACATCTTTTGCATATAAAAAAGTAGGTTGATGTTTTCTTACGTGTTGAATTTTAATAATTCTGTATGTATTTGGATACTATTACTTTTAGCTACTTTTTTACAAGGGTATTTTTGCCAGTTTTTGGGTTGACTTTTCACTTGCTTTGTAGTATCTTTTGAAGAGCAGAAGATTTTAATTGTAATGAAATCCAATTTAATTGTTGAATTACAGATTTTGCATTTTGTGTCATATGTAAAAATGTTTGCCTAGCACAAGGTCACAAAGATTTTTCCTGTGTTTGTTCTAGAAATTTTATAGATTTGGATCTTCCATTTAAATCTGTGCTCCATTTTGAGTTTCCTTTTGTCTATGGAGTGAGGTGAGGTATGGATTCAAGTTCACTTTATGGATATGGACAGCCAGTTGTTCCAACACCGCATGTTGAAAAGGCTATCCTTTCTCCACTGCATTGCCATCCTGCCTTTGTCAGTCATAAGCTGGTTGCTTATGTGTTATCTATTTCTGGACTGTCTGTTGAATTTTATTAATTTGCAGGTGCTCCCCAAATTGTGGGAAACCCAGTGTTTGAGTCAAAAGCAATTTAATACTTCAGTAAACCCACTGTAAAGTCAGTAAGTCAAACCACCTTAAGTTGGGGATTGTCTGAATTTGACTTTCTTTATACAGGTTGAGCATTGCTGATTTAAATATCCCAAATCTGAAATGCTCTAAAACCCCAGACTTTTTGATTGCCAACATAGACAGCACAGTGGAAAAATTCTACATCCGACCTCATGTATACAAACATTGTTTCATGCCCCAAATTATTAAAAGTATTATTTAAAATTACCTTCAGTCTTTGTGTACAAGGTAAATATGAAAAACAAATGTATTTTGTGTTTAGACTTGGGTCCTATCCCCAAGATATTTCATCATGTATATGCAAATATTCCAAAATCCAAAATCTGAAAAACTTCTAGTCTGAAGCATTTTGAATAAGGGATATTCAGCCTGTACCTGTGGCACACTGTTTTTGTTACTATTGATTTATAGTAATTCTTGAAATGAATCCTCCAATTTTGTTCTTTGTTCTGTTTTGACTATGCTAGATCCTTTGCATTTTCACATGAACTTTAGAATCAGCTTATCAATAAAATAAAGACTGCTCGCTTGTTGGAAATTAAGTTGGGATTGGGTCATATTTATAGATTAATTTGGGGAGAATTGACATCTTAACAATAGCGAATCTACTCCTCAATAAAGTGTATGTCTGCTTTTATAGAGGTAATATTTAATTTTCTCAGTAGTATTTTGTAGTTTTTAGTTTATAGGTCTTTTCATATTTTATCAGATTTATCTGTATTTCATTTTTGATGAAGTTGTAAATGATAGTTTAATTAGTGTAGATGTATTTGACTTTCTTTATACAGGTTGAGCATTGCTAATCCAAATATACACTTTTATAAAACTATAGAAAATGATAGTTTTAAAATTTTCATTTGATTGTTTATCGCTAGCATATAGAAATACAGTTAATTTTTCTGTATTGAATTTGTATCCTTCATTCTTGTTAAACTCACTTATTAGTTCTGGCACATTGTTGGTAGATTTGATCAGATTTTCTTCATAGACCAAAGGTTGTTAAACCTTTCTTTCTCAAACTACCCTCTTACTAAGGATAGTGAATATTTTAGGCTTGTGGCAAAAGGGTCTCTTTTGCAGCTGATAAACTCTGCCATTTTAGTATGAGAGCAGCCATAGATCATCCATAAATTAATGAACACAGCTGTGTTCCAATAAAAGCTTATCGGACAAGAAGCTGGCCCACAGGTTGGGGTTTACCCATACCTATTTTATGGTCATGGTTGTGTATAAAGACAATTTTATTTCTTTTTTTTAAACTTGGATGCCTCTTATTTCTTTTTCTTGCCTGACTGCATTAACTAGAATCTTCAGAACAATGCTACAAACAAGTAGTGAAAGCAGACATTCCCATGTTCTTCCTCATCTTATGGGAAATGCATTCAGTTTTTCACTATGATGCACGTTAGCTGTAGGTTCATCATAGACGTTGTTTATCATGCTGAAGAACTTCCCTTGGATTCTTATGTTACTGAGAGTGTTTCTTCTTTGAGACATCAGGAGTAAATTTTATCAGATGCCTGTGTCTGTTGGGATGATCCTATGGGTCTTCTCTTTCAGTTTGTTTTGTGGTAAATAATGATGATGTTTCAATGTTAAGCCAACCTTCCATTTCTGGAATAAACCCCATTTGTTTATGATGTATTACCTTTTCATTATACTGTCGGATACAGTTTACTAAAGTCTCATTTAGAATTTATTATAAAGACTTTTATTTTTTAGACCAGTTTTATGTTCCTGTCAAAATTGAGAGGGGGGTTCAGATATTTTTTTGTATACCCCCAATCCAATACATGTTTAGCCTCCTTCATTACCAGTATCCTTCACCATAGTGGTAGTTGCTATGATAGATGAGCCTAAATTGACACATCACAATCACCCCAAGCCCATAATTTGCATTGGGGTTCACTCTTGGTACTTTACATGTATGGATTTGGACAAATGTACAATGATGTGTATCCATGTTACATAAATTATTTTGACTTCCCTAAAAATCCTCTGTGCTCTGCCTATGTATCTTTTCCTGCTGTCTCTTACCCTTAGGCACCCTTTTACTTTATCCATAGTTTTGCCTCTTCCTGATCATATAGTTGGAACCATACAGTAAGTAGCCTTTTCAGATGAGCTTATGTCACTTGGTAATATGCATTTAAGGTTCCTTCACATATTTTCATGAATTGATTGCTCATTTCTTTATGTGTAGAGTGATATTCCACTGTATGGCTGTGTAACCACAGTTTATTCACTCCACTATGGGAGGATGTCTTCGTTGCATCACAAATTGGTTGAATTTTTACATTCGTGCTCATGAGGGAATTTTCTTGTTGGTAATATTTTCTGGTTTTGGTTCAGGGTAAAGCTAACATTACAGACTGAGTTGAGATATACTCCTTCTTTCTGTTTCTTTTGGGAGAGTTTATGTATAATTGTATTAATTTCTTCCGGAAATGTTTTGTAGAATCACCAGCATAGCCAGCTGGGTCTGGAGTTTTCTTTTAGGAAGGTTTTTAACTATAACTTAACTTTCTTCTATAGATATAGGGCAATTCACGTTATCTATTGCTTCTTGATTGAGATTTGCTAATTTTCATTTTTAAAGGAATTTGTTAATTTTATCTAAGTTGTCCTGTTTACTTACATAGAAATTATAATATCTTGTTATATTTTTAGTATCTGTAGAATCTATAATTATGTCACATTGTTTATTTCTGAAATTAGTAATTTGTATTGTTTCTTTTATTCTGAGCAGCCTGGCTAAATGGAGCTTTATCACATTTATTGATCTCCTCAAGGTGTTTTGTGTTGTTGATTTTTTTCTATTGTTTCTTCTGGAACCAACAGTATAACAAAATACCATAGACTGGTTCAAACAACAGAAGTTGATTTCTCGCAGTTGTGGGTTCAGCAAAGTCCAAGATCCAGATGCTGTCATGTTTGGTGTATGGTTAGGGAACACGTCCTAGTTCATGAATGCTTTTTCTCTGTGCCCTCACTTGGCAGAAGGGGTGAAGGAGATCTGGGGTCTGTTGTATAGAGCACTAAGCACTAATCCCATTCATTAGGGCTTCGCTCTCATGACCAACTACCTGTAAAAATCCCCCCTCCTAATACCGTCACATCTGTGATTGGCTTTCAGCATATAAATTTTGGGGAAGACAAACATTCAGACCACAGCAGATGTTTATTATTTCCTTTCCTCTGCTTGCTTTGGGTTTATGTCACTCTTCTTTTATCTAGTTGCTTAAGGTAGAAGTCAAAGTCATTGATTTAAGACTCTTCTAATGTAGACATTCAGCAGTGCTAAAAATTTGTATTCAAGTACAGCTGTAGCTGCATTCCACAAATTCTGGTTGATGAATTTTTATTCAGTTCAGAATATTTTCTATTTTCTATTTCTATTTTCATTACCTGTTTGACCCAGGGTTATTTAGATGTGTGTTACTTAGTTTCCAAATATTTGTGTATTTCCCAGAGTTATTTTTGTTATCGGTCTTTAATCTGATTGATTTGTGGTCAGGGCACATACTTTGTATGAGTTAAATCCTTCTGACTCAATCCTTTAATTGAGAGTTGTTGTATGGCCTAAAATATGGTCTATTTTGGTAAGTGTTCCGTGGGTACTTGGAAAGCATAGTGTTGTTCAAGTCTATTCTCGCTGATTTTCTGCCTTCTTGTTCTATCACTTATTGAGTAAAGGGTATTGAAACCTCAGATTACCTAGAAATTGTCTGTCACTTTTTGTAGTTCTATCCACTTTGGTCTCATATATTGTGAGGCTGGTTTGTTATTAGGGGCATAAAGACTGAGGATTGTTATGTTTTGTTGATTAACTGAACCTTTTACTATTGTGACATGACCTTTGTTATTTATTGCTGGAATGTTTTTTTTTTTTTGCTATGAAATCTACTTTGGTATTAATACAGCCACACCTGCTCAGCTGCCTTTGCCAACTGTTAGCATGTATCTTTTTCCATCCTTACAACCAATTTGTGTCTTTACATTTAAAGTGCATTTCTTATAGGCAGCCTGTAGTTGGGTCTTGCTTTCTTGCTGAGCCTGACAGTCTGTATTATAGTTGAGGTTCTTAGACAAGTGTCATTTGTAATGTGATTACTGATATAGTTATGTTTGTCTGGTAGCTGTGTGATTGCTATTAGTCCCAACTGTTCTCTGTTCCCCTTCTTTTCCTGCTTTCCTTTAGATTAGTCAACTGTTTTTTATGATTCAATTTTATATATATTTTTGGGTTTATTAGCGATAACTGTTTTGCTATCTTAGTGTTTAGGATTTTTAGTATATAATTTTAACTTATCACAGTTCACCTTCAGTAATATTATACATCCTAGATGGTATAAAAAATGACAATGATACATTTTCATTTTTTTCTGTCCCAGACACTTCCTTCCTGAATCTGTGGGATTATGGTTTGTGTTAAGGTTAGAATATTTTTGGTCATTTTTTCTTTAATTTTTTTTCTGTCTCTTCTTTTTTATTTGAGGAGTTATCTATTAGCTGCTTGAAAGTTTCTTGCAGTTTATCGTGTCAAATTTAGGAATTTTTCCTTTGTTATCTCTAATTTGTGTTTATTTCCATCCACTATAGTTTTTACTTATGACAATGTAATTTGTGTCTCTACAAGTATGGTTTGTGTTTTTTTAAAAAAAAACCTTCCCTGCCTCCACTTATTATCTTGAGTTTTATTTGGAGTACAGAGATTTACTTATAATCTTTCCATTCTTGCTTTTAGATTTGGGGTAATTCCTCACTCCTGAGGCAAGACCTTTCGGAGTATTCATTGTCCTGTGAAGTATGCGGTATTTTGGCCTGGCTCATGGGAATGGACCCTCTTCCAGTCATTGTGTGAACCCCAGACATCGTTTCTGCTAATGTTCTTTAACTGTTGTTTTTTTTTATTTTATTTTTCATTGTTCTTAGGAAGTTTCCTAGTACACAAGCACTTTTCATTACTCCACTAAATACCCAAGAGGGAATCTCTGCACATCTCCAGGATTTGTTTCCTGTACTGCTTTTTTCTCTCCAGTTTTCTGTCCTGTGATCTCTATCTGCTTTGGTTTTACTGGCCTCTCAGCGTCATCACCCCAGCTCTATGTCAGATTTTCTCCCTTTGTGATGGCCTCGAACCTCCGTCAAAACTCTGTCAAAAGAGCTGGGATATTTGTAAGGCCTGCTGTATTTGTTTTCTGTCTTTCAGTGATCACCTACCATCTTCATTGCCTGAAGTCCACTGTGTTGAAAATCAGTTTAATGTATTGTGTCTGTTTTGTTTTTTATTCATTCAGATAAGATGAAAAATCAGTATCTGTTACTCCATCAGAGCTAGTAACAGATTGCAGCAGAGCTTCAGCACAGCACATGCTGCAAACTAGCCAGAGTGCTTTGCTTTCTTCTTTGCTTAACTGCTTCTTTCTCATCCTTCATTTCTCAGTGTAGCATCTCTTCCTCAGGGAAATCTTCCCTGGGTGAAGTATAGATCAAATTATCTTATGCAATCACATAACTATGTTTTTTTTTTTTTTTTTTTTTTACAGGACCTATCTGAGTTTATAACTGTCACCTTTTTATCTTGGTTCTTCACTATACTTTAAGCTAAAACAATAGCAGAGGTGTTGTCTTATCTGCAGACCTTACTATAATATCTTCCACCTTGTAGGCACTCAATATGTACATACTTGTTCAACGTATGAATGAATACATGTTAAAAATGCACAGTCCTTTATATCCAAAAATCTACTCATGTATTTTATCTCTAGTTTGTTTTTTCCTGGTTACAGATTGTGTTCACCTATTGAAAATTAAAAATACATTTTGTTTATGGAAAAGATTAATAAAACTTAAAGATAACCACTGTGAGCAACTTAGAGTAAAAATTCGAAAACTGAAAAATAAGGCTAGTGTACTACAAAAGAGAATATCTGAAAAAGAAGAAATAAAATCGCAGTTAAAGCATGAAATACTTGAATTGGAAAAAGAACTCTGTAGTTTGAGGTATGACCTAGTTTTAAATAAATGTTTGAACTGTTTGTTTTATATTAAAGACGTATAAGGAGAAGTTTTGTAATTGCGAACTTTCCTTCTAGGATTTAACAGGGAAGAAAGCTTCTTAATCTTATGGAGTGTGAAATTATTGGATATAATATCACAAGTTCTTAATTGTGAATACTTCTCTAATAATTAAATGCATATTCTTTTAAATCATAGTTTTAATGGCTGTATAGAATTTTACCTTTTGGAAATCTCATTATTTAATTGATGAATTGAATTTCAGGTTTTAAAAAGTTTTTGTAATAATGCTACAAGGAACATCTTTTATATACACATAGTTTTCTACATTTCTAATTATTTACATTGGATAAATTCTTCTGGTTAAAGTATAGAAACTTTTTTAGATCTGTTTTAGATCTGTGATCAATATTTCTAAATTGTTCTTAAGGATGTTCATATTAATTTATAATTCAACCAACAGAGTATAAAACAGATATTTTTCTTTACCCAGAATAATTATTTTAAAAATTATCAGCCGGGTGCAGTGGCTCATGCCTGTAATCCCAGCACTTTGGTAGGCCGAGGTGGGCAGATCACGAGGTCAGGAGTTCGAGACCAGTCTGCCCAACACAGTGAAATGCTATCTCTACTAAAAATACAAAAAATTAGCCAGGTATGGTGGTTGTACCTGTAATCCCAGCTACGCAGGAGGCTGAGGCAGGAGAATCACATGAAACTGGGAGGCAGAGGTTGCAGTGAGCAGAGATTGCACCAGTGCACTCCAGCCCAGTGATAGTAGGAGACTCCCTCTCAAAAAAAAAAAAAAAAAAATGTATCCAGTTTTATTCTTAATATGCAGGGAATAAAAAGTAAAATGTAAAGTGATTACTGATTAGCTTATTCAACATCTCTCTGCTATGTAGATAAAATTAATTCAGTTTTATGCTGAAGACATGTATTATTCTTTATTGTTTAATTAAATATTAGATCTTGTGTTGTTCCAAAACAGATTTTACAATTGGTTATAAAGTACATACTAATCAGCAGGATAGACTGAAAGTGTTACCCAAAAAACAATCTTAAAAAGTGTAGGGTAACATATTACATTCTTAACCTAGTCTTGGATTACAGTAATCTGCTGATATATGTTTCATAAAGACATCGAAAATGCTATCTTGCAATGTAAATTATGTTTAGGGATACTTGCAATGAATGTTTCATGAAGATGAAAATGTATTTCTAGTGAATGTACCAACTTGTTTATAAAAAGTAACTTTATGTTAATTAACTCTAAATGATTCATCCTAATTGAGGAGTAATTACTGTGAAGAAAAGATAATTTTTATCTTGTAACTTTACTGAATAATTTTCAACGTCCTTTTTCATAATATTTGCTAGAGTTACTAGTAATAGAAACTTATGCAGGATGTTCTTTTATCAATACATTTCAACTTATACATGCCCTTTGGATGAGATTGAGGTGAGAAATTAAAAACATGAGAACTAGAAAGAAAAATAGTATTTAAGAACATAGAAACTTTATTAGGATAATAAACCAACATATGAATGTTTTATTTTCTAATATCAACAAAGAGAGTCAAACTCTGTAAGATATTTGAAGACATTTATTCTGAGCCAAATATGAGTGACCGTGGCCCCCGACACAGCCCTCAGGAGGTCCTGAGAACATGTGCCCGAAGTGGTCGGGGTGCAGCTTGGTTTTATACATTTTAGAGAAGCATGAGACAGCAATCAAATACATGTAAGAAATACATTGATTTGGTTCAGAAAGGCAGGCCAACTCAAAGCTGGGGCTTCCAGGCTGTAGGTAAATTTAAACATTTTCTGGTTGACAATTGCTTGAGTTTATTTGAAGACCTGGGATTAATGGAAAGAAATGTTCAGGTTAAGATAAATGATTGTGGGGACCAAGTTTTACTGTGCAGAGGAATCTCTCAGCAGACTTCAGAGAGAGCAGATTGTAAAATGTTTCTTATCGGACCCAAAAGGGTGCCTGGCTCTCAGCTGAATATCCCCTGGATCTGCATAGAAAGGAAGGAAAACAAAGGGGAAAGGGGGTTCTCTATAGAATGTGGATTTTTCCCACAAGAGACTTTGCAGGGCAATTTCAAGGCATGGCAAGGAAATATATTTTGGATTAAATATTTTCTTCCTTGTCTCGTAAGGTTATGCCAGAGTCAGATTGAAAAGCAAGTCACAATATACAGGGTCAAATAAAACCCATCTGATGAGAATCCATGGTTTGTAGGGCACGACTCCCTGGACCCCTTAGGTAGGAATTTGGGCAAGATAAAAAATTAGAGCTTAGTCCTCACTGATAAGATAAATTCTAAGATAAGTATATTTACAGATTTGCCATACAGCAAGAAAAAAAGAAAAGAAGAAATGTTGAAGAGTTGCACCAAAAAGTTAGGGAAAAGTTAAGAATAACAGAAGAGCAATATAGGATAGAAGCTGATGTGACAAAACCAATTAAACCGGCTCTCAAATCAGCAGAGGTGGAATTGAAGACAGGAGGAAATAATTCAAATCAGGTAAATTAATGTTTGGTAAAACTTCATATTTCTACTCTTATTAATATTACTTATACCATCTCTTTCATTTAACATATATTATTTAGGCCTGAACAATCCCCAAATTTTATTTCATCTTAAAAATGAATCATGGCATTTATAGCTATAATTATTTATAATAAATCTTGAAATATTTTATTTTAGTTCAAAGGCCTTTTGAAAACAATGCTATTCTACAATATATACTTAATGATATTGTAAGTATTTTGTTCCTAGTGACATAGTTCAGCATATTTCCCCTATTTCATGTTAATTACATTTCAAATGTTATGGAAAAGGAATAAAAGTTATCACAATAGCAAATAATGTCATGATTTTCTAAGAAGAGTTTTATAGATCTAATTTTCTTGACTTTTGGTGTCTTGAAATAAAAGATTATTTTTGTATGTATATATCTACCTCACAGAAGTTACTGATTTGGTGGAAGAGCACTAGGAATAGAGTCAGAAAAGCTGGGAAAAATCCTGCAGCTTGCTTATATTTTTAACCTTTTGCTATAGAATTATAACTAAATGAGTTCATTGATTTGTGCACGTAAAAGTGCTTAGTATAATGCCTAGCTTTATCATTTATCAATAAATGTCATTCTTAAAACTGACCATAACAATATTAGAAAAGTAGAATATCTATACAATATTTTAGAAAAAGGGAACTTAAAGAATTTGGAAAATGTCATTCATCTGTCCAAATATCTGCCAAGCTAAGGCTCTCACTATAGGGAGAGGTATAGTTTAGATGTTAGAGTGTAAACCCAATTTTTTAATGTGGTCATAGTTATTAATTCTTTATGCCTTGCAATTTGTTGTAATTCAGTAAAAGCCTTTTTTTATCCTGAAATTTAAAAAAATTATCTAGTGGCTTCTTTTTTGCTTTCATGGATTCACTGTCTTCAAATAAACTTTTGAACTTTGGGGAATTTATGCTGTATGAGGTTTGAGGTTTTGACTTAACTTCTTTTTTCCCAGTTAGATATCCAGTTATGGCAACCTCTCATTGTATAAATGTACGGGTTATTATTTAATTTCAGAAGCAATCACAATATGTTATCCTATTGGATACTAGTTACAAGTTTGCTTTGTTTTACTTAGGTTTCTGAAACTGATGAAAAAGAAGACCTGCTGCATGAAAACCGCTTGATGCAAGATGAAATTGCCAGGCTCAGGCTGGAAAAAGACACAATAAAAAACCAAAACCTGGAAAAGAAATACTTAAAAGACTTTGAAATTGTGAAAAGAAAGCATGAAGACCTTCAAAAGGCTCTAAAACGGAATGGGGAAACATTAGCAAAAACGATAGCCTGTTATAGTGGACAGCTTGCTGCTCTGACAGATGAAAACACAACGCTCCGTTCCAAACTGGAGAAGCAAAGAGAGAGCAGGCAAAGACTGGAAACAGAAATGCAATCATACCGTTGTAGACTGAATGCTGCTCGATGTGATCATGATCAAAGTCACTCATCAAAAAGAGACCAAGAGCTTGCTTTCCAGGGCACAGTAGATAAATGTCGTCACTTACAGGAAAATTTGAATTCTCATGTTCTGATTCTTTCTCTGCAACTTTCTAAAGCTGAGAGTAAGTCCAGAGTCCTCAAAACTGAGCTCCATTACACAGGAGAGGCTCTGAAAGAAAAGGCTTTGGTTTTTGAACACGTGCAAAGTGAGCTAAAGCAAAAACAGAGTCAAATGAAGGACATTGAAAAAATGTACAAAAGTGGATACAATACAATGGAAAAATGCATAGAAAAACAGGAAAGATTTTGTCAACTAAAAAAACAAAATATGTTGCTTCAACAGCAACTGGATGATGCTCGCAACAAAGCTGACAATCAAGAAAAAGCAATACTTAATATTCAAGCCAGATGTGATGCTAGAGTACAAAACCTTCAAGCTGAGTGCAGAAAGCACCGTCTTTTACTAGAAGAAGACAATAAAATGTTGGTCAATGAACTGAATCATTCGAAAGAAAAAGAATGCCAATATGAAAAAGAGAAAGCAGAAAGAGAAGTAAGTATCAAGAAAAATAAGTATTTTTCAAACTTCCTGAAGTAAAATTTAAAGTAATATTTGGTTACAGCTGAATGTTGGATCTAGTTGAATATAAAAAAGGATACATATGATAAATATATCTGCTTAGAAACATTCCTTGTCTCCAGCAAGTCAAAGTTAGAACTGAGAGATGCTTTCCTCTGATTAAAGTCAATGTGTCGCTTATAAAATTTTAAGTTATAAAATGTTAACATAGACTAACATTAATAATGTAGTCTTATACTGCTGAAGTAATAATTTTAATGTATTTATGTTGCAACATTTTAAGACCATGATAAATCAGGTATATGGAAATGCTCATACCTAAAATGGTATTTTGAAATTGATTCAATTAAGTGGGGTACTTTGACAGTGAATTTCAGATTTCCTAGATGAACTGAAGTGTATTCCCTATTTCATAATTACTTTTCTTCAGTAGCTTTAAATATGTCTTAGTTGGTAAAATTTTGTTTTTCTTCATGTCAATTTGACTTAAATCTGAAACTATTTCAATCTCAAATTATGTATAGATATGACCATTCTATTCTTTCAAGGCATCTAATTTTACTTCTATTATAATATGGGGCAAATGCAGTAAATTTTAGCCAAATCATGTTTGATTTAATCTTCCCACTGGCATTTATAATTTACTTTCAGTTTTTAAATAAAAAATTTGTTCATAATTTTTATTTCAAGGCTCAATTACTATCATTTGGATATAACTTTGTCCAGGACAAAGAGAGGCATAGCTATCTGTGATTTATTAGTTTGACACTGGATCCCCATTTTCAGACTAAGGAGGATTTCAGACTAACGAGGAGTGGCAGGATTCACGTAGAGTAGGAATGGAGTGAGTACGGAGGAGAGATATAGCAGCTGAGTCAGGGCGGGAGGTGGAGGGCGGGTTACTTAGAGCATCTAAGGCCACTGGAATTTTACTTTTCTTCTGAGATAGACATCTATTGGAAGGATTTAAGCAGATGATTTAATGTGAGGAACTCTGAGGTTGATTTGAGTTTCTAATTTAAAAAAAGAGGGAAATCATTCCACAATGTATAATTTACTACCATCAGTCTCACCCACATACTCATTTCTTTTTGAGACTTCAGAAGGTTTTTAAGCATTGCAGATTCATCAAGGGAGGAATGACTAGTGGGCTGAATATGTTGTGTGAATAACAATACCAGTTTGGCAGGAAGATAACACCTTCTGTATCCTTAACTGGATTCAGTAATACACAGGAATGTGTACACATGAGGAAAAGAAGGTGAATCGGTCTGTGTGGTGATATTTTTCAAAGAGTATGCTTTAGAGTTAAATATTATTAATGGTTTAATAATAAGGTGATTTGTAAAATCAGTAACAAAAATAACATCTTATCAGGTAGCTGTGAGACAGCTTCAACAAAAACGAGATGATGTCTTAAACAAAGGATCAGCAACAAAAGCTCTGCTGGATGCTTCATCGCGTCACTGCACCTATTTAGAAAATGGGATGCAGGATTCAAGGAAGAAATTAGACCAGATGAGAAGTCAAGTATGTATGCAACTTTGCACACCAACAACTGTTAATCTGTAGCTAGTTAACTAATATAAAGTGTTTTGGGGTACTAATTTTAGTGGATGGCTTTCTTTTGTATTTTTATGATAATTAATGTTATTAAAATTTTATAGTGGATGGCTTTCTTCTGTATTTTCCTTATTATTAATTTTATTAAGATTTTATTATAATGCACCTATATCTTAATCTCTGGCTTTCATTCTGCCATTTTTTATACATATATTTTTTTCTTAAATATTTAACCTTAGGAAAGTTGAGAATTATGCATCATTTCTCACAGAAGTTGAGAGAGTTTTTTTTTCCTGTTAAACAGTCTATTTTTAATGATTTCTCTATTGGCATGGTGAGGCAAGCCAGGTTAATTCAGAGGATAATGTCTAATGGAATGTTTCAGAAAATTATCTTCTTTTTAGTCTCTACTTTTCTGAATGTATAAAGAACCTGTGTATACGTATTTCTTAGATTTCAGGTTAACTTGTTCAGAAAGGCCATTTTACTGAATAAATTTTTATTTCGATGAAAATCCTTACTTCCTTTGTATTGGGCTCAGAGAGCACACTCTGTCTCTATATGAATATGGACAGTTAGCATTTGCCAACATGTATCTATTTTCTCTTATTTGTAGAAAAAGCTAAACTAAAAAGGGGGTTATAGAAGGTCAGCAAAGGATGGGTTTGAGATGTTTGGGTTGGTTAAGTGGGCATTTAGACAACAGGGCTTCTCCTTTGGCATGTTTAATGGACATCTTTGCAGTTTAAGATGACGCTTTTAAATTACTTCTCTCCTAATGATGACCTGAGTCCTGCTATTCAATGGGAGAGTCAATAAGATCCTGTAGGATCTTATTTGGAACTGACTTTGTCGATTTTAATTTTGTTCCTGCTTGTTTTTAAATTTTCTTGTTGTTTCCCTAGAAAGGAAAGATGATGCTTAGTTTTAAATATTTAAAAATGTGCAAGTTGCTTTGCTATAATAAAACTAAATGCATACATACAAAAAATAAAATTATAGTTGATGTGGTAGTGTTTGGAATTCAAAATATAAATGCTTAGCGTGAGGTAATCCTTTATCTTTCCACATTTTACCAGTTTGTAAGTTTGAGTATTTAATTGATAAAATGTAATTCAAAAGCAAGAAGAATGTTGTGTTTTAGTCCTAGAGCAGGGGTCTGTGAACTTTTCTGTAAAGGGCCAGATAGTATTATGTAAGGCTTTGTGAGCCATAAGATCCTTGTTGCAATAACTCGGCCCTGCAATTACAGCACAAAAGTAGCCATGAACAATATGCAGACTGAAGGGGTGTAGCAGTGTCCCACTAAAATTACTTACAAAAAACAGGTAATGGGATGATTTCTCCTAGATTATGACCTTTTATAAATAAAAAAGATTGTGATAGTCTAAAATATTTCATATATATTTTGTTGATTCATTCATCTACTGATGGACATTTAGGTCATTTCCAAATGTAATTTTTTAAAATTCTTTGTTTCAGTTTCAAGAAATACAGGATCAACTTACAGCTACTATAAGATGTACTAAGGAGATGGAAGGCGACACACAAAAGTAAAATTTGAAGCAGCACACAAAATAACTTGAGTATTTATAAAGCAAAAGAGCACTGTAGTATGAAAATTGTATCAGTTATGATAATTAGTATGTCTTTGTGAAGCCAAAAAAGTTTCATTTGTAAGCTATATCGAAATACATCATTTTTCTACATTATTCCTAAATTTTGCATATTATCACCAAAACACAGGTAGAAAATGACACAGTAGCCCAATCGTCTACTTTTGTGATTGCTAAGAATTTGTGTAATTATACCTTCAGAAGTTTGTTTAGAATTTACATGATTTAAAAAAAATTACGTGTGAGAGTAATTATTTTAAAATGCACATTTTAGGCTTGAAGTAGAACATGTGATGATGAGAAAAATTATTAAAAAACAGGATGACCAAATTGAGCGGCTTGAGAAAATCCTGCAGCATTCAAGTTTGGTAAGCTGATCTCTTAATTTCTGTCATACTGAAAAGGAATTTTATTTTTCCAGTAGGATGGGTTAAATATCCCTTGTCCAAAATGCTTGGGACCAAAAGTAGATTTTTTTCAGATTTTGGAATATTTGTATATACCTAATGAAATATCTTGCGGATGGTACCTGAGTCTAAACATGAAATTCATTTGTGTTTCATATATACCTTATGCACATAGCCTGAAGGTAATTCTCTACAATGTTTTACAGTAATTTTTTGCAGGTAAGAAAGTTTTTACTGTTTTCCCCAGAGCCTGTCACATGAGGTCAGGTGTGGAACGTTGCAGTTGTGGTGTCATGTCCGTGCTCAAAAAGTTTCAGATTGTAGAGCATTTTGGATTTCAGATTTTTAGATTAGGGATGATCAATCTACAGTACAGATGCTCCTTGACTTACAGTGGGTTTACATGATAATGTCTCTTGTTTGACTGAAACATTATAAGTAATATTTGATTTATTTCAGATGCTGCAGGTGTTTGAGAGCTAGATGAAGGTATGTTGCCAAAATTTATGAATTAAATTCAAATCATTGATTTCTGAAATAAACTCTAAGTAGTGAACGGTATTCCCTCTCAATTGCTTGGTTAATAAATGCTACATTAAATATTTTTTCTTACACACATCTAGTGAAAGATGTGAAAACATAAACATTCATAGTGAAGGGTGTACTTATGCTTTGTTAATTCATCATGTTTCATAGCTTTAAAAAAATCGCAAGAAATCTGTGTATCCCTTTTTTTCTGGCCCTACACTTTTCTTCTGCCACCCCTATAGACTATCAGCCTGCACACTGAAACTGTTCTCACAAAACAAAGGCATTATCAACTTCTCAAGGTTAAGGTAGTGATTTAAGGCTAAGAGACCCCACACTCGTGTGATAATAATTAGTTAAGCAATTACAGGTCACAAGCAGTCACTTGACCAGTGACATTTTAAATCTCTAGTCATTGACTTTGTCATTGGTTTACTTTTGCCCCTGGGAAAAGTTGAAAATTCCTTAGCATGGAATCAAAACTCTCACATCAGTGTGGTTCTTGTCAAGTTATTCAGCCTTATCTTTCGCCACTTACCATACTCTACACCTTTGTTCTAGCATCCAGCCAAACTAGACTACATGGAGCTCCACAGTGATCGTCTTCACCTCCAGCTGTTTGCATTTACTTCTTCCCTCTATCCTACATGTGTTTTCCTTCCCCTTCAGATATCAACCTATGAATTGCCTCTACCAAAAAGCCTACAATATTGACACAAACCTGGGCTAGTATCCCTTCTATGTCTTCCAATAAGTGCTGTCTTATGCTTGTCATTGTATGTATGACTCTGTATGGGAATTGCCTGTTTGTTTTTTCAGATTATAGCATACAGTTGTTGAGGGGCGGACCGTATCATCTTTATCTTGTAATTCCAGTGCTTGTCCTAGTACCTTAGCACATGGTTGCTGAATACATGAACGAAGAGTGAGAAACCAGAAGCTCTGATACTTAACTGCCATGATAATGAATTCGGTGTGCAACTATGGGCAAATTATATTTAATAGTAATTGCATATTGTACATATTTTTCATTCTTATTAACACTGATAAGCTTTTCAGCATATACTGACTTTCTCTTAGTTAACTGTGAAATCATTTAGATAAAGAATATAATTCTTTTTCATTCTAACTTCTGAATTTAAATCTGAATCCTCTATAGCAGGGGTCCCCAACTCCCAGGCCACACACAGTTCCATGACCTGTTAGGAAGCAGGCTGCACAGCAGGAGGTGAGTGGCAGGCAAGCGAGTGAAGCTTCATCTGTATTTCCAGCCACTCCCTGTTGCTCACATTATCACCTGAGCTCTGCCTCCTGTCAGATCAGCAAAGCCATTAGATTCTCACAGGAGTGAAAATCCTACTGTGAACTGCTCGTTCAAGGGATCTAGGTCACATGCTCCTTATGAGACTCTAATGCCTGATGATATGTCATTGTCTCCTATCTCTTCACGATGGGACCATCTAGTTACAGAAAAACAAGCTCAGGACTCCCATTGATTCTCCATTATGATGAGTTGTGTAATTATTTCATTATGTATTACAATGTAGTCATAATAGGAATAAAGTGCACAATAGATGTAATACGCTTGAATCACCATCCTGAAACCATCCCCCAAACCCCCATCTGTGGAAAAATTATCTTTCACAAAACTGCTGCCTGGTGCCAAAAAGGCTGGGGACTGCTGCTCTATAGCTTCTGCACTAGAATCTACTAATGAGTAAAATTTAAATCAATAACTAGTTTTAAAAGCATAACAAGAATATGTGCTGTCTGGCTGCAGTGGCTCATGCCTGTATTCTCAGCACTTTGGGAGGCCAGTGCAGGTGGATCACTTGAGGTCAGGAGTTCAAGACCAGCCTGGCCAATATGGTGAAATCCTGTCTCTACTAAAAATACAAAAATTAGCTGGGTGTGGTGGTGCATGCCTGTAGTCTCAGCTACTCGGGAGGCTGAGGTGGGAGAATCACTTGAACCCGGGAGGCAGAGGTTTCAGTGAGCCAAGATCGTGCCACTGCACTCCAGCCTGAGCAACAGAGTGACTCCATCTCAAATGCAAAACAAAACAGAAAGAATACATGCTGACGAAAAAAATCTAAGACAATAAAATTGTATTACTAGGCTGTTAACATGATATTTTGTTTCCCGTTAAATGTGTGACATGCAAAAGTATTTATTAAATGAAAATATTTTTTATCTTTTATGTCTGATGAAAATTTATATCGTGTTTTAAATGATGTTTCTTGGCCTCTTTAACTTTTTATTTTTTTATTATTTTTTTTTTGAGACGGAGTCTGGCTCTGTCACCCAGGCTGCAGTGCAGTGGCGAGATCTTGGCTCACTGCAAGCTCCGCCTTCTGGGTTCACGCGGTTCTCCTGCCTCAACCTCCCGAGTAGCTGCGACTACAGGTGCCCAGCTAGTTTTTTTTTGTATTTTTAGTAGAGATGGAGTTTCTCCCTGTTAGCCAGGATGGTCTCCATCTCCTGACCTTGTGATCTGCCCGCCTCGGCCACCCAAAGTGCTGGGATTACAGGTGTGAGCCACTGCACCGAGCCTGAAAATCTTACTACCTAAATAACTTCCCACTCCACTCACACCCACAATCTTTCTATAATCCACATTCTCTCCTGAGACAAGAGCTTGGGAAGTTCCGTCTTGCTGAGGGAACTTTATATTGTTCAGGAATTCTTTAATAAGGTTTTACATAGTTGGGGAAACCAGGGAAAAGCAGGTTTGTCACTGCTTTGCTGAGGAGCAGACTCACGTGCCTTGGAAGAATTTAGTAAACCTTCAATAGATGGCCTAAGATACTAACAGGGGCCATCTCATTAAGCTACACAGTTATTTATAAATGAAAGTATAATCTAGAACTTACATGTCAAAGTCTTCCACTAGAAAGATGGCAATATTTGACTAAAACTGCAAAGTTTGTCCCAGTTGACAAAACTCTAATCAAGCCCCTGCCCTTCTCATTCTGTTTTTCCTTTTAAACTTTTTCTTATATTTTAATTTTTCATTTGACAAATGCATATTTCCTCTTTATACCATGCTTCCAAGTGTCACTCTGATACATACCTTCAATGAGCAGACACAGGATTGTGGAGTTTGTTGTGGACACTCATCCCATGAATAGGGAGACTCCGATAACCTGAACAGACGGCTCTAGAAAAGAAAGGAAACTTTCTTTTCCTTCCATACAGAGCTTCCCCCCATTATTTCAGTGTACACAAACCAACATCAGTTCTTTAACACAAAAATAAAAATACTCAAGATCAAGCAATTGTGAGGGGAATCATCTTTCCAGAAGTCAATTCTTCTAGCGGCTACCTTCAGCATATACAACTTGAATAAAAAGAAGTTGGTCAAACGAGTAAAACTTTCCCACCTCATTCCAGTTCTATCTACCCATTGACAACACCTTCGGTCTTCTCACAAATATTGAGTAGAAACACTGCCAACTCTTCACCTTTATCTGGCTCATTCCCAGAGCCAGGAGAAGATGTGACTTATTTGGTGGATGGGAAATCTTATCCATTGGTCCCATCAAATCCATTGGTCCACGTTTGCCTATTAGTAAGGCAAACTTACTCAGTGATCAATGAGTACATCTAGTCTCTCTTTCTCCTCTGGATTCTGAACAGGAGACTTGGAAGGCAGGTGAAGACCCTCCCTGCACTGGGTGGGTAACTGACTGTTCTTCAGATGAACTTTTTTTTGTTCAGGTTCTAAAGTCAAGGCTAGGGGGCAATATTAGAAGTCTTTTTTGGTCAACATTAAGCCATAGTTTCTAAATCAGCTTTAGGAGGAATAATGTATTTGGATATTGATCTGACCTTTTGTTTTTATTTCTAAGTTGGTTTGGCACTGAAAAAGGAGAGGTTTGTTATCAGTCCACACCCCTAATGCCCTGACATCCATGAATCCGTTTTAGTGGAATCCAGATCTCTAAGAAAGAGATATAAAATATTTGTTCCTATCCAACTGTGATTACTGTATTTCCAACTATGTTGCTGTCGGTAAGTAGAGTCTGCATACATGTTTCTGGTTCATATATGCCTAGGGTTCCAGAGCATTACATTTCCATCAAAATGTAGATCCCGAGAATGCCAGAGAGGGTCAGGCCGAGGATAGAACAGACAGTGATTTTCAGATACTGCAGTAGGAAGGTGGATCCATGTCTTGGCTGGTACTTGTAACCATGAAGTGTGGGAAAGTAATGACCAGATTGAGTAAATGACCAGAAATTCAAAACTAAGCCACAAGAAATTTGTCTATTTCTGCTTTTGTTGACTGCTATCAGGGTTGCATCAAAAACAGTATTGCTGAGACCAGTGTTGTGGAGCTTTAACTCTATGTTTTCTTCTAGTAATTTTACAGTTCAGGCCTTCTATTTAAATCTTCATTTGGAGTTGATATTAGTATGTGGTGTAAGTTAAGGGACTAACTTTATTTTTCCTGTGGATATTCAGTTTTCTCAACACCATTTGTAGAACAGACTATCCTTTAACCATTGTATGTCCTTGGCACCTTTGTCAAAGATAAGTTGACGTGTGTGGATTTATTTCTGGGTTTTCCATTTTGTTTAGCAAATTTGTCCATTTATATGCCACTACCATGATTACAATTGTTTTACAGTATGTAATAAAATTAGGTAGCATGCTGTCTCTAGCTTTGTTCTTTTTGCTCAAGATTATTTTGTCTATTTTAGGTCTGTTCAATACAAATGTCAAGATTTTTTTCCATTTCTGTAAAAGAATGGCATTGGAATTTTGATAGTGATTGCATCAAATATGTTGCTTTTGGTATTTTGTTCATTTTCACAATATTAATTCATCCCATCCACAAGCATGAATTTTTTTTTCATTTACTTGTGTTTTTAAATTTTTGTTCATTGGTGTTTTATAGTTTTTCATATACAGGACCTTTAATTTTTTGCTTAAATTTACACCTAAGTATTTAATTTCTGTTGCTATCATACTTGGGATTTTTAAAAAATTTCTTCAGGTAGTTTGTTATTTGTATACAGAAACACTTCTGATCTTTGTTAGATTATTTTGTATCCTGAAACCTTATCGAATTCATGCATCAGTTCTAACAGTTTTTGGTGGAATATTTAGGGTTTTCTGTATACAGGATCATGTTGTCTGCAATTAGAGATAATTTCACTTTTTTCTGAGTAGGATGCTTTTCTTTTCTTGTCTAATTGTTCTGCCTAGGAATTCCACTGTTAACGATGAAAAGAAGTGGTGAGACTGGTCATCCTTGTCTTGTCTCTGAACATGGAGGAAAAGCTTTCCACTTTTCACTGTTGAGAATAATGTTAGCTAAGAGCTTGTCATACACGGTTCTTTTTTGTGTCGAGATACATTTTCTCTACACTTAATTTGTTGAGAGCTTTCATCATGAAAGGGTTTTAAATTTTGTCATGTGCTTTTTCTGCATGTATTGAGAGAATCGTATGATTTTTGTCTTTGACTTTGTTCATGCATTTTATCACATGTATTCATATGCATATGTTGAAACCAACTTGCATCCAAAGGATAAATCCCACTTTATCATGGTGAATGATTCCATTCATATATTCTTAAATTTGGTTGCTAATGTTTTGTTGAAGATTTTTGAATCAGGGTTCGTTACTGACATTGGCCTAGTATTTTCGTCTCTTGTAGTGTCCTTGTCTGTCTTTGGTATCGGAATGATGGTACCCTAATAAAATGAGTTTGGAAGTATTTCCTCTATTTCACTTTTTTGAAAGAGTTTGAGAGTAATTAGTATTAGTTCTTTAAAGGTTTGTCAGAATTTAGCAGTGAAGCCTTCTGGTCCTATGCTTTTCTTTCATGGGAGGCTTTTAATTTCTGCTTCAGGCCAGGCTTGGTGGCTCACACCTGTAATCCTAGCACTTTGGGAGGCTGAGGTGGGTGGATTGCTTGAGGTCTGGAGTTCGAGACCAGCCTAGCCAAAGTAGTGAAACCCTGTCTCTACTAAAAATACAAAAAATCAGATGGGTGTGGTGGTGGGCGCCTGTAACCCCAGCTACTTGGAAGGCTGAGGTAGGAGAATTGCTTGAACCTGGGAGGCGGAGGCTGCAGTTAGCTGAGACTGTGCCATTGCACTCTACCCTGGGCAACAAAAGCAAAACTCCGCTTCAAAAAAAAAAAAATTCTGCTTCAATTTCCTTATTATTTATTAGTCCATTCAGATTTTCTGTTTCTTCTTGATTCAGTCTTGGTAAGTTGTATGTTTGTGGAAATGTTTTTATTTCTTCCATGTTATCCAAATTGTTGGCATACAAATGTTCATTATATGAACAATTGTAATCCTTTGTATTTTAGAGTTAAAAGTTGTAATTTCTCCTATTTCATTTCTGATCTTATTTGTTGGAATAGTCCTTTTTCTAGTTAGTCTAGATACGGATTGGTTGATTTTGTTTATCGCCTTAAAAAGAAGTTCAGTATTAATTCTTTCCATTGGGTTTCTCATATCTATTTTATTTATTTCCACTTTAATCTTTGCTATTTTCTTATTTCTGCTAATTCTTGGCTTTGTTTCTCATCTAGTTCATTGAGGTATAATGATTGATTTAACTACATTCTGTAAGTTTTGGTATGTTGTGTTTTCATTTTTGTGTGTCTTAAAATATGTTTTTAAATTTTTTCTGTAACTCATGGGCCATTTATGAATATGTTAAATTTTGCTATTTTATGTATTTTTCAAGATTTCTTCTGTTACGGATTTCTAGCTTTATGCCATTGGGATGCAAAAATTTTCTTTCTATAATTCAATTCTCTAATATTTGTTAAGATCTGTTTTGTGGCCTAACATATGACATATACTGGAGAATGTTCCACCCACATTTCAGAAGAACAGGTACACTTCTGCTGTTGGATAGGATGTTCTGGGTATATCTGTTAGATCCAGTTGCTCCAAAGTGTGATTCAAATCTAATGTTTCTTAATTTATTATCTTTCTAAATGATCTTTCCATGGTTGAAATTGGAGTATTGAGGTCTCCTACTATTATAGTATTGCAGTATATTTTTCTCATGAGATTATTTAATAATTGCTTTATGAATTTAGGTCTTGTGACCTTGAGTGCATATATATTTACATGTATTATGTCTTCATGATGAATTAACTCCTTTATCGTTATGCAGTGAACCCTATCTCTTTTATAGGTTTTGACTTAGTTTATTTCTTTTAATAGTAAGTATAGCTCCCCTGCTCTATTTTAGTTTGCATTTGCATGGAATATCTTTTTTCATCTTTTCAGTTTCAGCCTATATATGTCTTGACTGGTAAAGTGAGTCTCTTGTAGGCAGCACATGATTGAATCTTGTTTTTTATTCTATCCATTGAGATGCTCTATGTCCTTTTATTTGACAATGTAATGCACTTACTATCAAGGTAATTATTTATAGGGAAGGACTTGCTACTGCCACTTTGTAATTTTTTTTCTGATTGTTTTATGAGTTCTTTGTTCCCTTTTTCTCTCTTGCTGAACTATTTTATAGCTTGATGGCTTTCTGTGGTGGTATGCTTTAAAATTTTGGATAAATTGCAAAATAAACTTTTTTATTTTGTGCAGTTATGATAGGTTTTGTTTTGTGGTTATCATGAAACTTACCTAAAATATCATATTCTTATAACAAACTACTCTAACAACTTCTGATAGCAACTTCTCTTTAATTGCATCCAAAAGTCTACATTTTCATTCTCTCTCCCTTACAATTGTACAATTTTATGTCAAAACTTACCCTTTTAGTTCATACTTATATACCTTAGCAATTTATTGTAGCTACAGTTATTTTCAATACCTTTGTCTGCTAACCCTACTAGTAGGGATAAAATTGCTTTACAAACCACCCTTAGAATATTAGAGCATTTGGAACATGACTGTGTATTACTGATAGCATTGACGCTTTTTACTTTTATGTGTTTTTTCTTACTATTTAGCCTTTTATTTCAATGCAAGGCTCTTCCTTTAGTAATTCTGATCAATCAGGGATATTGATTATAAATTTTATTAGTTTTTTTTTGTATAGAAAG
Organism: Homo sapiens; assembly: GCF_000001405.40. Classification (NCBI taxonomy): domain Eukaryota; kingdom Metazoa; phylum Chordata; class Mammalia; order Primates; family Hominidae; genus Homo; species Homo sapiens. The sequence goes on along the minus strand of NC_000002.12, from coordinate 97,498,953 downwards.
GTTTTTATATCTCCCTCTCCCTCATTTCTACAGGACAGCTTTGCTAGGCACAGCATTTTTTTTTCAAGATGGAGTCTTGCTCTGTCACCCAGGTTGGAGTGCAGCGGTGTGATCTCGCCTCCCAGGTTCAAGCTTGCTCACTGCCATCTCTGCCTACCAGGTTCAAGCAATTCTCCTGCCTCAGCCTCCCGAGTAGTTGGGATTACAGGCCCATGCCACCATGCCCAGCTAATTTTTGTATTTTTAGTAGAGATGGGGTTTCATCATGTTGGCCAGGCTGGTCTTGAACTCCTGACCTCCTGATCCACCTGCCTTGGCCTCCCAAACTGCTGTGATTACAGGTATGAGCCAGTTCACCCAACCGGGAACAGTATTGTTGATTGGCATTTTTGTTTGTTTGCTTGCTTGTTTGCTTTAGCATTTTGAATACATCATCCCTCTCTCGTGGACTGTAGGGTTTTCTGCAGAGAAATCCACTGAAAGCCATATTGAAGCTCCCTTGAATGTGATGTATTTCTTGTTTTTTTGCTGTTTTCAGTATTCTTTGTTTTTCATTTTTAATAACTTCATTGTGATGTGTGTTGATAAATGCCTCTTGGATTGAAATGGATTCATGACCTCTGCAGTTTTCATACCTCAATGTTGTCATCATTCTTCATGTTTGGGAAATTTTTAGTCATTATTTCATTAAATATGCTTTCTAGGCCTTTTTCTTTTTCTTCTCCTTCAGAAACTGATATTATATGAAAGTTGGGTTGTTTGATTGAGTCCCATAATTGCCATAGGCATTTGTTATTCTTTTTTGTTGTTGTTTTTCCCCGATGGAATCATTTCAAATGTTTTTTCTTTAAGCTCACTGATTCTTTTTTTCTGCTAATAAAATCAGCTGCTGAAGCATTGTATTAAATTTTTAGTTTGTTGTATTCTCTATATCTAGAATTTCTATTTGTTTTTTTGTTATCATATCTATTTCTACTTCAGAACTATCATTCTGTTAATGAATTGTTTCCCAAATTTATTTTAGTATGTTATCCATGATTTCTTGTACAGGCATACTTCAGGGATATTGCAGGTGTGATTCCAGGCAACCACAATGTAATAAGAACTTGAATTTTTGGTTTTACACTGCATATAAAAGTTTTTTACACTATACCATAGTCTATAAAGTGTGCAATAGCCTTATGTCTACAATTACATACTTTAAAAACTACTTTATTGCTAAAAATGCAAATGATCATCTGAGCCTTCAGTGAATTTTAATTTTTGCTGATAAAGAGTCTTTCCTCTGTGTTGATGGCTGCTGAATGATTAAGGTGGTGGTTGCTGCAGATTGAGGTGGTTGTGGCGATTTCTTAAAATAAAACAACAGTAAAGTTTGCTGCATCACTTGACTCCTTTGATGAAAGGTTTATCTGTAGTGTGCCATGCTGTTGGATAGCATTTTACCTCACAGTAGAACACCTTTCAAAATGAGAGTCGATCCTATCTAATGCTGCCACCGCTTTATCAACTCAGTTTGTATAATAAGATAGGTGTTTTTTTGTCATTTCAACAGTGTTTACAGTATCTTCACGAGGAATAGATTCCATCTCAGATGGATGGGCTATAAGAAACAACTTTTAGTACATTCAAGTTTGATCATGAAACTGCAGAAATTCAGTCACAGGCTCAGGCTCCAGTTTTACTCTTAGTTCTCTCCCTAGTTCCATCACACTCACAGTTACTTCCTCCACTGAAGTCTTGAAACCCTGCAAGCTATCTATGAGGGCTGAAATCAATTTCTTCCAAACTTCATATTTTGACCTCCTCCAAGGAATCACAAATATCTTTAATTTCATCTAGAATAGTGATTGCTTTCTAAAAAAATCCAGATGATTTTTAATTTGCCTTGTGCAGATACACAGAAGAATCATTGTCTATGGCAGGTATAGGCTTACAAAATGTATTCTTAAATAATAAAATGTCCTTGATCCATGGGCTTCAGAATGAATGCTGTGTTAGCAGGCATGAAAACAACATTAATCTATTTGTACAACTCCATCAGAGCTCTTGGGTTATGAGTGCATTGTCAATGAGCAGTAATATTTTAAAAGATATATATATATATATATATATATATACACACACATATATACATACACACACATACACGTATACACACACACAAACACACACACACACACGTTTTCTGGACAATAGGTCTCAACAGTGTGCTTAAGATATTTGGTAAACCATACTGTAAACGATGTGTTTTCATCCAGGCTTTGTTGTTTCATTTATAGAGTATAGGTAGCATAGGTTTAGAAGAACTTAAAAATGTAGCAGAATGGTAAATGAGTACTGCCTTTAATGTTTTAATGTAACCAGCTGCATTAGCCAGTACATAAAGAGTCAGCCTGTCCTCTGAAGATTAGAAGCCAGGCATTGACTTCTCCTCTATAGCTGTGAAAGTTTTAGGTATCCTCTTCTTCCAGTATAATGCTGTTTTGTCTACATTGAAAATCTGTTATTTAGCATAACTGCCCTCATCAATGATCTTAGCTAGATCTTCTGGATAACTTGCTGCAGCTTCTCTATCAGCACTGGCTGCTTTACCTTGCACTTTTATGTTATGAAGATTCTTTTCTTAAACCTCATGAACCAACCTCTGCTAGCTTTAAACTTGTCTTCTGCAGCCTCCTCACCTGTGTCAGACTTCATAGAATTAAAGAATGTTACTAAGGCTTAGCTCTGGATTCAGCTTTGGCTTAGCGAAATGTTGTGGCTCATTTGATTTTCTATCCAGACCACTAAAACTGTCTTCACATCAGCAATAATACCATTGTACTTATCATTTGTGCATTCACTGGAGTAGTCTGTTTAATTTCCTTTAAGAACTTTTTTTTTTTTGCATTCACAGCTTAGTTTACTGTTTGATGTAAGTTGCCTAGCTTTCAGCCTATCTGAGCTTTCAACATGCTTTTCTCACCCTATTAATCATTTCTAGCTTTGTATTTAAATACTGGCATCATGGGGGCTAATGTGGCTTACAAAGTATAATTCATCTGGCAGATGGAACCATAGTTTGACACTACCAGTCTTATGTCGGGTTCAACCCAGTAATAAATCCAAGCCTACCCATTCTTCCCGGAAGGAGCTTGATTATGCATTGAATCAAGCTCCCAGAAGGAGCTTGATTATGCATTGAAATTCTACAACCTCCGTGGTTAGTGCCCAAGGAACTGTTTTCTTAAGAACTCTGCTCTGTGAGTCGACAGGATTTTGTATTTTTGAATGTATTTAGACCATAGAAAACAAAGAAGTAAGCATACAATGGGCCCACATTCAGAAGCTATCTCCTCAGGATCAGAGGCTGCATCCAGAGTGTGCATAGGTGTTTGTCACAGATCCTCTACCAAGCTTAATGGAGAGAGAGTGGGAGATAAATGTCCATACTAATCTTCATCATGTAGCTAGAAAGAACTGAAACACTCCTCCAGCCTTCTAACTTTCTAGCTACATCTGGATTGTCTGGCTCCTACCTTAACCAATTTCTGGTTACTGACAAGGCGTGGCACATCCTAAGTTCCAGGGAGCCACCAAAAACAGTCAATACTAGAGCACACAAGGACTTGAGAGGTACCTGAAGATCTCTGGCTGGAAAGTTTGGTGAGATCCTTTTCCTACATGAGGCCAGTCTTATCAAATGCACGGGAACCAACAGAGAGAGTCGAGGAAAAATGAAGAAACAGGGAAATATATTCAAAGCAAGAAAACAAGATAAATCTCCAGCACCTGAGTGAAGTGCAGATATGTAATTTATCTGACAGAGATTTCCAAATAATGGTCATAACAATAATCACTGAGGTCAAGATAGCTTTGCAAGAACAAGTTGAGAACTTCAAGAAAAGGAAAAACGTTATACAATAATGTCAAACAAATCATAGATCTAAAGTGTACTGTAACTGAACTGAAAAAATTTAATAGAGGTGTCCATTAATAGAATCTATCAGTGAACTTTGAGACTGGTCACTGGAAATTATCTAACCTGAGGATCAGAAAAAAAGATAATGCAAACGGAGTGAAGACAACTTTAGAGAGTTATGGGACACCATCAAGCAGGACCACTCACACATTATTGGCATGCCTGAAGGAGAAGTGAGGAAGAAAGGAACGGAAAAGTGTTTAAAGGAATAATGACAGAGAATTTATCAAGCATGGGGAAGAAAACAGAAAGCCTGATCCAGAAAGCCCAAAGGAAACCAAATAAGGTGAATCCAGGGACTCACAACAAGATACACTATAATCAAATTGTCCAAAGTTAAAGACAAAAAGAGAGTGATATTGTTTGCAAATTTGTACCCTCCAAATATTGTGTCGAGATTTGATCCCCAATGTTGGAGGTGGGACCTAGTGGGAGGTGTTTGGGTCATGGTGGTTGATCTCTCCTGGATAGCTTTTTGCCCTTTTTTCACTAATGAGTGAGTTCTCACTGCATTACACGAAAGGTGGTTGTTTAAAACAGTGTGGCACCTCTCCCCTCTCTTCCTACCTCTCTAGCCATGTGTGTCATACCCGTTGTCTCTTCACCTTTAGCCACAAGTAAAAGCCTTCTGGGTCCCTGACCAGAAGCTGTGCAGATGCCACTGCCATTCTTCTTCTACAGCCTGCAAAACTGTGAGCCAAACAAACCTCTGTTCCTTATACCTAGTCTTATACCTGTTCCTTATACCTTATTACCTAGTCTCAGCTATTTTTTTATAGCAACACAAAAATTTGTGTTTTTCCGTGTTGCTCTTTTCTGTGTTATTCTGTGTTGCTAACACAGAAATTAGTACCAAGGAGTGGGGTTTTGCTATAAAAACACCTGATAATGCAGAATTTGCTTTGGAACTGGGTAATAGGCAAAGAAGACAGGAAGATGAGGAAACTTGTGGAACTTAATTAGACCTTGGTTAAGTGGTCGACCAAAATGATAATAGGAATATGAACAGTGAAGGCCATGCTGTTGAGGTACATAGAATACAACTTTCAAGAAGTGACTGCACCATTTTGCATTCCCACAAGCAATGAATGAAGTTTCCTCTTGCTCCACATCCTTGCCAGCGTTTGATGTTGTCAGTGGTTCTAGATTTTGGTTATTCTAATACGTGTGCAGTGGCATCTCATGGTTGCATTTCTCTGAGGAAATATTATGTGTAGCCTCATTACATATGCTTATTTTCCATTTGTATAATTTACTTGGTGAGGTACTTGTTAAGGTCTTTAGCTCATGTCTTTTACTGCTCAGCTTTAAGAATACTAATATGTTTTGAATAATAGTTCTTAATCAGATACGTTTTGGCAAATTTTTTTCCATCTGTGGTTTCTCTTTTCTTTCAGTGTCTTTAATGGTGTAAAAATGTTACATTTTCATCAAGTCCAGCTTGTCAATTCTTTCTTCTATTGACTTCAACTTTGGTGTTTTTTCTAAAGGTCATCATTAAACCCAAGATAATCTGTATTTCCTTCTATATTATCTTCTATAAATTTTATAGTTTTTTGTATATTTATGTTGCTGATCCATTTTGAGTTAATTTTGGTGGGGGTGTAAGGTCTGCAATTTATTTTTTTTTTGCATGTGGATATCCAGGTATTCCAGCAGCCCTTCCTGAAAAAACTGTTTCATCATCATAATGCCTTTACTTTTTTGTCAAAAATTAATCGAATGTATTAATGTGTTTCTATTTGTGAACTCTCTATCTCATTTTATCCGTTTGTTCTTTCACTAATACCACACTGTCTCCATTACTGTAGCTTTAGGGTAAGTCTTGAAATTGAGTAGTGTCTGTCCTCCAAGTTTGTTCTTCTCCTTCAATATGGTGTTAGCTATTCAAGGTCTTTTGCCTCTCCATATAAACATTTTCATTTAGAGTAGAATTGCATTGAATCTATACATTGGAAAGAACTGACATCTTAATAGCATTGAATCTACTTATGAATACGGTACATATCTCTTTTTGTTTCATTCTTCGCTTTCTTTCATCAGATATGGACATTTCTGGAATTAAGAGCATTGAATCTACTTATGAATACGGTACATATCTCTTTTTGTTTCATTCTTCGCTTTCTTTCATCAGATATGGACATTTCTGGAATTAAGAGCCCCCTCTACATTGAGCACAAGACAGTGACGAATCCACATTCTTCAGCCAGAAAGTCACCTCTGAGAGCCAAATGTCTGACTATAGAAAGGAGAGTCAAAGAATGATAACGACATCTCAGGAAAATTGTGAAAATAATCAGCAGCCGGATGTGGATAACCCTTTCAAATTTCTCCAGGGCACCTGTCATTTCAGCCAATACTTGCCAGCTTGTGCCAAGGATGCTGGAGCTCCCTGGGATGAGTTTCCCAGGGGAGGAGCTGGCCGCCATCTTTGCTGTTTGGGTGACACAGCCATTCCAGCCTGTGGGCTTTGGACAGTGCAAACTGGTGGGGTAGAAGGGATCCCTAGAATAGCACAGCTGCTCTCCCAACATGTGCCCAGATCCTTTTTTTTTTTTTTTTTTTTTTTTTTTTTTTTGAGAAGGAGTCTTGCTCTGTCACCCAGGCTGGAGTGCAGTGGCATGATCTCGGCTTACAGCACCCATCACAGCCCTGGTTCAAGCAGTTCTTCTGCCTCAGCCTCCCAAGTAGCTAGGACTACAGGTGCCCATCACCACGCACAGCGAATTTTTTTATTTTTAGTAGAGATGGGGTTTCACCATGTTGGCCAGGCTGGTCTGGAACTCCTGACCTCAAGTGATCCACCCTGCTGGGCCTCCCGAAGTATGGGGATTACAGGCATGAGCCACCGTGGCCGGCCCCAGACAGAATCTTTAAGGGGATTCCCAATCTGTTCCTCCCAACCAGGGCCTCCAGCTACCCCACTGGTGTCTGGGGCTGAGAGGAATTTGAATTCTCCCTGGGAGGGAGTTCTGGAGTTCCTGCCCAGTGGGAGTCCTTCCAACTGGGGCCTGGGGGAGAGGATGGGGCCAGCTTTGGAGAGTCCCAAATGACTGGGGGTGGAAGGGATCCCCCAGCACATCACAACTGCTCTACCAAATAGTGGCCAGGCAGATTCTTTACACAGATCCCTGATTCTTTCCTCCTCTCTGGGTGGGACCTCCCACCTGGGGCCTCCACCACCCCACCGGTGTTCTCGAGCTGACAGAGATTTACATTCTCCCCGGGAAGGAGTTGTCGAGGTCCTGCCCAGTAAGGAGGAATGGATCAGGAACCTGGTAAAAGAATCTGCCTTCTAAGATTTTGTAGAGTAGCTGTGCTGTGCTGATGATATATCCCTTCTGCCCCGGTAGGTATGGATTCTCCAGAGCCCGCGGGCTGTAACGACTAAGTTGCACAAACAGCAAAGATGGCTCCTTGCTCTTGCGCGTGGGAACTCATTCCAGGAATTCAAATCTCTGTCAGCCTGAGAACACCGGTGTGGGTGGCTGGAGGCCCCAGCTGAAAGGACCCTCATTGGGCTGGACCTCCAGGCCTCCATGCCAGGGAGAACTCAAATCTCTGTCAGCCCCAGAACACTGGTGGGGGTGGCTGGAGGCCCCAGTTGGGAGGTCCCCCACTGGGCCAGACCCCAAGACCTCCATGCCAGAGAGAATTCAAATCTCTGTCAGCCCCAGAACACTGGTGGGGGTGGCTGGAGGCCCCGGTTGGGAGGTCCCTCACTGGAAGGGACCCCAAGAACCGCATCCCAAAGATAATTCAAATATCTGTCAGCCCCAGAACACTGGCGAGGGTGGCTGGAAGCCACGGTAGGGAGGTCCCTCACTAAGCAGGACCTCAAGACCTCCATACCAGGGGGAATTCAAACCTCTGTCAGCCACAGAACACTGGCAGGGGTGGCTGGAGGCCCTAGTTGGGAGGTCCCTCACTGCGCCAGACCCCAAGACCTCCATGCCAGAGAGAATTCAAATCTCTGTCAGCCCCAGAACACTGGCGGGAGTGTCTCAAGGCCCCTATTGGGAGGTCCCTCGCTGAATGGAACCTCAAGACCTCCATCCCAAAGAGAATTCAAATCTCTGTCAGCCTGAGAACACCAGCGGGGGTGGCTGGAGGCCCCTGTTGGGAGGTCCCTCACTGGGCGGGACCTCGAGACCTCCATGCTGGGGAGAATTCAAATCTCTGTCAGCCCCAGAACGCTGGCGGGGGTGGCTGGAGGCCCCGGTTGGGAGGTGCCTCACTGGGCAGGACCTCCAGAACTCCATGCCAGGGAGAATTCAAATCTCTGTCAGCCCCAGAACACTGGTGGGGGTGGCTGGAGGCCCCGGTTGGGAGGTGCCTCACTGGGCAGGACCTCCAGACCTCCATGCCAGGGAGAATTCAAATCTCTGCCAGCCCGAGAACACTGGTGGGGGTGGCTGGAGGCCCGGTTGGGAGGTCCCGCCCAGTGAGGAGGAATGGATCACAGACCTTCTTAAAGACCCAGTATGGCCACATTTTGGTAGAGCACCTTGCTATGCCCACCCCGCCAGTGTTCTCAGGATGACAGATTTGGATTCTCCCTGGCATGGAGGTCTTGAGGTCCTGCCAAGAGAGGGACCTCCCAACCGAGGCCTCCAGCAACCCCTGCCAGTGTTCTGGGGCTGACAGAGATTTGAATTCTCCCTGCCATGAAGGCCTCAGGGTCTGGCCCAGTGAGGGACCTCCCAACCATGGCCTCCAGCCACCCCCGCTGGTGTTCCAGGGCTGACAGAGATCTGAATTCTCCCTGGCACGTAGTTCTCAAGGTCCTGCCCAATGAGGGTCCTTTTACCTGGGGTCCCCAGCCACCCCCTCCGGTGTTCTCAGGCTGACAGAGATTTGAGTTCTCCCTGGCATGGAGGTCTCAGGATCTTGCCCAGTGAGGGACCTCCCAACTGGGGCCTCCAGCCACCCCCTCCAGTGTTCTGGGGCTGACAGAGATTTGAATTCTCTCTGGCATGGAGGTCTTGGGGTGTGGCCCAGTGAGGGGCCTCCCAACTGGGGCCTCCAGCCACCCCCACCAGTGTTCTGGGGCTGACAGAGATTTGAATTCTCCCTGGAATGGAGGTCTCCAGGTCCCACCCAGTGAGGGACCTCCCAACTGGGGCCTGCAACCACCCCTGTCAGTGTTCTGGGACTGACAGAGATTCGAATTCTCCCTGGCATGGAGGTCTTTAAGTCCTGCCAAGTGAGTGACCTCCCAATCGGGCCTCCAGCCACCCCCGCCGGTGTTCTTGGGCTGACAGAGATTTGAATTCTCCCTGGTATGGATGTCTCAGGGTCTGGCCCAGTGAAGGACCTCGGCATCCAGCCACCCCTGCCAGTGTTTTGGGGCTGACAGAGATTTGAATTC